>NC_000016.10:26062243-26365273 GCF_000001405.40 Homo sapiens | reverse complement strand
GAGAGCACACAGCTGGTAGTGGTGTCGTTGTGTGTGTGATGGAGAAAGGGGTGATGATCCTGCCAGCACCAAACACCTGGAACATCCCCAGGTGTGTTTACTTAAAGAGAGAGAGAGCATCAGATAATAGGGAAGAGTAGAGGCAGTAGTTTAAAAAGAAAACAGTGGCCAGGTGCAGTGGCTTACACCTGTCATCCTAGCATTTTGGGAGGCAGAGGCAGGAGGATCATTTGAGGCCAAGAGTTCAAGACCAGCCTAGGCAGTATAGCAAGACTTCCTCTCTATAAAAAGTTTTTCATAAATTACCTGACATGGTGGCACATGCGTGTAGTTCAGCTACCTGGGATGCTGAAGTGGGAGGATCACTTGAGCCCAGGAGTTTGAGGTTGCAGTGAGCTATGATCATGCCAGTCTACTCCAGCTTGGGCAGCAGATCCTGTCCCAAAAAGAAATAATAAATAAGTAATTACTATGTATTATGCATCAGGCTTTATTCTAAGTAATTCTTCTGTTACTTTATTTGATTTTCACCACTACCCTGAGGCAGGTGCCAGTATTCTTCTCCTTTTATAGATAAGAAAACTGTGGCTCAGAGAGGTTAAGAATTTACTCCAGGTCACACAGATGTAGGTGGCAGGTGGATCTGACTAAAGGCAGTTTGATCAGCCAAACCTCACACTGGAGAAGAGTGGTTGGATCCTGCAACTGCTGCAAGCATCATCTTGCACTTGAACAGTTGCTTTCTGCAATGTAGTTCCCTGTAATGCCCAGAATAATGATAACAATCACCCATATTTACTGGTACTTAGCAGGCGTTTGCTGAACACTTCTCTGTTGTCTTGTTTATTCCACACAACAGCCTCAGGAGGTAAGTTCTACTATTATCCCCACATTTCAGATACAAAGACTGAGGATGAGAAACAAGAAGGGATGTGCTAAGCATTGCAGTGGAACCAGAAGACAAAGCCAAGGAGTCTGGCTGCACAGAACACGCATCTAACCTTTATATATTCTGTCTCTTACACACACTCAGACACAAGATGCCACTCCAATGCAAGAGGCTGAGCTTGTTCCTTAACACAATTCCATGATTTCTCCAGGAGAAGCACATGTACCGCAGGTGTACACAATGCATTAGGTGACAATGGAGGAACCATCTTAGTTTTCACAAGCATGTATTATTTTTAGTGTGCATTTAGGAAGATGTCAGCTCATTATTGCACTTGCTGTGTGAACATGTGAAAATCATGTGTCTTCTCAAAGCTGCAGCCTCTTCAGTTTCACCTGTGAAATGAGAAAACAGGATGCATCACGTATAGGAAAGTAACTAAATTCCTTGAGGTGTAGGAGGTCCTCTGGGTGTGTGAAAGGCAGAGACTGAGGGAAGAAGAAAGGAAAAATGGATGTGGGAAGGAAGGAAAGCACTTGGGAGGAAGAGAGGAAGGATGGTAGAGGAGGAGAAAGAGAAAGAAGAAGGAAGGAAAGAAGGGACAAGGAAGGGAAAGAAGGAAAGGAGGAGGGAAAAGGGAGAGATAAAGGAAAAAAGGAAGGAAGGAAAGAAGGAAGGAAGGAAGGAAGGAAGGAAGGAAAGAGGAGGGAGAGAAGAAAAGAGAGGCTACAAACTGATGTGAATCAGCATATCTGGACATTTAAAAAATCCCTTTACTCTAACCCCAGCACTTTGGGAGGCCAAGGCAGGCAGATTACAAGGTCAGGAGATCGAGACCATCCTGGCTAGCATGGTGAAACCCTGTCTCTACTAAAAATACAAAAACTTAGCAGGGTGTGGTGGCGTGGGCCTGTAGTCCCAGCTACTCAGGAGGCTGAGGCAGGAGAATCACTTGAATCCGGGAGGTGTAGGTTGCAGTGAGCCGCGATTGCACCACTGCACTCCAACCTGGGCGACAGAGCGAGACTCTGTCTCAAAAAAAAAAAAAAAAATCCCTTTAGCTTGGCAACCCTTTAAATGGCAACTTTCTCTGCACCAGGCACATCACTCAATCCTCACGATGTAGCTAACATTATCTCCACCTTGCAGATGAAGAAACTGAGGCACAGAAAGGTGAGATGCCTGCCAAGGATTGCTTCCCTGGTAGCTTGCACAGCCCAGGCTGTAGCACGGGCAGCGAGGCCCCGGGTCTCTGCCATTAACCAAGAGCTGCCACAGTGAGGGACAAGAGTGGGCAGCTGCAGCAACACTGGAGCTGATTCTATTCCTGCATGGTGGCTGAGCTGCCCCCACACCCCAGATTCAATCAGTGTTGCCTGTGTAAGGACCGTCTTCACATGGGAGGCTGGCATTAAGCAGAAGGTGAAACAGATAAGTACTGGCTATTTCTCATGTGCAGGTGCCCAGCTGTGGTCTTACTCTCTCCATGTAGAGTGTCTGCAATTGCGTTCCACACACCAATGAGGTGGCACATGAAGGAGACAGCTCTGTTTTTTTGTTTGTTTTGTTTTGTGTTTTTTTTTTTTTCTTTTTTGAGTCTCACTCTGTTGCCCAGGCTGGAGTGCAGTGGGGTGAGCTTGGCTCACTGCCACCTCCACCTCCGGGGTTCAAGTGATTCTCCTGCCTCAGCCTCCTGAGTAGCTGGGATTACAGGTGCCCGCCACCATGCCTGGCTAATTTTTGTATTTTAGTAGAGACAGGGTTAAGCCATGTTGGCCAGCCTGGTCTCGAACCCCTGACCTCAAGTGATCTGCCTGTGTTGGCCTCCCAAAGTGCTAGGATTATGGACGTGAGCCACCACGGCTGGCTGAGAGAGCTCTGTTTTTAAAGTTATCTGTTGCTTAATGCGCATTAGGAAAGGACAATGTTATTGTAGTCTGCAGGATGCTATTAATAAAGTTATGGATAAATAATATTCACATTAAAAAAGAAGTGGTTCAATTTAAAGGGGAAAATTAATTAACTAGTAGCCCCAGAAGTACAAGTATATGAAGGCAAGACAAGAATGATGGCAGTTAGGAAATTGCATTGTTTCATCTAATTCTCACTACAACCCTGCATTTGAGTTTATGAATCCCGTTTTATAGGTGAGAAACAGTAAGTTTTAGATCAATCAAAAAGCTTGCCCAAGAATGCAAAATGGTGCAGCCACTAAGAGCAGTATGGATGTTCCTCAAAAAGTTAAACAGAACTATCGTATGATCCAGCAATCCCACTTCCTGGGTATTTATCCAAAAGAACTGAAGTCAGGATCTTGAAGAAATACCTGCACTCCAGTGTCCACTGCAGCATTATTCACAACATCCAAGATGCAGAAACAACCTAAATATTTAGCAGTGCATGAGGGAATAAAGAAAATGTGGTCCTCACATACAGCAGAATCCAATTCAGCTATGAAACAGAAGGAAATTCTGCCTTCCAAGACAACATGGATGAAACTTCAGGAACTGGGACATTATGCTTAGTGACATATGCCAGTCACAGAAGAACAGACACTGCATGAGTTCATATTTAGGATATATCTATATCTAAAACAGTCAATTACATAGAGCCAGAGTAGAATGGTGGCTATCAGAAATGAGGAGGAAGAGAAATGAGTTACTAACCAAGGGACACAGTTCCAGTCAAGCAAGATGAATCAGCTCTAGAAATGCTCCAGATGAATTTCAAAGAGGTTAAGTAACTGGCTAGGAATTATTCAGCCAATAGGCAGTGGTGCTAGAATTCACACCTGGGGCTGTCTGACTTCTGGGATCACAATCCCACCACTCCACAAGGTTATGAGAATGATAGAAATTTATGAAATTGTGATATTTTACAACATTGCACCTATGATCAACAATAACATATTGTACACTTAATTTTGTAAGAGGGTAGATCTCAAGTTAAGTGTTCTTATGACTATATATATATATTTTTTAGTTAGCTTGCCCTAGGTCTAAAATGTAAAATGAGGCTTGGTGTGGTGGCTCACGCCTGTATTCCCAGCACTTTGGGAGGCCGAGGCTGGTGGATCACTTGAGGTCGGGAGTTTGAGACCAGCCTGGCCAACATGGTGAAACCCTGCCTCTACTAAAATACAAAAATTAGCTGGGTGTGGTGGCAGGCAACTGTAATCTCGGCTACTCAGGAGGCTGAGGCAGGAGAATCACTTGAACCCAGGGGCAGGAGGTTGCAGTGAGCTGAGATTGCACCACTGCATTCCAGCTTGGATGGCAGAGCAAGACTCCGTCTGAAAAATAAATAAATAAATAAATAAATAAATAAATAAATAAAATAAAATGTAAAATGAGCAAATTGGAGCTCTCAGTGAAAGTGATTGACCAGTGTGGAGTTCTTTGTTCATCATTTCAATAGTTTATTCCTCTTGCTGCCCTTAACCTTGAGACTCATAGCAAACGCCACCATCACCCACCCATCTCGTTCCATCTCTGCCTTCCCTGTCTGTCAAAGTGCTCACTGAAACTTAGTGGAGTCACTAAAGCTGATGGAAGTGTATTTATTTAAATTGTCAAGATAAATTAACTTTCAGAGCCCCATTGGAGGACTCCTGCAAGCCTGGGCCATGGGTTGGGAGCCATGAATATGCAAATGCACGCAGCCATTGAATTCAGTGGCTGCAAACATATTTGGAGGCAGCTGTTCATTTAATAATCTGGGACAACCACAGGAATAGACAACCGGTCGCTCTGGCCCATTTGCGTGGGTAAAGTGATAATTTTATAACACAACTGCAGCAGTTAGGTTTCCCCAGACAATGCCAGGGGGGCACCATTTGGGAGCAATCTCGGGTGTTGTCAGCCGAAGCCTACTGCAGCCTCACCCAGCTGTCAGACATAACAACCTGTTTCCTATAGATGCAGCCTTGTGAAGTGGTGGGGAGGCTGACCCCAGGAGTCCGACAGACCCAGGTGTGGATTCCAGTATCACTTCCTGCTGTATAAACCCTAGCTCGTTGCTTAACTTCACTGAACCTCATTCATTCATTCATTCTTGAATGAGGAAACTGATGATACCTTCTTTTAACGGGTGGTTGTGAAGATTAAAAGTGATAATATATCTAAAACCTTTAGAACTCTGTCTGGTACCATGGTTTTCAAACTTCTCTGGGTAATAGAATCACTGGGGAACTTCTAAAAAATTACTGATGTCTAGGCTGTACCTCTAGAGATTCTAATTGGAGCATGAATCTTTTAAAACACCCCAGGTGATGGCAATATATAGCCAAGGATGAAAACGACTCTTCAAGCACAAAAGAGATGCTCTATAGACAGAAGTTAGTGTAATCATTTCCTTAGTCTCAGCACTCATGGGGGTAAGTATAAAACTCTTTCTCACTTACAAGGAGGCTTGGAATTCACCTGCAATGCAAATTTAATCCCCATTCCTGATATAGTCAAAGTCTACTCTTCCTAGAAGAGGAGAAAAGTGAGATGTAGTGGGATGCAGGAAGCATTGCTTCCAAGGGAACTGGGTGAGGATGGGTTCAAGAAAAACCATGGAACACATAGACAAAGTGGTCAAAGGGTATTCCCCATATATATGCTCATCCCCTTACCCCACACACACCAAGTAATGGTGTGGACCAGTTACCCTAACAATTTCACCCAATGCTGTAACCCAGCTGTTCTTCCCGGAGGGGCATGGGACAGGAATATGACCCCTGGGCATCTATGTGAGAAGCAGGCTGCAGCTTCCTGATCTAACTACCTGCGGCCTTGGTGCTTGTCCTCTGCACCTTTTATTGCAATTCCCCGACAAGACTGAAATCCATCCCACAACCAAGACCTTCTCACCTGGGTCATTGGCCACATACCCAGTCCCATCTTCTTCTGATTTTGACATCTTCTTTGTCACCTTGGCTAGAACACTCTGTTCTAAGCCATAGGCACACATTGGTGTAACAACCAAGAGCCAATCAGCTCTATTTTGCTGGCAGAAACCACTTTCCATCTTAGAGAACAAAATGCCAGATACTCACTCTCCTAGACTTCCTTGCTGCTAATGGTGGCCCAGTGATGGCCAGTGTGACACAGGCAAAAAAATCTTCTGGAAGGCTTTGGAAAAAGATGCTTCTCTTTGACGGCAAGAGAGAAAGAATGAAGAAAGCCCTGTGATTTCTGCCTTTGGTCCTGACCTTGAATGCTGTTGTGTAAGGACGTGGTGCTTGGAAATTCTGGGGCACACTGCAGTGCTCCCTAATACCTGGGTTTCTTGGTCCAGGCAATACACCTATGCTACATTCACTATCTTCCTTTGTGGTAGATGAAGCTCTCTGACCAAGTTCCAGATCTTCAACAGAAGCAGTGCTCTCCACACCCAGGCCTGGCCCATGAAACCTTCCTGTTGGGAATATTGCCCTTTTTTTAACCTCTCTACTGGGTAGAGAAGACTCCAGACTTAGAATAGGGTAGAAGCAAGATGGAAAAACCTGTATCTCTGAGTGACAGACAGGAAAAGAGCTCCTGCCTCAACTTTCTCCCATCAACTCTTGTTGGACTATGATGAGCAAAAGAGAAATATTGTTTAAAGCACATATTTTACTGCCACTAAAATTTTAGGGTTGTTTGTTAGAGCAACTACATTACCTTAACTGATAGAGCGCCACTATGGTCATTTTGGCATCCAGTGGGAGATAAATCTGACTCACTGAGAATGACAGACTTGAAGACAGAAGGACTTTGTGATCTGATGGATATTCTGAGCTCCTCCACCGATCTGAGAACTCCTACCCCTAGAGGTAATAAGAAATCTCCCTGATTCCAAGCCACATTCCTCTGAGGCTGGGCAAGGGCCAAAGGTGAGCCTGGCCAACTGGATCTGAGAGTTTGAGAGTGAGAGACCATAGGCCAGTTCAAGGGGACTTTATTAAAAAGGAAGTGAGGTGGGCTTTGCAATAGTTTGGGGTGTGTTGGTCAGAGAGGGGAGGCCCTCTTTCTTTAAAATAATGCTATAAAATCAAGGCAACCATGCACTCTCAATCATTCATCCTGGGGCTGGTGACCCTTAGGCTCAGCCTCCACGGGTATTGTGGCTCATCTGGTTGGGAACCAGCACGGGCTCTACCCGAACTTTCCCCTCAACTTGGTTTCCATTTGTCACCTGCCTTGGAGCCCACAGCACAACAGAGGAAGGAGAAAGGTTCAGTTGCTCTCAGAGCCCCAGACCCAGATGATGCTGAAGTCGGGCTTCACTGCTGTGGCCTCAGATCTGACAGTGAGGACACTTCAAGTCCGAATGTCAGTGATGTCCTAGGAAATTATTTGCTGGGGCTTGTGGCTGCACTGGATACACTTGCAATAATGAAAAGTTAATTTGAGGTCCAGAAAGTGGTGAAGTCACTGAGCAATACCGCTTTATTTCACAGAGTCCAACTGCCAAGTATCTCTTTACATTTTTTTAGTGTGAAATAATGGAAGTTTTATTTACTAAGGAAAAAAGAAAATCCAACCATGATAACTCTCTTTTTAAATGTGCAATGAGTTTATTTTTATTATTTTTCTTCTCAATTTTTATTTTAGGCTCAAGGGGTACATGTGCAGGTGTGTTATATGGGTAAATTGTGTTTTGCAAGGGTTTGGTGAACAGATAGTTTTGTCGCCCGGGTAATCGTAATACCCAGTAGGTAGTTTTTCAGTCCTCATCCTCTTCCCACCCTCCACGGTCAAGTAGGCCCTGGTGTCCATTTTTCCCTTTTTTGTGTCCATCTGTACTCAGTGTTTAGCTCATGCTTGTAAGTGAGAAAATGCAATATTTGTTTTTCCGTTCCTGTGTTAATTTAGTTAGGATAATGGCCTCCAGCTCCATCTGTGTTGCTGCAGAGGACACGATCTCATTCTTTTTTATGGCTGTGTAGTATTCTACGGTGTGTACGTACCACCTTTTCTTTCTCCTGTCCACAGTTGAAGGGCATTTAGGTTCATTCCATGTCTTTGCTATTGTGAATAGTGCTGCGATGAATATCCAAGAGCACTTATCTTTAGGGTAAAACAATTTATATTCCTTAGAGTATATACCCAGTAATGAGATTGCTGAGTTGAATTGTACTTCTATTTTAAGTTCTTTCAGAAATCTCTAGACCACTTTCCACAGTGGCTGAACTAATTTACATTTCCGCCAGCAGTGTGTAAGCATTCCCTTTTCTCCACAACCTTGCCAGCATCTGTTATGCTTTTATTTTTTAATAACAGCCATTCTGACTCTTGCAAGATGGTATCTCATTGTGGTTTTGATTTGCGTTTCCTCAATGATTAGTAATATTGAGCATTTTTGTATGAGTTTGTTGAACTGCAAAGTCTTTGAAGCTGTAATAGGGATCCCAGAAAGTCTTCTACCTTACTGTATAATAATAGTGGACCCAAAGCAGGGCATTGGTGATGTGACAGTTAAGAATGATGATAATGAATTATTGCACATGGCTCATGACCTGGCCATGTGACTGCTCCTTGCTTTGAAACACTAAAACCCAAATTCTTTATCCTCTAATCTATAGGCAACAATAGTGCCTAGCAGAAGCTGGCTCTCTGTGGGTGGAATTTGGGATTCTTAGCTAATGCCTAGGGAAGTCTACAAGAAGCTCTTTGGAACCTCTGGAGCAATAATATGGAATTATGAAGTCACATGTGAACATTCAGTTGGACTATTGGGTTAGAAAGCACAGGGGCATGGATACTGGGCTGGATTCCCTCAAAGAATATCTCTTGAAATCTTTTTCTTTGGAGAAAGAGAAGACCTACACATGCTTAATGCTGTTACTGCAGAGGAGTGAACTGTCTGTCCCCTAAATTTATATGTTGAAGCCCTAACCTTAATGTGATTATAATTGGAAGTTGGGCCTTTATGAAAGTAAGTAAGGTCAAATGAGGCCACAGGATGGGGCCCTGATCTGATAGGATTAGTGTCCTTGTAAGACAGGATGCAAGAAAGCTCACTCTCCCTCTCTTTTCACCATGAGAAGACACAGCAGGAAGGTGGCTGCCCAAAACCTAGGAAGAAAGTTCTCACCAGGAGCCAAATTGACTGGCAACTGGATCTGGGACTTCTAGGACCTAGATAAATATATTGAGATGGAGTCTTGCTCTGTCACCTGGGCTGGAGTGCAATGGCACGATCTTGGCTCACTGCAACCTCCACCTCCCGGGTTCAAGCGATTCTCTTGCCTCAGACTCCCCAGTAGCTGGGATAAGTGTGCACCACCACGCCCAGCTAATTTTTTGTATTTTTAGTAGAGACAGGGTTTCACTATGTTGGCCAAGCTGGTCTCAAACTCCTGACCTCAGGTGATCCACCCACCTCTGCTTACCAAAGTGCTGGGATTACAGGTGTGAGCCACCGCACCCAGCCAAATTTCTTTTGTTTAAGCCACCCAGCCTATGAGTATTTTATTGTAGCAACCCAACTAGACTAAGATGGCAACATGTCAGGATATTCAGACTTACTTAACGAAAGATCAGGAGGACTGAAAGAACTATGTCCAGTGGGCAGCTGATAAACTCCTGAGTTGACTGTGCAAAGCTTAATTCCCTGGGCTGAGGTTCTAATAAGGGTTGGCATTTTCCTCCACACTTTTTATTCTGCTGTGTGGAAAAGATGGATAACCCTTCCGAGGAAGTTTAACTGGTGTCTCCAAGTCTCTGATGTTTTCTTCTACCCACTGAGACCAAAGTTAGTGGAATCTTTGTATCTTCTCTATCAGACAGCCAAGAATCCCTTCTACCTTTATGTGGGAATGCAAGTTCTGCAGAACCAACAAACAAAAACCAAAATCCAATGTAGGTCTGCTCTGCTACATTGTGGCAAAAGAAAATCAAAGGAGTACTAGATAGACTTCGGGAGGCTGAGGTGGGAGGATCACTTGAGCTCAGGACTTCAAGGCTGTAGTGAGCTGTGATTGCGCCACTGTACTCCATACACTCCAGCCTGGGCAACAGAGCAAGACCCGTCTAAAAACAAAACAAAACAAAACAAAACAACACAACACACACACACACACACACAAAACTAGATGGTAGATGGAAGTTTCTTTTTCAGGGATATATTCAAATACTTTTATCTGCCATTTACTGAAGAGACTCCAGCTCACAAACCTGGAAAGCAATGCATGTTGGCAATTGAGACTTATATTATCTGTGAACAAACATCTGAGGAAATCATCATGAAAGAGCTCCTCCTTTTCTAAAGAGGGAAGACAAGACCACATGACAAACCTGTGCAAAGGCCTAAATCTCATTAAGTAACAGCTATCACTCCCAGCTACAATTGCAATTGTGTTTCTATTTACTTTTTTTTTTTTTTTTTGAGACAGGGTTTTACTCTGTGGCTCAGGCTGGAGTGTAGTGGCACAATCATAGCTCAATGCAGCCTTGACCTCCTGGGCTCAAGTGATCCTCCTGCCTGAGCCTCCCAAGTACCTGGGACTATAGGTTCAGGCCACCAGGCCCAGCTAAGCAATTGTGTTTCTAATGACAAGAGATACTCCTTGCCATTCAATATTACCTACATGAGACAGACTGAATTATTGCCTTAACTTCATCTGTTGCATCTCCTGCTTCCTCATTTTAAGCCAGATGTCAACTTAGCCCATACTACACCAAAATCCAGTCTGAAGTGGAAGTCAGAGAACAGAAGTCTGCCATCCATGCTGGTGTAGGGTTTTCTGTCTACCTGCACACCCAGCATATAATATGACCTTGCATGTTTTGTTTTGTTTTGTTTTGTTTTGTTTTGTTTTTATTTTTTTTAGATGAAGTTTCGCTCTTGTTACCCAGGCTGGAGTGCAGTAGTGTGATCTTGGCTCACTGCAACCTCTGCCTCCCAGGTTCATGCGATTCTCCTGCCTTAGCCTCCCAAGTAGCTGGGATTACAGGCGCCTACCACCACGCCCAGCTAATTTTTTTGTATTTTTAGTAGAGACACGTTTTCACCATGTTGGCCACGCTGGTCTTGAACTCCTGACCTCAGGTGATCTGACCGCCAAGGCCTAGCAAAGTGCTGGGATTATAGGCATAAGCCACCGTGCCCGGCCACATGTTTTCTTATTTTTAATAAACACCATACTTAAGGAACAGAAATGAATAAGCCTTCTTCTTATCAGTTGGTTTTCCTGTTATATGTAGCCAAATATGATATAACCTCAATTAGTATAAATAATACGGACATTTCCTGTTCCTTCGAATGAGATCCCATGTCCAACTCAACCAATCTCAGCTACTACTAACTTTATCCATCATATTCTAGGCTCTGTAGAATATAAACCTATCTGACTAGAATAAACACTCCATGAGAAAGAGAACCTTGTCTGTCTTCCTAATATCATACCCATGCATTTAGAATAATGCTGGGCATACTGTGGGTGCGTACTGGTGTTTATTGAATGAAAGGTGTTCCTAGCATTCTTCTATCTGAATTGTTATTTCCTTGACTCAGAGTTTCCATTCCTTTATCATCTACCTCACCACCTGCTTCCCTAGTTAGACTCCTGAGAGAAATGGAGAGACTGAGGCAATGGCAGGGAAGAGAGGGCTTACTGACTCAGGAGTCAGAGCAACTGAGGGTCCACCCACCAGCTATGTGGCCTTGGGTCATTTGCTTAATTCTTTTGAGGCTCTTTCATTAAATGACCATGATGATGATGTCAGTGGACAGTGTGGAATTCTGCCCAGATTCCTTCATCAGGACTGACACACTCATCACCCAGGTGCTGAGAATATTGGCTGTTGACCTCTCACCTCCATGTCCCTCACTGAGTACTGTCCTTTGTAGCAGGGAGCTGCCTCGTGCAAGGTTATGTCCCTTCATGGGGTAGCCCCCAGCCAATAAGCAACTGATGTGCCTAGACACAGGAGCAGAACCGTTGTGTCTGTCTGCAAGAACTCAGAAGGTCACCCCACTCTGGATCTCCCTGCAGGAGCTTCATTGTAGCCACTTTGCAGGTCAGCTTCTCTACCTCTCCAGTCCTGCCTCCCTCACTTCCTTACTTTCTTTGATCTCCAGAGACTAATCCTCAGGAATCCTTCTGCATGCAATTCTCCATTTCAGGGTCTGTTTCCTGGAAACGTTATCTAAAACAATACTGGTGATGGGGAGCATAATAGTAAGAGCTTATTCAACAGGGCTGTGTGAAAATGGAATGAGATCGTGAGTGTTGAGAGTGCATGTTGTTGCTGCTGTCTAACATGTGCTAGTTAAATCCAATCTGAAGTGTCCCTCTAGCAGGAAAAAAAGAATGAATCTCCTCCAGAGACATTGGGTATGATTTATATCTTCTTATGATGTTGTCCAAGGGGAGGTTCATTAGTATCTCTGTTCTGATTGTTCTGGTCCTGGACCCCCAGGGGGAAGTACTCGATGGAGTGGGGCTGTTCCCTATATTATGTTCCGAGTCCTTGGCATTCTGTATGCTGTGAAAGTTTCACTCTCTCTGGGCTGTTTCATCAGAATCCATCCCCAGAAGCTATAAACAACCCCATCACCTCCTTTCTCAGCTTCCAAGAGCACTAATCCTCTATCTAGTGCTTTATCAGTCTATTGAGAAATGGCCACAGAAACCTGCCAATCTAAACAGAATATAGTGTGGGAAATCGTATTAGACCTCCCTGTAATTCACCAAACATCACAGGCAGTAAAATTCTAATACCATGCTGATTCTTTTATTGTAATGAGAATACAAATGGATGCAACGTCAATCCACCCTTATTGCAATATTAAAATTCTGCTAAAATACTACACTGAACTCACACTTTGGGGGAAATCCCATGATAACCTACTCAAAACTGTCCTAGAATCAGCTTGAGATTGTTCAGGATTTTTCGCCGGGTGATACTGAAAGAGGATGTGCCCTTTTAAGAAAAATCACTCCCATTGGGATCTTGAAATAGAGGTACTTAGAAAATTCACTAAAGGAAGCGTGCCTGATGGGATAGAATTGCAGATAGAGGGCTTGAGATAAGGCACGTGCCAGGCGATTTTGGTCTATATTTATTATTCTTCCCGGACAGCATCTTCAGGCCTACCTGTCAAGGAGGGCTCAGGCATGGTTCTGGCAAAAAAAACACAATTAGAGACAAACCCTGGGTAGAGGGCAGGCAGATAGTGACAGGAAATTTCGACCACACTTCTAGGAAAAGCAGAGCAGTGGACAGGTGCCCAGGTGAGTGACACTGATGTGATTCCAGGTGAACCTACATTTCATGGAAGAACCTGAGCTAATAATCAGCAGGAGATAAAAGCGTGTGACAGTGCCCACATGAAACCATGCCTATTTCTTACTCTCTCCAGATGCCTGGTTTTGATTAAGAAGCAACGTTCCCGGCCAGGTCTGGTGGCTCACTCCTATAATCCCAGCACTTTGGGAGGCCTAGGCAGGCAGGAGTTTGAGACCAGCCTGACCAACATGGTGAAACCCTGTCTCTACTAAAAATACAAAAATTAGCTGGGTGCGGTTGTGCACACCTGTAATCCCAGCTACTCAGTAGGCTGAGGCAGGAGAATCGCTTGAACCCGGGAGGCGGAGGTTGTAGTGAGCCAAGATGGGACCACTGCACTCCAGCCTGGGTGACAGAGTGAGACTCCATCTCAAAACAAAACAAAACAAAACAACAAACAAAAACAACAACAAAACAAACAAACAAAAAAGAAAGCAACGTTCCCAACCACAGGAAATAAATTATATCTCTAAGCCAATCAAGGTCAAGGCAATCTGTGGCTGTGGCTGGTGGGTTGTTCCAGGGTAAGCTTGTTTCTAGTCTGCTGGGGCCTTCTGGGAAAGACATTCCTTCATGGAAACAGAGAGGTAAATTCTATGACCCTGCCATTCCACTCCTAAGTTATATATTCACCAAAACATACACACCAGGAAGTCACATCAGCACTATTCAGGATCTACAAAACTTAGAAGCAACTCAAATAATTATCAGCAATTGGATAAATAAATCTTGTTAGATATGTGGAAAGGATCACTATATAGCAATGAGAAAGAACAAACTATAGATAGTCTCAGCTATGTGGATAAATCTCAGGAAACAGAAGAAGACAGTTGCCTAAAAGGAAGAGTTGTGTGATTCCATTTATAAAAAGTTAACAACAACAAAAAAGGAAGCCATCGTATCTATGGTGTTTGAAGTTAGGTTAGTGATTTCTCTCGGGGGCAGTGAGATTGGAATGTGGCCAAGGGTGCTTCTGGTGATGTTCTGTATCATGGTTTGTGTGCTTTGTTTCATGCCTCAGTTTACTCTGTGAAAAGTCATCTAATGTGCATTTTTGATGTGTGTACTCTTTGTACATGTGTTATACATCATCGAACATTTATATTTAAAGTTAAAAGTGGATTGAGTAGAGAGCTCTATTGCTTCCTGCTTTGATGCTGTCTGGTAAAGAGGCAATGGCTGGAGCAGTGGCAGCTATTTTATAACCATAAAAAAAAACACATAAGGAGGAAAACTCAATATTCCAAGAAGGGTGGACTGAAGACTATAATAGCTCCTGTCCTTGGCATGTCTGAGCTGTGGAATTCTCCTCAACACTGCCTACCTCTGGACCTTGCTTTAAGAAGAGAGTACATTTACCGATGGCTCAAGCCACATTGTTGCGTCTTCTGTCTCTTGCAGCCCGCAGCAGCCTCATTGACTCTGAGAATGGAAAGTGTATGATATAAACCCTGTGGGGAAAAGGGGACTGGAGGCATCTGAGAAACAGTTGACGTATTTGCTTTGTAGTCTGAGCTCTAAATCCAGTTGGCGCTGAGCTTGGAAGCTTAGTGAAGGGAATGCTGAGACATAGTGTCATATCCATCAGACTGAGTATTTGTTCTCTAGAAGCAACTCTCATTCCAGACCAACCTCCTGGTGGAAGACTATTGCTGGTCTTCTTGTCTTTGTCAGAACTTGCTCAGGGACTGGATAACTGACAAATGGGGAGAGAAGGACATTAGCCAAAATGGTTGCAAGGGACTTAGAGAAATGGACCCCCACACAGGCTGCCTTCCTTCTTGCTTTTGATGTGAGGATTCATTCCTTTTTCCATATTGAAAGCAAGAGTGTGTTTTTGGAAAACACCAGGTCTCTTTGTTCTTCATCTGGATGCCCGGAAAACCCTACCCACCGTTTGTGAGTTCATTGCTTGGCAGAAGTTCCCACATGAAGACCTCATCAGAAAAGCTCGCAAAAATAGGTCACCGTCTCTTCCTAAGCCTTTCAGCAAAGGAAGCTACTTTCTCTGCTGATCTGCCAATGAAGCCTTTGGAGTGTCAGAGAGGAGGAAAACCCTGCAGACATGGCTGAGTCCTGATGTCACAGCCCCAGTGGGCTACAGAGACTTTCTCCCTCCACCTCCCTCATAGAGCGCAGGGCGGACAAGATGTCAGGGAAACTCTCACAGGTTCCTGTTTAAATCCCATGTGACAATGTCCCATGGCCATTGGCCTGGAATTCAGCTCTGACAATAGCCCAGAGGCAGAGGAGAGAAATGCATTTGTAAGAAAGTGTGAGGACCACTGTCCTTGTGAAGATAGTGGCTATACAGTTACCTGATGTCAGGTCCTCTTCACTCTGCTCATCCTTGCCTGGGCATAACCTCCTCTTACCCAGAGCTGGAATCAAAGGAGGCACTGTCACACCAGACTTGGAAACCCTGAGAAGTCAGATGCTCCTTCCTTCCTCCCAGGATGGCCTCACACCCATCAGAAGGCACAGCACTGAGGATCACATGGATGATGACGGTCACCATTTATGGAGCACATAACTATAGGACAGTCATTGTGAGAAGCCTTCTCGTTATGGCATGCATCTCACAATCATCATTTTATAGCCTCCTTTTTATAGATAACATTCAATGTGGTGGCCTAACTTTCCAAAAGCCACATAATAAGTAGCAGAGCTGGCCTAGTGGACTTTTCCTGCCCCTCTGCATCTGCAGGTATAAGGAGAACAAAGATTGTGGCAGCAATAACATTGGGAGTATTGACCTGCTCCCGGGCCTTTATCTATGAAGGATTGGGCAAGTTCCTTCCTCTTTGAAGCACTGTCTCTACCTGGGAGATAAGGGCTCTAAATAAGACTCTTATTTGGATGTTTTGTAGTTCAAACTTCTGGAAACCATTAATGCTGGAATAATGAAAAGTATTCTCAGAGCCACACAGAAGGGAGGGCAGACAGTGTCAATTTAGGGAGGTAGATAAAAAAGTCAATCAGAAGCTTAGGGTCAAGGAAGAAACTTGCATGTATTAGGTGTGTTATGGTCCAAATTGTGTCCCCTCCAAAATTTATATGCTAAGTCCTAAATATGAATATGTGCCTTCATTTGCAGGGAGAGCCATTGAATAGGTAACTAAGGTAAAATGAGGCCACATGAGTGGGTCCTGATCCAGTATGACTGTTGCTCTTTTAAGAAGAGATTAGGGGCCGGGCGCGGTGGCTCACGCCTGTAATCCCAGCCCTTTGGGAGGCCGAGGCGGGCGGATCACAAGGTCAGGAGATCAAGACCATCCTGGCTAACACGGTGAAACCCCGTCTCTACTAAAAATACAAAAAAATTAGCTGGGCGTGGTGGTGGGTGCCTGTAGTCCCAGCTACTCAGGAGGCTGAGGCAGGAGAATGGCGTGAACCCAGGAGGCAGAGCTTGCAGTGAGCCGAGATCTCGCCACTGCACTCCAGTCTGGGCAACAGAGCGAGACTCCGTCTTAAAAAAAAAAAAAAAAAAAGAGAGAGAGATTAGGATGCACAGAACACAGACTAAGGAATGAGCCTGTGAGGACACAGCAAGAAGGTGGCCATCTGCAAGCCAAAGAGAGAGGCCTCAGAAAAACACCAACCCTGCCAACTCCTTGATCTTGGACTTCCGCTTCCAGTACTGTGAGAAAATAAATCTCTGTTGTTTAAGCCAGGGGTCTCCAATTCCCCGGCCATGAACTGGTACTGTCCATAGCCTTTTAGGAACTGGGCGCAGGCAAGTGAGCGAAGCTTCATCTGTATTTACAGCCACTCCCCATTGCTTGAATTACTGCCTGAGCTCCGCCCCCTGTGAGATCAGCGGTGGCATTAGATTCTCATAGGAGTGTGAACCTGGTTGTGAACTGCGCATGCGAGGGATCTAGGTTGCACACTCCTTATGAGAATCTAGTGCCTGATGATCTGTCACTGTCTTCCGTCACCCGCAAATGGGACCATCTAGTCTAGATGCAGGAAAACAAGCTCAGGGCTACCACTGATTCTACATTATGGTCAGTTGTATGTTTCATTGTATATTACAATGTAATAACAATAGAAATAAAGTGCATAATAAATGTAATGTGCTTGATTTATCCCAAAACCATTCACTACCTTCCACCCCAACAGCCTCATCCATGGAAAAAATGTCTTACTCAAAACTGGTCCCTGGCACCAAAAATTTGGAGACCACTGTTTTAAGCCACCCAAACTGCCATATGAGTTACGGCAGCTCTAGCAAATAAACACAAGATACTACTAGATGTCAGGCAATAGTAGACTCCTGAGATCTTGCATCTTGTACCTGCTCAGTATTGGCCACCTTCATCTTGTGTCAAAATCCCCCTGGATATTAACATACATATGTTCAAGTTCTACCCCAAAGAATACTGTTGCAATTGGTCTGGAGGTGATTTCCTGGTGATTCTAATGAGCAGCCAGGATTGAGAATTATCTTTCCAGATCTTTGAGTCATTGGCCTTTCTTTTCCTTCGGGTCTGGGCTCAAAGGTCATGTCCACAGGGAAGCCCCCAGGAACACCCCATCCAAGGTAGCCACTCTTATGACCTCACACTGTTTTGGTTTCCTCAGAGAATTAAACCGCCCTGTCAACTAATCTTTGATTTATGTTTGTTCATTTTTTTCACCTCATTTCTTTTTGTTGTTTGTTTGCTTTTGTTTTTTTTTTTTTTTTTTGTTTAAGAGACAGGGTCTCAGTCTGTCACCCAGGCTAGAGTGCAGTGGTGGCTCAATCATAGCTCACTGGAGCCTCTGACCCCAGCGATCCTCCTACCTCAGCTCCCAAGTGGCTGAGACTACAGGAACATGCCACCACACCTGGCTAATCTTTTTTATTTTTATTTTTTTGTAGGACAGAATCTTGCGATGTTGCTCAGGCTGGACTCAAACTCCTGGCCTCAGGTCATCCTCTTACCTTAAGCTTCCCAGTAGCTGGGACAACAGGCACCAGCCATAAATTTAAAAAAAATTTTTTTGTAGAGACAGGGTCTCTTGCTCTTGCTCAGACTGGACTCAAAGTCCTGGCCTCAAGCGATCCTACTACCTTAAGCTCCCTAGGAGCTGGGACGACAGGCATAAGACACCACATCCAACTAATTAAAATTTAAAAAAATTTTTTTTGTAGAGGCAGGGTCTTGCTATGTTGCTCAGGCTGCTTTTGAACTCCTGGCCTCAAGTAATCCTCTCACCCCAGCTTCCCAAAGCATTGGAATTACAGGTATGAACCACCACACCTGCTCTAATCTTTGATTTATAGGTTTATTTGTTTATTCTTTCTCTATCTAAAACTATAAACTTCACGAGATTGGGGACCTGGGGTTTCCCTTTTAAGGCTGACCATAGTTCTATGGGCTACATATTATAATCTCTATTTGTGGATGAGAAAACTCAGGTGCAGAGAAGATAGTAACTCATCTGCCCCGCTCCAACATGCAGGTCAGAAGTGGTATAATTTGGGTTTGAGCTCAGGTTTAACTGAATTCATAGCCACCCTACCGGCCATTTACACATTAATTATTTCTTTGCCACATTATACTTTATTTACCATTTTTTCGTCACAGGATCTCATTTACTCTCACAATGGAACTCCATTATAAAAACTATCATAAACCCCATTTTAAAGATGAGAAAACTGGAGCCTAGGAGAGTGGGGGGATTCATGCGTGATTACACAGCCCCAAGGGTGCAGTTTCTTCCATCCACAAATTCTATTATTTTCTCCATTCCGATTCTGTTTTGTGTCCCTCCTTCACCTATTTATCAAATGTCCTCTCCTTTCTGCAAAGGAGTAAGGGGACTTGGCCCATCAATGTGACAAAGCAGCAGCTCTCCTAGTCAGACCCGCCAGGAGGAGGATCAACCCACCAAGGACTATCCCAGCGCAACTGTTCCCAGCCGCAAGCTGTGCCTGGCTTCTCCCTGGCAGCTCTGCCAAGCCAAGGCTGCCTGTTGGCACATCAGCACTGAATTAGAAAAATGATAAGGTTAGAACACTCTAGGAGAAGGGAACAGGGATTAGAGTCCCAGCTTTGCATGGCTGTGAAGGAGTCAGTGGGAATCAAGTGGCAAAGAACTGAAGGACACAGGGGGACAAGAACTGGCATTTACTGGGCACCTGCGGTGTGCCAGGCACTAGTCACACATGAGTTCACTTAATCTTTAAGTGGCCTTGTGAGGAATTAGCTGGAAATATAGGAGTCATCATTGACAGCTTTCTCTCCTCTCTGCTCAAATTCAGTTCAATGAATTGCTTAATATCACTTCTCACGGTGTTCTCTGCCCCTGCTATGGACAGGCTTCCATCATTTTTTGCACAAATTGCCTTGTAACCAGTCTGTCAACATCCTCTCTGGTTCCTCTCCAATATAGTGTCCATACTGCAGCCAGAATAGTCTCCTTTTTTTTTTTTTTTTTTGAGATGGGTCTTGCTCTGTCGCCTGGGCTGGCTGGAGTACAGTGGTGCCATCCTAGCTCACTGCATCCTCCAACTCATGGGCTCAAGTGATCCTCTCACCTTAGCCTTCTAAGTAGCTGAGACCACAGGTGTGCACCATGATGCCCACATAATTTTTAAAATTTTGTAGAGTAGGGGTCTCACTGTGTTGTCCAGGCTGGTCTTCAATTCCTGGGCTCAAGTCATCCTCCCTCCTTGGCCCCCTGAAGTGCTGAGATTAGAGGAATGAGCCACCATGCCTGGCCCAGAGCGATCTTTTTGAAATGCCAATAGGATGGAGTCTTCCCTCTGCTTACAACTTTTGACAGCTGTCTATTTTTCTTGAGATGAAGACCAAATCCTTAACAAGGTGTCCTAGTATAAATTACTGGAGGATCCGCATTCTGCCTACCTTTCCATCCCTTCCTTCTCTGCATGCCAGTCCTCCTGGCTCTCTTTCAGCTTCTGCAACACACCATGTTCCCTCCAGTCTCCAGGCCTTTACGCAAGCTGTTCCCTCTGCCTGGTACACTCTCACCACCCTCCTCCAACGTATTTATGCCTGCTCACCCCTCAGCTCTCAGCTCCACTGTCACTCTCTCGGAGTCCTAGACAAGGACATGGCTCTTGCTCACGGTCCTGCTTCTTGTCTTCCCAGCACCTATATCAGCCTGAATCATGCATCCATTAAGGTGATTCAGTATGTTTTTGTTTTTGTCATTGTTCATAAGGATAGAGATGTTGCCTGATTTGGGTCCCTTCCTAGGCTGAAAACTCGCACAGTGCTGAGCACAGAGTAGATCCTCAGTTCATGCCACGTATTATCAGGTGCATGTCTTTATTTTACTGGAGAGAAAACTGGGACTCAGAAAGGTTTGGTTACTTGCCTAAGCTTGTCCAGCAGAGCTGGGACACAAATCCCCTGACTACCTGAGGCAGAGCCTTGCTTGACTTTCAAATATGTCAACTGAGGAGGGGTCTCAGAGAGGAGAAAGGAGTTTCTGGGGAGCATTTCAGCTCCGGGAGAGACAAATAGGTTGTGCTACACTCAGCCCCATCTCCACTCCATCACCTGCTAGTTAAGGAGTCAGGCTCCTCAGAGCTGCCCACAACCGTGGGAGAGAGACAGATGGTCCCTAAAGACCCATCTCATTATCCCAGGAGTCAAATTGGAAACCCATTAAAGAATAACTGGCCCATCAATAAACCCCACATGAATTCTGCAACTGCTCAGGGGAGTGAAACTGACCAAAGCCATGCTAATGCGGCCTCTTAGCACCTTCCCATCCAGGACTAATGGTAATTCTCGGAAAGTAAATACAGCCCTTCCTGAGCCCCCAGAAGCCATTTGCTATAATGTGGTGTAACCATCTTAAGTAAGTGCCTGGTAAATTCATGAACCTGTTAAGCAGAGTTCATTGTGCCTTTCCACTCACAGGTGGAATGCAGTGGTCATCAGTGGGAAGTATTTCAAGGACAGGTGGCAGATAAAACCAGACACAAGCAATCAGCAGCTGCAGTTACCTGCACACCTGCGCATGAATCTGCATCTGCAGAAGGTCTGTGTTCTGTAGACACGTGTCCCTGTGTGTGTGTGTGTGTGTGTGTGTGTGTGTGTGTGCATGTAAGCATTGTGAGAGCAGATGTAGATTCATGGAGCATGCATGCCTGTGAACACTTACTGCTTGTGGATTTGCACACTTTTACAATTATCCTCGGACCCGCAGATCTGCTTGGGCTGGCCAGCATGACAGACTGTTCACATTGTAAGAAATGGCTCATAGTAGTTGCATTAGTTCATTCTCACGCTGTTATGAAGAAATACCCGAGACTGGGTAATTTGTAAAGAAAAGACGTTTAATTGACTCAAAGTTCCACATAGCTGGGGAGGCCTCAGGAAATTTACAATCATGGTGGAATGCACCTTTTCACAGGTCGGCAGGAGAGAGAGTGAATGCCAGCAGGGGAAATACCAGACACTTATAAAACCATCAGATCTCATGAGAACTCACTCACTATCACAAGAACAGCATAGGGGAAACCGCCCCCATGATTCAATTACCTCCAACCAGATCTCTCCCAAGACATGTGGGGATTATGGGGATTACAATTCAAGATGAGATTTGGGTGGGGACACAGCCAAACCATAACAGTAGTCATTCAGCATGTATCTGTTGTTTTAATGGAGAATAAAGCCTATCTAATTATCATAATCGTAACAGTAAGAATAATTATAATAAATAGAGAGAACAAAGCATTTCCAGATGACCTAAAGGAGTAGAGACATTCTCCATTGCAGCCATTAGCTAGCTGTAAGTGGTTGGAGAGGGCGCTATCCTTCTCTAATCCTCGTTTCTCACCTGTCAACAGAGGGCTACCATAGGCAGAGCCAGCAGGAAGTTGAGGTAGTTTATCCCTCCAGGTCTCTCTTTTCTTGAAAAAGGCAAGGCCATTCCTTGAGAAGGATGTGAGCTGGAAGTTCATTATAGAGGGATTTGAGGAAGAGTGGATAAATTTTGGAGGATTTGCCAAGATAAATGAAGAAAAGAGATGGCCAAGTTTAAATAACACAATTACTGAGATGCCGTGGGTGCCTGGGTGAGATTTTACCCTCTGAATTTTAGGGGGTGGCAGAACACTATTCTGCATTCTCCGATGTATTTGTAGGTCTACAAAAGAGACAAGGAGCCTGGGAATCTGAAGATGCTGGTAAGAGGGTGGCTGAGTAATTGACCTTGGAACCTAGACCGAATGCAGTCGGAAGCCAGGTCAGAAGGTAGAAAGGCTGGAAGACAGAGGGGAGGGAGGGGCCTAGAAGTCTTCAACCAGCTGATAAAGCAGATAATTCTTTATTATCTGCTTTAGCATGGAGAAGTGAGAAAGCTATTTGGACCAAAGGTTATGGTCAGGGAAACCAGAGACTACTGCTTCAGGGGTGGGACCAATGCGGACGATGATAGGAAAGTTCATGATGAGATTCAGGTGGAGGCGAATCTTCACTAAAGAAGGGAGGCAGGTAGGGACTGACAGTCTAGGGCAGTGAATGGTTCTTTTTTTTTCAGACGGAGTCTCGCTGTGTCACCCAGGCTGCAGTGCAGTGGCGTGATCTCAGCTCACTTCAACCTCCACCTCCCAGGTTCAAGCGATTCTCCTGCCTCAGCCTCCTGAGCAGTTGGGACTACAGGCATGAGCCACCTTGCCCAGCTAATTTTTTTGTATTTTAAGTAGAGACGGAGTTTCACTGTGTTAGCCAGGATGGTCTTGATTTGATGACCTCGTGATCTGCCCGCCTCAGCCTCCCAAAGTGCTGGGATTACAGGCATGAGCCACTGCACCAGGCCATGAATGTTTCTTTTTTTAGGCGAGGTGGGGATCCCACAACTCTTTGATAATCTTGTAAAAAATATAGACCTGTTCCCTGTGGAAATGCCAGTCACGCTCTTTCACACAAGATGCACCCTGAATCTCCTGGACTCACTGAGTCTCTAATTTGGTGTCTATTGGATGGTTGGTTGGTGCCACCTTGGTGAAGATGTGGCTTGAAGGAGAGAGGAAGGCTGTGAAAGCTGGGGTCGAAGTCAGTGATGAGATTGTGAAGCAACAGGAATGCAGAGGATGCTACAGCCAGGGGTCAGGTCCTCAGGATTCGGAGTGTAACTCTGACAATTTCATTTTCTTGCTAGAATTGCAAAGGACATGAGGCACTCTTGGGCCTGATTCATTTCCCACTGCCAACCTGTGGTCTGTGGGACATGGATGAACAGAGGAAAGACACAAGGATGCTCCCAAGATCCCTTTCCTACAGATGCTGCCTCCTGCTCTGTGAGCCAGCATCATGGTCTCAGTTTTTTGAGCATGACTTATTTCCATTTTTTATTTCTGTTACATCTATTCCAAGATCTGCTTCCAGCTGTCTGTCTGCCACCTCAAAGCGCTTTGGGTGTGTCCTTATACAACTTTGAGCTGCGGGGCTCCTGACCTGCTCCTCTTCCCCAGGGTCTCTGAGCATCTTGTCTTTAGGAGCTCCTTTTTATTCACCTCCACCTGGGGTCCTAGGTGTCTATTTCCCACAGGAACCCTGTGCCTGCACTCACAGCTTCAGATCCTTCTGCCCTTCCCCTGGGTCACTGTTCACTCACCCCTCACCAGAGCATATTCAGACATACCTCAGAATCTAGAGAACCTGATGGTGGCTCATTATTTCTCTCTTTGGTTTCAGCAGTGCCAAGTGGCTGCTCAGTGGGGCCTGACCAGCAGCCTCAGAAAAGGAAGGAGCTTAGCCATTCACCCATGCCTGACAGGAGAAGAACACAGGGCACTAATTTACCCCCTACCTGGCCACAGAAAGCAGGTAAACAAGCCTCTACCACTAAAGGGACAGCATCAGTGTCTGCCACTCATCAGCTGAACTTTCCCTGATGTCCTGATGATAGATGCTCAGTCTGAGAGCTGGGAAGAGCCAAGAAAACAGAAAAGAAAGGAAACCCAGGGAGTCTTATGGGCACCACTGAGCCAGGATGGGGGAGCGTGTTTAGAAGAATCTGAAGAACTTATTAGCCCAAATGCAAAGATGAAGAGTTTCTTGGGTTTCTTGTTCTTGTCCTAAAACGACGTTGAGGATTCAACTTATGGTTCTTACTTTGACCACTCAGGACGGGTTGTTCTGTATGATAATTTCCTATTGATTGGTTTCCTTACGGGAATGCATCTGTTCACTGTTGCATCTCCAGTGTCCAAGTCCAAGCTTGGAGTATAGTGGGTGCTCAGTGAGTGTTTGTTGAGTGAATAATGAATGAAGCAAATGATGAATGCCATAATCCATAATTCACATTTCGATAATACATTCAGGAAGAATTCAATGTTATGGATCACTTTATTTAAAATCTGTAAATGGCTAGAGTTTAGTTGTAAAAGAATAATCAACATTGTTTTCAATTATAACTCATGTATTCAGCATCTATTATATGCCAGGTTCAAGGCATTGAGTTGAACAATGAGTAGAACAAAGTTTGGAGTATAGCAATGCTGTGAAATGCAGAAATAGTGGACCACTCACAAAGTTATCTCAGGAACTTCCTCGGACCTATGGGAAAAGAGCACAGATGTGATGGGCCTTTCTAGAAGGCAAGGTAAATTTTACAGCGGAACTATTTTCAGAGTCGAGTTTACTGGAAAAGATTAATTCTAAAGCCCTGTTCTGTTTCCACAGCCCAGGAGGGTGACATGGAAAAATAGTCAGAACGGTGTGGCCTGTTCTTCCATCCTCAGCAGACCCGAACCTCTGTTTACCCATGTAGTCACAGCCTATAGGGAAATAGACATATATTCTCACACCTGCACAGAAGCATGCACTTTCACAAATGCATTCATTTAGCTCTTCACTCATGCACACACTTGCACAGACCTCAAAGGTGTATATACGCAAGTACTTACACATGCCCAGATATATTCATATACTGGGAAACATGCTCATATAATGATTTTTCTATTTTTCTTCTTCTTTTTTTTTTTTTTTTTTTTGAGACAGAGTCTCGCTCTGTAGCCCAGGCTGGAGTGCGGTGGTGCCATCTCAGCTCACTGCAACCTCCACCTCCTGGATCCTGGTTCAAGCAATTCTCCTGCCTCAGCCTCCCAAGTAGCTGGGATTACAGGAACACGCCACCATGCCTAGCTAATTTTTGTATTTTTAGTAGAGATGGGGTTTCACCATGTTGGCCAGGCTGATCTTGAACTCCTGACTTCGTGATCCGCCCACCTCGGCCTCCCAAAGTGCTGGGATAACAGGTGTGAGCCACTGCACTCAGCCAAAGATGTATTTATTAAGACTCACTTGGACATGCAAAGATGTGTAGGCACCTAGACACTCATCTCTAGGTGAAAATTTCATGATCTTCATACCACGTTTACACACATATATGCTCACATATGGTATACAAACATACACTCTCGTAATTACCCACTTGGTCACATAAACACATACTTCATATATGGATGCATACACTTACTCGTGCTTACTTTCTTATTCACACACAGATATGCTTTACACCTACATAGAGGCTCACATACTGTCAGAGACAGACTTGTGTGACTCCTTGACTTACATTCGTACACATGAAACACCTTCAGCTTAGGCCAGAGGAGTAGTCAAGAGCTTTTGCCGCCTCTCATTTCTAAATTCTGGAGAGAGGATGAGACCAAAAGGATGTCTTTAAGGGACAGATAGAGGGAATGGATGTGATAATCACCCTCCCTGAATTCCCTAGGGAAGTGTGAAGTATTATTCCACGGCACATATCAAAGCAAATGCTGCAACATGGGTCTGATTGAAGTTCACGAATTCTAGAACCCGGTTAGATGAAAAATTATGCCATTGTTTACCATGTTGACTTGAAGTCTTGGGCCTTTTTCTTCCCAGAGGAATGTTTACTTTTATGTTTTTTTCCCACTCTACCTTGAATGCAGAAGTTGACACTAAGTGGAGATAAAAGGCAGCTCTATAAAAAAACACTAGGGCCATTTCTGCCACCTTGCTGGGAAGAACAATTCAGTGAAGGTAGACCCAATCAGGGTGATGAGACCAGGGGAATCACTACCACTCTTTCCATTTCCATAGCAAGACGCAGTGGAAGAATCAATGTGGTATTCTTCCTCGAAAATCCCTTTTGTTGTTCCTTGCTGGGGGTCATCAGGAACTGCTGAGACAGAGGCTGAAATGAGCAGACCTGAGTGGAGGAGTCCGCAGCACACACAGCAGCAAAAGGGGAATTAATTCAAGATCAAGCCTCAAGCTGACACCAGCTAGGAAGACACCAGGGCAAGAGGTTTTAGAAAAATTGACCCAGCACAGGGCCAAGGCACAGTACAGAAATGGGTGACACCAGAGGGGAGGGGAGAGGGCTTGGAATCATAAGAGAGGGACCGAGATTCACAGTCTGGTAGATGTGGAATGAAATCCTTACCCAGGTCATTCTTGCTGTGAAAACCCAGTCAATTTTCTTAACATCACTCATAACATGGATGGAATCACGTTTGCTATGAGAAGTCAATGAAATCCGTATGGGAAAACACCAGATTCATTCATTCATTCAACAGATTAATAATCGTTGATAATAACTCATATTTCTTGGGTGCTTACTATGCACCAGGTGCTATTCAAAAATGGATTATCACATCCATTCCCTCTATCTGTCCCTTAAAGACATCCTTTTGGTCTCATCCTGTCTCCAGAATTTAGAAATGAGAGGCGGCAAAAGCTCGTGACTACTCCTCTGGCCTAAGCTGAAGGTGTTTCATGTGTACGAATGTAAGTCAAGGAGTCACACAAGTCTGTCTCTGACAGTATGTGAGCCTCTATGTAGGTGTAAAGCATATCTGTGTGTGAATAAGAAAGTAAGCACGAGTAAGTGTATGCATCCATATATGAAGTATGTGTTTATGTGACCAAGTGGGTAAGTACGAGAGTGTATGTTTGTATACCATATGTGAGCATATATGTGTGTAAACATGGTATGAAGATCATGAAATTTTCACCTAGAGATGAGTGTCTAGGTGCCTACACATCTTTGCATGTCCAAGTGAGTCTTAATAAATACATCTTTGGCTGAGTGCAGTGGCTCACACCTGTTATCCCAGCACTTTGGGAGGCCGAGGTGGGCGGATCACGAAGTCAGGAGTTCAAGATCAGCCTGGCCAACATGGTGAAACCCCGTCTCTACTAAAAATACAAAAATTAGGTAGGCATGGTGGCGTGTCCCTATAATCCCAGCTACTTGGGAGCTGAGGCAGGAGAATTGCTTGAACCAGGATCCAGGAGGTGGAGGTTGCAGTGAGCTGAGATGGCACCAGCGCACTCCAGCCTGGGCTACAGAGCGAGACTCTGTCTCAAAAAAAAAAAATGCATTCACTCCTTCAATCCTTAGAACAATTGTATGAGATAAGAATTATGATTACTATTACCATTTTATAAGTGAGGGCTTGGAGAGGTTCGGCAACAGGAGAAAGGTCACGTAGCTTAGCCAGGATGTGAACCCAGGTCAACTGGCTACAAAGGCCATATTTTCAGCCACTAGGCTTACTAAGGACCAGAACAGCTCTAGGCACGGGAGATGCTGTGGTGAATCAGATCATCAGAACCCCCTGTTCTGGTGGTGCTTACATTACAGTAGAGAAGAGAGATGGGAAATAAATAAATGAAGACCATAATTTCAGATAATGGAGATGGCCATGAAGAAAATAAAACAGGCTGATGTTGTTAGTGACAAGAAGGGCTAACCTGATAGGGCTTCAGGGCCACCTTCTCCGAGTAAACAAAATTTGAGTTGAGTTGAGATTCAATGACTCCAAGGAGCCAACCAGATGATAATATAAGAACGAAAGGGCCCCAGACCAATGGAACAGCAGGCACCAAGGCCCTGGGGTGAAATGAGCTGGAAGACATCAAGAAACAGAAAGAGGCTGAACTGTATTGAGCAGAGGGAGCTGCTATAAGTTACAAAACAGGTGAGAAAACAGTGATCACATCACGTACGTGAGGATAAAAAATTGGATCTCTCTGAATGCAAAGAAAATACCCCTTGAATAGTTTTTAAAGGAGAATAGAATGATCTAATTTTACTTTTAAAAGATCACTCTGTCAAATGTGTTAAAAATAGATAGAACTCCTGCCTGGCAGAGATTAAGCAGTCAACAAATAGAAGAGCTCCCTCCCTACTCTAAGAGATGCCTGGGGGAAAGACAAGAAAGCTAACGTCCAGAAGAAATGTCCTTTCTCTTCCAAAAATCTTGGATGCTACAGGCTGCTGTAGGGAAAACAGGCTTTGAAACTGTTTTGTTTGACCCTCTGCTACCAGATGGGGTACCTCTCAGAGACAGGAGCTATATTCTATTTGCCAAGTCCCATCCTCTTTTCAGAAGCCTCTTTCCTTGTCCATCCTGGATTTATGTGGTGCTTATCTTATAATGTCACCTGAACCAGGAAGTTTTTTCAAAGCAATATTTGCTAAACATTCAAGTGGACCAAGCAAGTTGGTATGAGGCAAAGATGGTAACCATATATTCCCTGGTCATTAAGGTGTCTCTAATCAAACATTTTTTTTCCTTAGGTTGGCTGCTAAGATATTATTCCCTAGTTCTGATATCTGATTATTGCTTTCTTTCCACTCTGGACTGTGAAGACTGACTCACTCTTTTGGTTGCCAAAGACAATGATGACATAAACACATTTCTTGTCTTTAAAGAAAGAGAGGCATTGGATTGAGCAGGAAACAATGTACTACAGCAGGGATAGAACGCATGCTATCCATGGTCAGCCCCAAAATGCTGGACGTTCTTTTCCATGTGCAGCCGCCTCATCTCATTTCCTTTTCTCTCATTTTTGAGTAGCTTCCCATGGAAGCAGAACCAGACTTGGTAAAGGTCAGAGCTTAACCATGCGCTTGTGAACCTGCACAGAGATCTTGGTTCCCCAAACAAGTGTTGCTCAAAATGTCTTTGGGTCTCTGACTTCATAACGTCAATGCAGTAAGGGCTTAAAAGCCCATCACTAGCTGAAGTCTTGACTGGTAAGGTAGTCCATAGATGGCACAATTGCAAACCTGGATGTTGTCCCAAGCTTCAAAGGGATACATGAAAGTCGAAAAAACAGGGGCAGAAAAGTGAGTGCAGGACTCCTGGTCAATAAGGCAAAACAAAACTTTATGCAAAACCTTCTCTATGCTGTAAAGTGTAAAGTTACTAAATAAACAATTTTAATTCAATAAAATAGAATCTGAGGTCAAAGTTAAAAAGGGTGCCCCTCAGGTAATCTAGAGATGATAAGAGGCTTCCCAGGCTCAGTAAAGAACAGAATTTGACCCTCTGGGGCTGGGGTTGTAATGTTCTTGGAAAGAAACTGTCTTCAAGTCTGTGGCCCCTTATAAGGCTACAAGAAGGAATGAAGATTCCTGGGTAAAGTAAGGCACCAGGAAACACATGCTGAGTCTGTAAACAGGGAGGAGAAACTTCCCTTCCAGCTCTGGGACAGAGCCCAGAAGTGAATGTCTGCCTGAATCGCTGATGGAAAGTAGTGACTCATAAAATATTAGAACCCTGGAACTGCATGAGGTGTATGTAGTAGATGAGCCTGAGTTGTACCTCCTGACACGGGGTAGAAACTTCGAGCCACGGAATTAATGTAAAAGCTAGCCAGGAAGTGAGGAACCTCTGCAGAGACAACCATAAAACCAGACAATAGGAGTCCTCCTAAACCTAGGCACGTGCACGACTGCTGTTAATACCAACTCCTGCTGAAAGCAAGCACACAGGCAAAAATTACCCCAAAAAATTCTATTAAAGACCATGAAAAGACTAGGAGAATTTACTACCAAAGAGATGCTTGCTGAGAGAACCTCTAAAGGCTATAACCCAGCAAGAAGAAAATTGAATCCAGAAGGAAGGAGGAGGATGAAAGAAGCAATAGGGAGAAAAGAAACAGAAAGAAAAAGAAAGTAATAAACACGTTCTCTTCTTGGCCAGACAATGTACAAGTTACTAGGTTGGTGCAAAAGTAATTGTGTTTTTTGCCATTCATTGCACCAGTCTAATAGCAAGTGGACCTTGTTGTGGCTGGTGGAGGCACGTAACTGGATAGGGAAAGACCACTGGAAGCAGGAGGGAACTATGTTTCCTCTCTCACCTCGGTCTTGGTCTTCAGAGCCAGGAATTGATCCTGGTTTTCCTGGCTAAAAAGTCTGTTTACTCACAGAGTCAAAGGGTAAGTGTGTTTGCACAGATTGAGTGCACATAAGAGAAAACCCAGTTTTCTCAACCCACACAGCATTCCAATGCATGCTCTGACCCACCCACCTGCTCCACCAAATAGACCTAAGTATATCATTGTGTTTGGTGCATTAAGAGGCTTAGGGAAATCAAGAGCTTTCTCCTTTTTTTCTCTTCCTTTTCCCTGCAATATCTGCTGACTTAAGCGTGGCCTCCTGTGTAGCATGCATGAGCTGGAGATGGCAATGGTGGAAAAATCACCTGATGTCAGCACTAACCTATGCATTTGGATGTGAACCTGTTGGCAAATTATAGCCTGTCACTCTCAAATGAGTGAGCCGAGATGGAAATGTCAATTTGAGCAGATGCCTTTTCTTCCTCTTTTTTGCACTACAGTTTAGAGAGGTGACACAAATATCACAAAGCACATGCCTAATGCATGAGTTTTAAATTCAATAGTGAAAGGGGGAAGAGAGGAGAAGAACGAGGGTTACAGAAGGATTTCTGTGGTTTATTGAGCAATAAATGTGGGCAATGTAAGGGGAATAACAGGAACTGGAGAGATCAGCTCTTCTTCATTCTGGCAAGATGCAATGAAAAGGACCACGGCTTGGTTACAAATGCAGCCTAGCAAGGATGAGAGAGAGAAAAGAATTTAGCATAAGCCACATGTCGCAGCCCGAGGCAACAGAGTATCAGTGCTTCTGAAGATGTTTTTGGCATGTTGATTGAAGAAGCAACTTTCAAACATGAAGGGAAAGAAACTATTTGGCAACATGTCTGTGGAGGGAACCATGGTCCCATGAAGTTCTTTTGGGTCTCTTTTGAGTCCTATGATATTAAGACTTGAGGGAAAGCAATTTCTGTGCCTTAAGTTCCCCAAAGTGAAGAAACCAGATTATATTATATAAACAGCTTCTAGCAAGCAAAGCATAAGACAGCAATGCTATTTATTTTCTGAACATGTTCCTCTCCCTTTGATGGGCCCCAGGCATGTGGAGCAAAATATAAACACCGAGAGAGAGGGAGAGAGCACAAGAAATAATCAGGGTCTTGACCCTTCGTGATTTCAGGTTCAAGAGGTGGAGGCTCAGGCCAGGGGTCACCGAGAACCTTAGAGGTAAAACCTCAGACTTTATCACTATTTCCTGCCCAGGAGAGCACAAGGTTAGGGTCAAGTTTACAGAAGGGGATTATTAAAGGGATTTGGGGTGAGCTATATTGGATGCCCAGATCAAGGGCAGAGGAGATTTCAAGCTATCCTGACCTGTATTTCTCTCCTTTTTTTTTCCTCTCGGCTGTGTTTCCACAGCTTCTAAGCATCCTATCTTAGTTTTGCTTTTATGCACTTTGATAGTCCAGAAATAATTTGAGCTGGAATCTTTCATCTTTCCCCTATTTGATGTAAGCATTGGGTAAGACTTATATAAATAATAAAAATAACAGCTCACATCTATTGAACACATCTAATGGGAACCAGAGATTAGTTTATTTAATCCTTACAACAATCTTTGAGGTAAATATTAACATTTCCTCTATGCTATTTGTTAAAACTCAGACTCATAGGCTTGTTAAGTCATGGGGCTGAAACTGAACCCAGGAAGACTGACTATAGAAATATAAGCACCACCATACTCCATAAGTTGTTCCATCAAATGTCACACAGACTGCCAAATTGATAGGTAGGAAAATTGCAGCTCTTTGTCACCAGGTGAAAAAAGACACAAAAAGACAGCTAAAGCACCCGTAAAACCTCTGAAAAGAAATATTAATGAATTAGAAGGAAGGTTGCATTTCTAAGATATTTTCACCCCTACCTACCAATGGCATCCCTTATCAGGAATAAGGTATAGATTACTTTGGCAGCTGTGGCAAGCTTTACAAAAAAATTAATAGAATTCCTTTTTCTTGTTCGTGTGTTTTTGAGACGGAGTTTTGCTCTTGTTGCCCAGGCTGGAGTGCAATGGTGGGTTCTGGGCTCACTGCAACTTCTGCCTCCTGGGTTCAAGTGATTTTCCTGCCTCAGCCTCCCAAGTAGCTGAGGTTACAGGTATGCACCACCACGCCCAGCTAATTTTTGTATTTTTGTATTTTTTTTTTTTTGTAGAGACAGGTTTCTCCATGTTGGTCAGGCTGGCCTCGAACTCCTGACCTCTGGTGATCTGCCCACCCCAGCCTCCCAAAGTGCTGGGATTATAAGCATGAGCCACCGTGCCCAGCCCCCCACCTTTGTTTTTTGTTGTTGTTGTTGTTGTTTTAATTTTTTTAACTGCTGTGCTTAAACCATCATTTGCACTCAGCTAATTTTATTTTTTATTTTTTAAATGGGCTTCAGTTTTAGTACAGTTTTAGATGTACAGAAATATTGAGCAGATAATACAGACTTCCATATATGCACCCCACCCCTACTCTCTACCTCTAGCATACCATTTCTCCTATTATTAACATCTTGCATTAGTGTGGCATATTTGTTACAATTTTATACATTACTATTAACTAGAGTCCTTCGTTTACATGATGTTCCTTTCTTTATGTTGTCTGGTTCTATGGGTTTTGACAAATGAATAATGACGTGCATCCACCCTTATGGTATTATGCAGAATAGTTTCACCACGCAGAAAATCTCTAATGCTTCCTCTATTCATCTTTTCCCTCCCTTTGGTAGTAAATTCTCCCAGTATTTATGTAGTCTTTAATATAATTTATTTTGTAATTTTTGCCTGTGAGCCTGCTTTCAGCAGGAGTTGTCACTACAGGAGTCATGCACGTGCCCTTCCACCAAGCCCCCAGCAAGCACTGATTGTTTCCCTGTCTATAGTAATGTCTTTTCCAAAATGTCATCTAATTAGAATCATATGGTGTGTAGGCTTTCCAGACTGGTTTCTTCACTAAGCGAAATACATTTAAGGTTCCTCCATGTCTCTTTGTGGGTTGATAGCTCATTTCATTTTAGCCATTGAATAATAGTCCATTGTATGGATATACTAAAGATTATTCATTCACCTATTGAAGAGCATCTTGGTTGTTTCCAGACTTTGGCCATTACAAATAAAGCTGCCGTAAACGTTCACATTGCAGGTTTTTGTGCATGCATAAATTTCAACTCTTTGTGGTAAATAGCTAGGAGCGTGATTGCTACACTCATATAGTGAGGCTATGCTTAGCTTTGCAAGAAGCTGCAAGCTGTCTTCCAAAATGGCTGCACCATTTAGCATCCCACCAGCAGCAAGTAAGTGTTGTTTCTCTGCACCCTTGCCAGCATTTGGTGTTGTGAGTTTTTTTTTTTTTTTTTTTTTTTTTGGTTTTAGCCATTCTAACAGGTGTGTAGTACTATCACTTTTGTCTTAATTTGTGGTTACCTAATGACATATGGGACTGAGCATCTTTTTGTGTGCTTATTTGCTCTCTGTATATGTTTTTCAGGTGTCTTTCAAATCTTTTGTTCATTTTTAATCAGGTTATTTGTTTTCTTACTGTTGAGTTTTAAGAGTTCTTTGTACATTTTGGATAAAAGTTCTTTAACAGATACATGACTTGTATTGTGTTTCTGTTACTGAGTGTGCTTTTGATGTTGAATCTAAAAACTCACCACCAAACCCAAGGTCACCTCAGGTTTCTCCTACATTACCTTATAGAAGTTTTGTAATTTTGCAATTTATGTGTAACATCTATTTTGAGCTAATTTTTATAAAAGATTCTCTTTTTTTTGCATACCAAAGTCCAGAAGTTTCAGTACCATTTCTTGAAAAGACTATCCTTTCTCCATTGTCTTATTGTTGCTCATTTGTCAAAGATTAGTTGGCTATATTTGTGTGGGTCTACATCTGGGTACTCTATTCTCTTCCATTTATCATTCATCTATTCTTTCACCAATACCTTGTTAACATGATTGTTGTCATTTTGTGGTAAGTCTTAATATCCGATAGCATTAGTTCTCTGACTTTTTTATTCTTCAGTCTTGAGTTATATAGTTGTTTCTTTTGCCTTTCTATATAAACTTTAGAATCAAATTGTCAATATTCACAAAATAACTTGGTGATATTTTGGTAGTAATTGTGCTGAGTCTACAGATTGTAAAGTTGTGAGGAATTGATATCTTAACTATATCAAGTCTTTCTATCAAGGAAAATGAACACCTCTTTATTTAAATGATCTTTGATGTCATCCATCAGAGTTTTATAGTTTTTCTCATATAGATCCTACACACATTTTGTGAGATCTTTTTTTGGTGCTGATGCAAATTATATCTTACTTTTAATTTCAAACTTCAGTTGTTCATTGCTACCATATTGGGGGCAAATTGATGTTTGTATAATGACCTTACATTCTTTGATTTTGCCATAATAATTTATTAGTTCTGGATTTTTTTGTCCAGTTCTTTGGGATTTTCTACATAGGCAATAATATAATCTGCAAACAAAGATAATTTATTTCTTCCTTCCCATCTGTATACCTCTTATTTTCTTTTCTTATGGTATTCCATTAGCTACAAGTTCTGAGATAGTGTTGAGAAGGAATGGCAAGAGGAGACATTATTTCCTTATTTCTGATCTTGAGGTGAAAGTATCAAGTTTCTCACCATTATGTATGAAGTTAGCTGGAGTTTTTTGTAGATAATTTTATCAAGTTGAGGAAGTTTGGAAATGTTCCTGTTTTCCTAGTTTTCTGAGAGTTTGTATTTTGAATGGATGTTAGGTTTTGTCAAATACTTTTTCTACATCTATTAATATAATCATACAATTTTTATTCTTTAACCTGTTGATATGATTGATTACATTAATTGATTTTTAATGTTGAACCAGCCTTGCAAGCCTAGAATAAACCCTACTTGAGGTGTATAATTATTTTTATATATTTATATATATATTTATGTATATTTTATATTTTTTTATATATTTTGTATTCTGTTTTCTAAGATATTGTTGAGGAGTTTTACATCTATGACGTGGGTGTATAGATTTTTTAAAATAATGTCTTTATCTGGTTTTGGTCTTAACATAATGCTGGTTTCATAGAATGAGTTAGAAAGTCTTCCCTCTGCTTCTATCTTCTTGAACACATTGTACAAAATTGGTATCATTTCTTCCCTAGATGTTTGGTAGAATTAAGCAATGGAATTATCTGTGCCTGGATTTTTTCTTTTTAGGAAGATTTTTAACCAAAAAAAATTGTATTTAATAGATATAGACCCCTTTAGATTATCTGTTCCTCTTTGTGTGAGCTTTGGTAGCTTGTGTCTTTCAAGGAATTGATTGATTTTGATATGGACAGAAGGCAGGGAAATTCTAGGTAGAAGAGGGAGGGTCCCCAGCAAGGGCCCCACCCTCAAGCCCAAAAACCTGAAACCACAGCCCAAAGTGAGAACTTACATCCCTGTTTTCCCGCTTGAATATCGCCTTTTCCAAAACCACCCATGGCCCACACTGCTCCCAATCCTGTGCCTATAAAAACCCCAGACCCAGCTGGCAGAGAGAAGCAGTTGGACATTGGAGACTCTGGTTGTACATCAGAGAGAAGCAGCTTGACTTCAGAGGGACAGCTTGATTACATAACTTCAGAGAAGAATCTGGCTGGAGACAGCCGGACTTCAAGAAAGATTACTTTTCCATCACGTCCCCTTTTCAGCTCCCCTTCCCACTGAGAGTCAATTTCATTGGCAATAAAATTCCCCACATTTACTAACCTTCGATTCATTTGTGTGACTTCATTTCTCCTAGATTTCAGACAAGAGCTCAGCTACCACAAGTCTAGATGCAAAAGGCTGTCACACTGACACTTTGCCCTCACTGATGGAAGGCAGCTGCCTCATGAGAAAAGGCAGAGAGTATACTGAGCTGGTAACATTTAAGCCATCTGCAGTCAACAGAGCTAAAAGAGCACTGTAAGACTTTTTCTGGGGTTTCTGGGGATATGGGCACCTCTCTGCCAGATGCTGCTATGGGGCCCTGTGTGGAGTTCACTCCTGCCAGCTCCCAAAAGTGCTTGCTTGCCCTGGCTCCTGCTCCTGCTCACCTGTGTGCTCCTTCCCACAAAGGGGGAAGCCCAGCAGGTCCAAGTGAGTGGAGTTTGCCTCTGCTGGCACCAAAGCAGCCGTCTAGTTCCAGTGACCACACACTCCACTTCCTGCCTCGTTTGCTTGCATGGTCCCTCTCACAAGGAGTTGAGTACTGCAGGCTGAGTCAACAAGGCACCCCTTTGCATGTCCTGTGAAGGGGTCAGGGAAATACCCCACTTCAATTTTATCTAAGTTATCAAATTTGGAGTCATGGAGGTATTCATAATTTTCTTTATTCTCCTTTAAATGCCCATGGGCTCAATCATGGTGTTCCCTCTTTCATTTCTGATGTTAGTAATTTGTGTCTTTTCCATTTTTTCTTGGTTAGCTTGATGAGAGGTTTATGAATTTCATTGATTTTTTCTAAAAAAACTGATTTTGGTTGAACTGATTTTCTCTATTAACATCCAGTTTTCAATCTTACCATTTTCTGTTTTAATTTTTATTATTATTTCCTGCTGTTTGCTTTAGGTTTATTTTGTTCTTCTTTATGTAGTTTCCCAAGGTAGAAGCTTAAATTATTGATTTTGATCCTTTTTTTTCTTTTCTAAAATACATATTCAATGCTCTGTATTTCTTTCTAAGCACTGTTTCACTGTGTCCTAATATTTTAATATTACCATTTTGTTTAGTTTAAAATATTTTTAAAAATTTATCTTGAGACTTCTTCTCTGACCCATGTATAATTTAGAAGTGTGTTATTTAATCTTCAAGTATGTGGGGATTTTTTGAGCTGTCTTTCTGTTAATGATTTCTAATTTAATTCCATTGTTATTTGACAGCACACTCTCAAACTTGTTAAGGTGTATTATACAACCCAGAATGTAGTCTACTTGGTGAATTTTCTATATGAGCTTGAGAAGAATGCATCCTGCTGTACTGGATGGAGTACTCTACATATATTAATTAGATTCAGTTACTGATGGTGTTGTTCAGTTCAGCTGCATCCTCACTGATGTTTGTGTGATAGATTTGTCAATTACTGATAGATGGGTGTTGGAGTCACCGGTTTTAATAGTGGATTTATCTATTTCTCCTTTCAGTTCTATCTATTTTTGCCTCATGTAATTTGATGCTCTGTAGTTAGTTGTATACACCTTAAAGATTGTTATTTCTTCTTGGAGAATTTGTTCCTTTATCATTATGCCATGCTCCTCTTTACTTCTGACAATTTTATTTGCTCTAAAGTCTGCTTTGATTGAAATTAATATAGATCCTCCAGGTTTCTTTTGATTAGTGTTAATGTGTTAGAATAGTATATCTTTTTCCATGCATTTATTTTTAATCTATCTGTGTATTTATATTTAAAATGGGGTTCTTATAGAGAACACATAGATAAATCTTGGCTTTGTTTTAAAAATAATCCAATGTGACAGTCTCTGTCTTTTAACTAGTATATTTAAACTGTTCACATTTAAGTTTATTATTGATATACCTGGATTAATATCTATCATGTTTGTAGCTTTTTCTATTCATTGCACTTGCTCTTTCTCTTTTCATTGCACTTGCTCTTTCTTTCTTATCCTCCCCTCTTTTTCTGCCTTTGCTGGTTTTAATAGAACACTTGATATAACTCCATGTTCCCTCTTCTCTTAGCATATCAATTATATGTGGTGGAGGATGGGGTGTGGGAGGTAAAAAGTTAACAGGTACAAAAATACAATTAGATAGAAGGAATATGTTCTGGTGTTAAATAGTACAGTAGGGAAATTATAGTAAACAATAATTGTATATTTCAAAATAGCTAGAAGAGAAAAAGCTATAATGTTCCCATCACAAAGAAAAGATACATGTTTGAGGTGATGGATAATATAATTACCCTGATTTGTATTAGGGTACATGGTATCAGGGTACATGTTGTACAATGTTACAGGTACCAAAATATCACATCTGCCACCCAAAAATGTACAATTATTATATATTGATAAAAATAGTGGCTGCTTTTGAGTGTAATACACATTTTAAAATAATCTAATTATGCTTTTAAATAATACCTCTCTACTTCATAGGTAGTGAAGGTACCTTATACCACAGTATTTCCAATTCATCCCTCTTATCTCTTATAATACCAGCCTGTTCATTTCATCTGCTATACTCAACCAATATATTGTTGCTATTATTACTTTGAACAGCTATCTTTTTAGATCAATTAGAAATTACAAAAATAAAAGATTTCATTTACCTTTCACTGATTATTTCTCTATTATTCTTCCTTTCTTTATGTAGATCTGAGTTTCCGACCTATATCATTTTTCTTTTCTCTGGAGAACTTTTTTCCTTCCTTCCTTCCTTCTTTTCTTCCTTCCTTCTTTCCTTCCTTCCTTCCTTCCTTTCTTCCCTTCTTCCCTCCTTTCCTCCTTCCCTCCTTCCCTTCTTCCCTCCTTCCTTCCTCCTTTCTTTTGAGACAGGGTCTCACTCTGCTGCCCAGGCTGGATTGCAGTGGCATGATCTCAGCTCACTGCAACCTCTGCCTCCTGGGTTCAGGCAATTCGTGTGCCTCAGCTTCCCAGGTAGCTGGAATTATGGGTGTGCACCACCAAGCCCAGCTGATTTTTGTATTTTTAGTAGAGACAGGGTTTCACCATGTTGGCCAGGCTGATCTGGAACTCTTGACCTCAAGTGATCTCCCTGCCTCATCCTCCCAAAATTCTGGGATTACCGGCATGAGCCACTGCACCTGGCCTTCTTTTAACATTTCTTGTAAGCAAGTCTGCTCACAACAAATTTCCTCAGTTTTTGCTTGTCTGAGAATATCTGCTCCTTTACTTTTGAGAAAAAAATTTGCTTGATGCAAATGTCTATGTTGGTGGAGTTTTATTTTTTTCAACCCTGAAGATCTTATTCCACTCTCTCCTTGCTTGCGTAGTTTCTGATGACAAATCTGTTGCAATTCTTATTCTTGTTTCTCTGTAGAGAAGGTGGTTGATTTTTCCCTCTCGCTTCTTTTAAGCCTGTCTGTTTGTCTTTAGTTTTCTTCAATTTAAATATGGTATGCCTAGATAGATATTTTGATAATGATGGTTGTTGTTCTCTGAGATTACTATGCCTGTGGTTTAGTTTCTGTCATTAATTTTGGAAAATTTCCCATCACTATTACTTCAAACAATTTTTCTGCTACTTTCTTCCTTCTGGTTTTCCAACTTTGTATGCATTATACCTTTTAAAATTGTCTCACAGTTCCTGGATATTCTATTATTGATTGATTGATTGATTGATTGATTGATTCATTGATTTTAGAGTCTCACTCTGCTGTCCAGGTTGGAGTACAGTGGCATGAACTTGGCTCACTGAAGCCTCCACCTCCCAGGTTCAAGTGATTCTCCTGCCTCAGCCTCCCGAGTGGCTGGGACTACAGGCACACACCACAATGCCCAGCTTATTTTTGTATTTATAGTAGAGACGGGGTTTCACCATGTTGGCCAGGCTGGTCTCAAACTCCTGACCTCAAGTGATCTGCCTGTCTCAGCCTCTCAAAGTGGAGCCACCATGCCTGGCCTGTTTATTACAGGTGTGAGCCACTGTGCCCGGCTTGTTTATCTTTTTTTGCATTTCAGTTGAGAAAATTTTTTATTGACAATACATCCAGCTCACTGATTCTTTCTTCAACTAACTGATGAGGCCATCACAATTTATTTCTTTGTGATGTGATTATTTTGATTTCTATCATTTCATTTTAATTCTTTCTTATATTTTTCATCTATTTGCTTACATTATCCATCTAATCCTACATGTTGTCTACTTTTTCCATTACAGCCCCTAGCATATATGTAGTTATTTTAAATACCTGGCTTGATAATTCCCAAATCTCTTCCATATCTAAGTCTGGTCTGGATGCTTGTTTTTTCTTTTCAGACTGTGTTTTTATTTGTCTTTGAGCACGTTTTGTAGTTTTATGTTGGAAACTGAACATGACATATTTGGATAATGACAACAAAGGTGGATATGCATTTACTGAAGTTTTCTGTTTATCAGGCTAGGAGTTAGGTTGTGTTTACCATTTTATACAGCTGTAGGAGTCAGAGGCTCACATTTACTTTAATGACACTTGTTTTTGTCTCCCTGGTTGTCTCTGGGTTTCCCTAGAAACTCCTTCTTAAATAAAACTAAATCTTATAGCTCTTTTAGCTGTAATCCACTATTATTATACAGGAGCTCTATAATGCAGTAAGATGTGGGAAAAGGTGAGGTGTTCTGTAATCCTATGATTAAGCTTTAGTCTTTTAGGGAGTCTGTTACCTCTAAGATGCCTCTAAGCTTTATATCTTCTGTTTAGTGGGACAGGAAGGCTACAGGGAGCTGGAGTTGGGTATTTCTTTTTCTTCATTTGGGAGAAGAAACTAGTAAAGTATTTTCCCTTCCTGGGTAGATCTTTGTTATGGACAAACCTGTGGGCTTACATCAGAATGGCTACTTTCTCTTCCCTTGAACAAACGTGAGGGATTTTTTCACTGTTTTTCTCTGATCTTCATTGTGGGAACCTAGTGGGACTCCTGGAGATAAAACACACAGAAGCGTGGAGACCTCCCTCAAACCAGGCTCTCAATCTGGTCCACACTCAGCTTCCAGTAAGTCATCAAAGGTACGGTTTAAATGTTCCTACCTGTCACAGATTCCAGCGGCCTCTGCTTCAGGTAAGCTGATCTGCTTCCTCTCTGTATTTTTCCTCTCTCCAGTTTTCAGGGTGGTAGTGTGTCCTGCAATCTCAATTCTTTAATGGATCTAAGAAAAGTCATTGATTTTCAGTTCAGCTGTTTTCTTGTTGTGGTGGAAGGAAAGATGGCTTCCAAGCTCTTTACATATTGGAGTTAAAACCAGATGCCACAAACTCTTTAAAAACATAAAGCAGGTCATTTCTCTGGTTCATTCATATGGTATTATGAATGTATTATGATATAATAGAAATGAACTATTGATATGTGTGATAATATAGATAACTCTATAGTTTTTCGTGGAAGAAGCTAAACACAAAGAAGACCCTTTATATGGTTCCATTTATATAAAGTTCAAAAACAGACAAAACTACACCATGGTACTGTATTATAATGGATTATGATGGTACACTGTGAGGAGGAGAAAGTGAATAACGATTGTGAAGAGGAATGCAGGCAATTCTGAAGCACTGAAAATTTTCTATACACTGAATTTCTTAGTTTATTCCCCCCCTCTTTCTTTTGTTATACTTTATAAATTTTTAATTTCTATGGGTACATAGTAGGTATATGTATGTATGGACACATGGAATATTTTGATACAGGCATACAATGTGTAATAAACACATCAGGGTCAATTTGGTATCCATCACCTCAAACATTTATCATTTCTTTGTGTTACAAACTATACTCTTTCAGTTATATTTTTAAAATGTACAATAAATTATTATTGACTGTAATTACCCTGTTGTACTATCAGATACTAAACCTTATTCATTCTGTCTAGCTGTATTTTTGTACTCATTAACTACCCCTCTTCCCCCGCTCCCTGCTGTTTCTCTCATAAGTCCAGTCCTTTGCAGTGGCTTTGCCTCAGTTTCCAGGTTTGGATATCCAGGTCTACAGTAGTTGGAGAAAGGCATGGGGTTTAGGGAAATCACAGCCCCGAGGCTTCTTGGCTGCATTCTAATACTGTCTGATTCTGCCTTTCTCTAATACCAAGATTACAGAAAATTTCAAAAACTTAGAAAATCCACCCATAATCCCATCCTCCTAAAACAAATGCTGTCCAATTTTTAGGTACTTTCATTTTTCATCCTTTGTCATTTTATTTTTTTAAATGTGGTAAATACACATAACATAAAATGTACCATTTTAACCACTTTAATGTGTACAACGTAGTGGCATTATTACATTATTATATTATTACAATGTTGTGCAACCATCACCCATATCTTGTTCTGGAACATTTTTATCACCCCAAAAGGAAACCCATTTTATGCATTAGCAGTCACTCCACATTCTTTTCTTCCTCCAGCCTGTGGCAACCACTATGCCTGTCTTTTGGTCTCTATGAATTTGCCTATTCTGGATATTTCATGCTGTCTGTCATATTTTTTAAAAAGTGCAACTATAGCATATAAGTATATTTAGATTTATTTTAACTTAAGATTATGCTTCAGGTATTTTTCCATGTAAACTTAGTGACTTTCATATTAAGTGCTGCAGAATATCCTACTGGGAAAATGTCATAGCTGACTTAATAATTTTCTATTTGGGAATTCTTGCAAACATTTTCTGTGTTTTTTTTTTTTGTTTTGCTGCTATAGCTAACACCATAATGAACATCTTTATGCATATAGTTTTTTCCAAGTTGTAGTTATTTCTTTGGAATTGGCTCTCATATGTGGGACACCTGGATAGAATCATGAAGCATGGTGGTAATCTTCAGGCTTTCTTTCAACATCTCCAAATTGCTTTTTAAATAAGGTTATATTAATTTTCAACATTACTGGGCATACAAGATGTACCTATTTCACTGTATCCTTGGCAGCAGTGGTCATAATCTTCCATAATTTATTTTTTGGAGTCTCCTTGGTTCGTGACATATGACTTTGAAAAAAGAAGATGTTTTCAGCTCTTCCATTCTGTCACCACTGGCAGAGTGATTTTCTCAGAAAAACTGGCATATCAAGCCAGATAACATTTCCAATTTATCGCTCCTGTGAAAGCGGCTGCAGGATAAGAACAAATACAGTCTGTGTTCAATCTATTCAATTAGAACAGAACAAGGAATTTATTTCAACACAGACAAATCAGCAAATCCCATTCTGTTTGAATCCCACTTAGCATTTATGTAGGCTTAATTAAATCACCGTTGGGGTTTCTTACAAAAAGAACCACCTTCAGGAAATATACTTGCTAAATACTCTTCAACAATGGTTGGGGGGAAATAAATAAGTAATGTGAGTTGGTTCTCAGAGCCACTGACATCTCCTCCAAGTTTCTGATCTCTGCTAGAACTGTGAGCTTATAAGCAATCAAGCAGCTGATGCTGGTGTGTGGGGCAGGGTTAGTGGAGTGGGATATTTTGTGACTCCATTCATAAGCATCATGCCCTCTGCACTGTTCTATCAGCACCTGTCTTTAGCAGCAAGCATGCCTTCTAACACAGGACCAGAATTTTTCTCATATAAACAACCCAGCCCTCAACAAAATGGACAGCCAGCCAGAAGGGAGGGAAGAAGGAGTCATTACCAACAGTTCTTGTGGAAACTGATGGCTCATTTCATTCTTACTGCCTAGCTGGCTTTCCAGCCAAGCACACTGCAAAATCCTCCTTCTCCCACCTCCATTTCTCTCTCTCTCTCTCTCTCTCTCTCTTTCTCTGTCCAGTTAGAAAGTGCTAAATAGGTCGGGCATGGTGGTTCACCTCTGTTACCCAAGCACTTTGGGAGGCCGAGGTGGATGGATCACTTGGAGTCAGGAGTTGGAGACCAGCCTGGCCAAGATGGTGAGACCCCGTTTCTACTAAAAATAGTCAGGCATGATGGTGCACACCTGTAATCCCAGCTACTCAGGGTACTGAGACAGGAGAGTTGCTTGAACCCGGGAGGCAGAGGTTGCAGTGAGCCGAGATGGCACCACCGTACTCCAGGCTGGGGAACAGAGCAAGACTCCATCTCAAAAAAGAAAAAAAATTGCTAAATATTGTTATTAGTAACAGGGCCTCTCTGCAATTAAGACAGCATGTTAATACTGGAATGTGGTAATGAACTATCTAAGTCAGTATGACAATATTCTGAGGAGCTCAGGGACATCTATTACCCTGTAGACTTCATTATTGATCAGTTGAACATCTCATTACCTTTCTGCTATGGGCTAAGCTATACTTACATAAACTGGTTTGACTATACCCAAAGAGGGAAGTACTATAATTATCCTCATAGAAATATCCCCTTAGAAACAGGCTAAGAGAAATTAAGGGATGACAGTTTTACGCAGATCTTTCCTGACTGATGTGTGAATTCAAGCTTTTAACTCCTACCCTGCACCTAGACTCTGGAGAAGAGAAAGCTAAGGATGACTGTTGTCGTAGAAGAATTTCTATTGAATGAAGCCCCAGAAATTCACCAACACAATTACCTATGTGTATTCTCTCCTGATAAAGCTTGGATGTCTTTATTTTTTTTTATTTTATTTTATTTTCTTATTTTATTTTATATTTTAGAGACAGGGTCTAACTCTGTCGCCCAGGCTGGAGTGCATGGTATGATCATAGCTCACTGCAGCCTGGAAATCCTGGGCTCAAGTGATCCTCCTGCCTCAGCCTCCTGAGTAGCTAGGACTACAGGCATGCACCACCATGCACGGCTAATTCCTTATTTTTTAGTAGAGAAGCATCTTGTTATGCTGCCCAGAGTGGTCTCAAACTCTTGGCCTCAAGTGCTCCTCCCACCTCAGCATCCTGAGTAGTTAGGGTTACAGGTGTGTGCCACCTTGCCAGGCTAATTTTATCTTATTAGTAGAAACAGAATCTTGCTTTGTTGCCTAGGCTGGTCTCAAACTCTTGGCCTTAAGTGATCCTCCAGCTTCAGCCTCCCAGTGGGCTCTGAATTTTAAAGCCCTTAGGAGAATCTTGCAGCCAATTACGCCTTAGAGTGTGATCCAGCATATTGATCAGCAAAAGATTGGCAGAGTAAGAGGAATTTAAAAGACTGTGCTTCCGTTAGTCAAACTTTTGTCCCCCTAACTTTTCATTAAACTCCCTGTCTTGAAGAGTTTTGAACTAATAGTTTTAGGGAACTACTGCAAACACATTTCTTCCCACAAAGGCTAAGGGAACCTGGGAACCAGCTCGTCCATCCTTCTCAATCTACCGATGAGGATCTATGAAGGGAAATCATCCTGGCCGGATCACATGGCGCGAGAACCAGCTCTTCAGTGCTTATATTCTGAGCCTCATGTTTTCTCTGGGAGATCAATAGCATTTCTACTCTCTTTGAAAAACAGGGAATGGCATTTCCCTGGGTCCGATGAGTTCCGACTCAGACAATTCGTATTTACAAAGATGCTAACTCCGTTTGCTTTGCTTTGCAGGCCCCAGGTGGTGGTGATGGGGTAGGTTAATAGCGTCTTTGAATATGAAGACGTGGGAATTGGAGAACAGCTGAGTGTAATAGAAAAATAAAATTGAAAGTTGAAGACTAGGGTTGGGATCCCCATTCTACTGCTTGCTACTTGTTCCATCTTGAAGAGCTGTATGACCTCTCTACCTCTGTGCTCTCTACCTCTCTACCTCTGTTCACCACTGTATCCCTGGTGTCTTGGGCAGAGGCTGATACATACTAAGCAACATATACATACATTCACATATAAAGTATTGTTCTTTTAAAAAAAATTTACTGGGCCGGGCGCGGTGGCTCACGCCTGTAATCCCAACACTTTGGGAGGCTGAGGTGGGCGGTTCACGAGGTCAAGAGATCGAGACCATCCTGGCTAACATGTTGAAACCCTGTCTCTACTAAAAATACACACACACACACACACACACAATAGCTGGGCACAGTGGTACGCACCTGTAGTCCCAGCTGCTCGGGAGGCTGAGGCAGGAGACTCACTAGAACCTGGGAGGCAGGGGTTGCAGTGAGCTGAGATCACACCACTGCACTGCAGCCGGGGTGACAGAGTGAGTCTCCATCTCAAAAAAAAAATTTATTGACGCAATAATCATCATTATACTCTCTGTTATCAGGCTGTGGGGCTCAACATCACGCTAAATCTGTGACTGTAGAAAATAATGTAATATTGCTAAGCCTCAGTTTTATTGTAAAGAAAATAAGGATAATAATGGGACATTCTCCAGGGTTGCTGAGAAGACTAAATGAAAGAATGCAGATATAGAACCTGACACTGAGTAAACACTTAAACTTTGTTACTACATCTTTTTTTATTTTTTTTTTTTTTAAGACAGAGTCTCTCTCTGTCACCCAGGCTGGAGTGCTGTGGCATAATCTCAGCTCACTGCAACTTCTGCCTCCAGGTTTAAGAGATTCTCCTGCCTCAGTTTCCTGAGTAGCTAGGATTACAGGTGTGCGCCAGGACACCAGGCTAATTTTTGTAGTTTTAGTAGAGACAGGGTTTCACCATGTTGACCAGGCTGACCTTGATCTCCTGACCTCAAGTGATCTGCGCATCTCAGCCTCCCAAAGTGCTGGGATTACAGGTGTGAGCCACCATGCCTGGCCTGTTACTACATCTTTCTATGTACACATGGAGATGGGGTGCCCAGAGATGGAGAGGGAAAGTTCAGAAGGAATATTTTGAATGGACTTGGGTGCCACCGTGGAATTGAACTTACTCTTATGGACATCAAATTTTAGAAAACTAATTCTTAATTGTGTGAGTCTTGGGAAGCCTATTTCTACCATGCTGGAAATGTGTCCAAGGCAGGCATGTCAGGAAGGGGAATGGTGCTTCTTTTTCTCCTTCCCTCCTTTTGTTCACTCTCCCTCCCTCCTTCTTTCCTTCCTTCTTCTTCCTGAACATCAGATGGTCGATTTATTTTGCAGTTTTTCCTCTTGGTTGCCAAATTCCTGATTAGCTACCTCTCCCTCAAGCAATTGCCTAACTCAGACAAACTAGGTAGTGAACACAGGAAGAAGTTTAAACCCACCTCACTTGGCAGAAAAGCAAGCCCTCCTAATCTTATTAAAATTTCCTGTTCCTTTTCTCCTCCATTCCTTGTCACCAAGGTAGCTGGAGCCTCTGTCTTTAGCCTTATCCTCCTCTCATCCTGTCTGATTCATGTGTTGATGTCTTGACTCTGAGCCAGCTGCTACAATGCATTGTGATATCACAGGCAGGATTTATTAGCAGCAAAAGCAGCTGTCAGGAGAGAGTAGGAGAAGGTAGGAAATGTTCCACAATGAGAGAGATAGGCCAGCTCAGACTAGGACAATGGATGAGACTACTGCTGTACTGTTATTTATTAATACCTTTTAAAAAAACAATAAAAGCTTATGAACTAAGTGATTTTAAACACATTAGCTTCCATTTTATTAATAACACTATGAGGCATGTATTATTATTCCCATGTTAGAGATGAGGAAGCTAAGATTCGGAGGCATTAGTAGCTTGCCCAAGTTTGCATATTTAGTCATTAATAAAGCTAGGGTATAAACTTAGGTCTGAGGAAATATATTAATAAATTATGTGCTTTTAACCTGAACTTTCTCCCATGCAAAGGACCTCCTCCAGTAGAAAAAGAATTGTGTAACTATTTCTTAGACATTCTCAGGAGTGAGAATTGGGATCATGTCTCAAACCAAGTGGAGACAGGTGTGAGGATTGGCATGTAGTTTACATAAGAAGCAGAAAGAGAGAGTGCCTTGGCTGAAATGGGTCAGAGGGCTTACCTTCCAGGTCAGAACTGGGACAGAGAAACTCGATCTGGCTGCAGATACTGACCCCAGAGGTGCAAATAAGCAACTGAGGCCTTGTATTAACGCATAAGCTTAATATCAGCAGCCTGTGGTGTAGCAGACCCTAGTAATATAGAGGTTAAATGAGCAGATAGCATCACAGCACTGGGAGCAGAGAGAGGATCACACTCTAGCCCTGGTAAGGAAGGTTGGCTGGAACCACCAAGGTAAGGTGGCCAGCACCTTGGATAGCGACAGAGGCCTCGTGGCAATACATATTAATCAGGTTAACCGGTCAAAACCTAGGAGCAGGGCTGGAATTCTTTCATGGCTATTCCTGTATTGAACACAAAGGAATCCAAGACAGTGTTCATGTACTTGAGCAGTTAGCCCACAGTCTACTGGCAGAGACAATGGAAAGGAAGCATAAAAGCCTGCTCTCATGGGGAGGCGTAGCGGTTTTATTAGCCCCGGGGAAGGACAGTGAACTCAACTTGAAGTGGTGGAGTCAAAGACGTCTTCATGGAATACATGGCATAGGAGAAGAAGCATCAACCATGAGAACAAAAGGGTGGGAGGTGGAGGGAAGCCTGAGCACAAGAAACAGAAGGTGCAGAGGCTTGGAGGTGAGAAACAGCCGGATGCAGAAGGAAAATCACAGTTAGATCACCATGGCTGGAGGGAGAAATGCAGACCGCGGTGTGGGAGAGAAGAATTTGGAAAGATGGAGAGAGAACTGAAATCTAAAAGAGCTTTAAAAACCCCGATGAGGAGTCTGAGAAGTTATGAAGACCAAAGAAACCTGGATGGCTGCTTTTTATTTTAAAAAGAAAACAAAAGGTCTGGCCACACTGGGCCCACATTGCTGTGTATGTTGGAGCCAAAGAATAGCAGTCCCATTTAAGAGGGTGAGCACGCTTCTGTTTCCTTTATCTCCCTGCTCCACATGCTAGCAGATCTTAGTAAAACATTTGGGTTTTATTTTGAGAAGTTTTAAGCAGAAGAGGAACAGGATCTTGTGTTTACAAACATTACTCTGACTACTCTGTGGAGCAGAGATTAAAGGGAAACCAATTGATTGGCTATCAAGGCTATATAGGTGGAAATAATAGTGACTTGAATCACGATGATGGTGGAGATGGAGGAAAGATTACAAAACAGAGATTTGCAAGGGTATTATTCTCAAGATTCTCCAGAGAGACAGAAGCAATAGTGTTGTGTGTGTGTGTGTGTGTGTGTGTGTGTGTGTGTGTGTGTATTGGGGGTGAGAGAGAGAAAGAGAGAGAGAGATATTTTAAATTTATTTTAAGAAATTGGCTTACATAAATGAAGAGGCTGGCAAGTCCAAAACTCTGCCAGGTAACCAGCAGACTGAAGACCCAGGGGAAAGTTATTGTTTGACCCTGAAGGTAGTCTTCTGGCTAAATTCCCTCCTTGTCCAAGAAAGTCAGTCTTCTTTCTAGAACACTGATTAGATGAGGCCCACCCATATTATAGAGGATAATCTGCTTTACTCAAAGTCAATTGATTTAAATGTGAACCTTACTTAAACATCACCTTCACGGAAACATTTAGATTAAAACTTGACGCAATATCTGGGTACTGTGCCCCAGCCAAGTTGACACATCAAGTTCAGTATCACAGGGAGAAACCTTTCAAACCTGTTAATATCAAAACTCCTATTAGTGATTCAAGAGTGAATATCAAGAGTGAATATCAAGAATGTATATAGACCAGGGATCAATGAACTATAGCCCCTTGTACCAAATCTTGCTTGTCATCTGTTTTGGTAACAAAGTTTTATGGGATACAGCCACATTCTTTCATTTATGTATTGGTGATGGCTGCTTTTATGCACTCAACGCAGTTGAATAGTTGTGACAGAGACCATGTGGCCTGCAAAGGCTAAGGTACTTATTCTCTGGCCTTTTACAGAAAAAGTGTGCTGACCCCTGATACACACAATTACATGTACATGTCTAGAGCTCAACTTTCAAGTCTAAACTGGAGATATAAATGTAGAATAGAATTTGGATCAGAAATGACACAAGCATCTGGATAGGGTTCCATGGCGCTCCCACATGTAGAGGTCAAACAGAGAAGTGTGAGTGCATAAAGAAATATGAAAAGAGGCAGCCAGGGAGATTGGAAATAAAAACAGAAGAATATGGTATCACAGCAGCTCAGAGAAGAAAATGTCTTGAGCAGAAGGTAAGCTGTGTTAAATTATTCTGAAATGCAAAGATGGGGACCCATGTATCCTCCGCATTTTGCAACATCATAGGGGAGGGCAATGATGACATTGAACAGTGTCAATGAAGTTGTAGAAAAGGAAACTAGGTCAATTTGCATTTCCTCAATTATAATATGAAAGAATGTTGAACATTTTTTCATGAACTTATTGGCCATGTGAATGTCTTCTTTTGAGAAGTACCTTTTAAGGTCTTCTTTCCATTTTTAAATTTGGTTATTGGGAAGGTTGTTTTTTGTTTTTTTGCTGTTGGGTTATTTCAGTCCCCTATAATTCTGGATATTAACTTTTTGTCAGATGTACATTTGCAAATATTTTCTGCCAGTCCTTGGGGTGTCTCTTCACTCTGTGAATTGTTTTCTTTGCTGTGCAAAATATTTTCAATTTGATGTAGTCTTATTTGTCTGTTTTTATTTCTGTTACCTGTGCTTTCAAGGTTTTATTTTTAAAATCCATGCTCAGCCCAATATTGTAAGGAGTTTTTTGTATGTTTTCTTCTAGTAGTTTTATAGTTTTAGATTTTACATTTAAGTCTTTAATCCATTTGAGGGTTGATTTTTGTATATGGTGACAGGCATGATTTTACTCATATGTAGAATCTAAGAAAAAAAGAGTTGGTATCATAGAAGCAGAGAATAGGATGGTGAGTACCAGAGACTGGGGAGGAGAGAGGAGGAGGATGGGAAGAGGCTGATCAACAGGTACAAAGTCACAGTCAGATAGGAGGAATAAGTTTTGATGTCCTATTACACTGTAGAATGAGAATAGATAATAGTAAGTTGTTGTGTATTACAAAACAGCTATACGAGAGGCTTGAATATCTTCACCACAAAGAAGTGATAAATATATGGGGTGATGGTCATGCTAAATACTTTGATTTGATAATTACACAACATATATGTATCAAAAATTAAATTATACCCCCAAATATTTACAAACATGTCAATTAAAAAATTACAAAAGAAAAACCTGAAGTTCAATACAATTTTAAAAATGAGACATGAAGAAGTTGATTTATCAACACTAGACAAATGTTTTCAAGAAGTTTTGCTATGAAGTGGAGTAAATAAATAAGATGTTACAGGAAAGGGATTGTGGATTTATAATTAGACAATTTGTTAAAGTGCATAACATATGCAGAAGAGAACATAAATCATAGGTGTACAGATGAAACATTTTACATAAAATGAACACATCTGTGTGACTGCTACTCAGGGTTATAACAGAATATTAGCAGCGACTCAGAAGCCTTACCTTGTATACCCACAGTCATTGGTGCGATCTGCTCTAGAGACAAGCTTTCCATTTCTTTCTTTGATAAAGTCTTTATTTCCCTTTCAATTCTGAAGGATATTTTCATAAGGATTAAAATCGTTTTCTTTTGACACTTTGAAGAAATCATTACATTATCTTCTAAATTCCATTATTTCAATGGAGAATTGGAGCATCAATTTTATTGTTACTTCTTTGAATGTAATCTACTCACCCCCTCACACACCTCTCATTACAGCCGATTTTGTAATTTTATCTTTGTATTTTTTTAGCAGTTTTCTACAATGAGCTTACATGAGTAGTTATTTGTTTTTATTCCACTTGGAGTTTTTAGCATTTTTTAAATATATGGCTTTTATTTATTTTGGAAAAATCTTTACTATCTTTTTAAATAGTTATTCTGCTCTCTCTTTGTCTCTCTGTCTTCTCTCTCCCCTCTCTCTCTCTCTCAGTACATATATATGTACATGTATAGATACATACACATATATATGTGTGTATATATTGGTGTATCTTTATTTAAAAAATAAATATTACATATATTTATTTTTTAAATAAAGATCTCTTTTTCAGTTCAATGACTTTTCCCTCAGTTGGTTCTAATCTGTTATTAAATTCATCTGAATTCTTAAACTTTGTTGTTTTATTTCTCATTTTTCAGTTTTTGATTTGATACTTTTTAATAGATTTCAATTCTCTGGCAAAATTATTCACCCTCTCATCTGTTTAATTAAATATGTTAATCAGAGTTATGTTAGAGTTATTTTCAAGTTCTGTTCCATCTTCAATATCTGCATCATGTGTGAGCCTGTTTCTACTAGAGTTCTTCTTCGTTTCATTTCTTCATATGCTTAGTAATTTCTAACTGAATGCTGGACATTGCATTTGAAAAGATGTTGAGGCCAAGTGCAGTGGCTGACGCCTGTAATCCCAGCATTTTGGGAAGCCGAGGTGGGCAGATCATGAGGTCAAGAGATTGAGACCATCCTGGCTAACATGGTGAAACCTCGTCTCTACTAAAAATACAAAAATTAGCTGGGTGTGGTGGCGGGTGCCTGTAGTCCCAGCTACTCGGGAGGCTGAGGCAGGAGAATCGCTTGAACCAGAGAGGCAGAGGTTGCAGTGAGCCGAGATGGTGCCACTGCACTCCAGCTTGGTAACAGAGCAAGACTCGGTCTCAAAAAAAAAAAAAAGAAAGAAAGAAAAGAAAAGATGTTGAGTCTCTAGATGATGGTATTTTTCTCCAGAGTATATATTTCAGCCACTGGAAGGCAGTTAGATTGTGGTTGATCATGTTAATTCAGTCAGGGGTTAAGCTAATTTAAGACTGAGTTTCAGACAGGTCCTATTTCTAGTTTACTTTTAACCCTAGGATACAGCCCTTCAAGAGTTTCTATGAGAGATTCCTGAGTAGCTTGCAGGACCCTGAACTTCAATTTTGGTTTTGCAGCACTGTGAACTTGTCAAAATATGTGCTTAGATTCTCGGCCTCTTAAAATGTACATATCATTTCCTGATATTGCCCCTGTGACGTTTATAGGTTGGCAAATGCCTCTGGGGGAAGCATGGCCTATAGTTCCATGCCTATTTCTCTGAGCCTTCTTTCTCACTGACATCTTGGTCCCTCAAATGCTAATCACTTTGGTAACTTTGAACCCCACTTTTCATTAATCTCAACCCAAGAGACTGCAAGAGGTCTATTTAGCTGTCACTTTCTGCTCCAGTTCTTGACCTCTTCCTTTGTGCTATTGTAATACTTCAAATACCTCCAGAGATGAGTAAGTGTAGAAAATTTAGCTTCTCTCTAAAGGTTCCCAACTCTCCAGGACCTTGGCTCATTGGGTCTTGGCTGCCTCCATGGCTCTTTTCTACCCTCAAATAAATGAGGTGTTTGTTTTGTATTTTATTCATCTTTTTTGATTGCTTTTAGTGGAGTATCATGTCAGTTGACAGTTAAATATTTTACTTGTTTCATGGAAATTATTAGGACATGTACACATGAGTCTGGGAATGATTCTGTGGATCTGAAGAAAATGATGATGAAAAAGCCTGTAATCCCAGCACTTTGGGATGCTGAGGCAGGTGGATCACAAGGTCAGGAGTTTGAGACCAGCCTGGCCAAGATGGTGAAACCCCATCTCTATTAAAAATACAAAAATTAGCCGGGCACGGTGGCAGGTGCCTGTAATCCCAGCTACTTGGGAGGCTGAGACAGGAGAATCTCTTGAACCCAGGAGGTGGAGGTTGCAGGGAGCCGAGATCACGCCACTGCACTCCAGCCTGGGTGAAAGAGTGAGACTCCATCAAAAACAAAAAGAAAGAAAGAAAATGATGAAGAACAGGGTAAAATATCATTCAGAGTTCTGGTGAGAAGCACTCGGCACACACAAAGGGTAAGTGTAAGGATGACTTAGCAAGGTGAGGGCAGATGAAGCACAAGGGTAGCCATGAAGGAAAGGCACACGCAGGTCTGAAAGAGAGAAGACCAAGGAAACAGTGAAACCCGAAGCCAAAAAAGCAAGGGCTGTTCACTAAAAGCTGTGGCTATAGAGGAAAACTGCTATTGTCAGATGTGTGGTCAGGACACTCAGAATGTGAAATATGGAGACTGCAATCTTCATGACCACACCTCATGCCCTGTGGTCTCCTGGTTGTGCCTCCAGCTGGCCAAACCTAACAAACTTTGATGTATTCCATAGAGGTCAGCCTCCCAGCATGCAGAGAGGGTAAGAGAATGGAACAGAGAACCACCACATTGGAGACTAACTAAAGGAGTAAAGTCTTTGATAAAACAATAGGCAATAAATCCAGACTGTAAAAGATTGGCCTAAAAATGGAGGGAGGATATTTCCTGCACCTGCTGTTTGTTTGTTTGTTTGTTTGTTTGTTTTTGATGGGTTCTCAACTCTAAATTTACTACTTCTTCCTTTGTAATTAAGACCTATTTTTATTGTGGTAAAATATACATAAGAGAAAATGTATCATTTTAAAGTGTAGAGTTCAGTGGTCTCAAGTACATTCACATTGCTGTATCACCAATAGTACTATCCATCTCCAGAAATTCGTCATTATCCCAAACTGAAAGTCTATATCTGTTAAATATTAACTCCCATTCCTCCCATTTCTCTATATCCCTCATCTCAACAAAAGGAAAATCTACAAAAGAGGGAACAGTTATGGGTAGATTTGTGGTGAGGTAATAAAGGACTTCTCATAATGACTTCTATTTTCTCAAAATACATGAATTTACATCATCACTTGAGAGTAAGAATTATGGAGAGCAGGAATGCAAGGTTTGAAGAGAGTAGAGAAATTTTAAAATTTCCATCTGGAGGATAGGAGGTAATCTGCCTGGAGAAGCACTGTCAGATGTCAGAGCAGTATTGAGTATGCACGTGAGGTCTGTGGTCACGAATTTTAAGTGAAACTAGTTGGTCTGCTTGTTTGATTTTTCTTCACTAATGTTTAGCTAGCCATCTGAACAAGATAAAAGAAAAGCGAGGCCTGGGATTTAAGATGTTTTAAAGGTAGTCATTATAAAAATGGGTCATGAAATCTAAGCTGATGAAGGGGGCAAGAGAAGGTAAGAGCAGATTAATGAATAATGAAAAGGTGATACAACCAATGGGCTGGAGGATTATAAAGATGAAAGAATTATTGCACTGAGGGCCCTGGAATGATTGGGAAGGAATATTAAGTGATAATGTAAGAACGAATTGTTTGAAATATATCTTAGAAGTGGAGAAGGGGTAAAGTCACCAGTGAGTAAAGTTCAGGGTGGGAACACCTGGAGGGGGCGGCAGAGGTGGGGGTAAAATAAGGTGGTTGCTCCAGTAAATGACCAGTCACGTGCATGAGCTTGTAAGCCACCCAGAATGATGAAAAGGGAAGACAGGAAGAAAGATTGTGAGCCAGGAGCTAATATGCTCCATCAATAAAGAAACTCGGGGTGTCTCTTCTTCTACTTTCCCACCTACACACACTTACCACCTTCCTGTATCCCACACACTTCAACCCTCTCAGAAGGCTTCCAGTGGCCACCCCTCAAACCTCTTCCAAGCCTCTTACCCCTCAAAATCTCGCTTTGTGTCACCATAAGATAATTCTCAGATCGGAATGTGTCAGCTGTATTTCCACATGTCTCGCTTTGAGAAGAGATTCTCAAAGCCAGCATGGAACTGGTTTCAGAATCTAGCTTGCACATCCCCAAGTTCTCTCCAATTAAAAATAATAACTACTATTAATTCCTTGAGAAAAATAAGTAACTATGTAAGAAATTCTGCTATTCTCCTCAATATCCACTTATCTCATTGAGAAGCAGCTGTGTGGTTTGGGTGGCATTGACTCTACCGTCAGGTTAATTAGCATAAGGTCATTCTCCTTGAACATGACTGACTTAGAGTTAGGCAGGCAAACTAAGTTATACCAATCAGAGTGAAGCTCAGGAATTTTTGTTTTTTAAAGGTTGGGGAAAGAGAAGCTCTCTCAGGCTCTTATAGGGCTCACTCAGATATGAAAGCTAGCCCTGTCTCAACTATGTTCCTACCATGAGGACAAAGTCAGTAGGGCAAGCTAAGAGGGTGACAGCAGTTGAAGAATTATCCTGATTAAAAAAAAAAAACTATGCCTTAAACCTAATGACTGTAGACTTCCCTTTTTTATGAGCCTGTACATTCTGTCCATATTTAATTTAACTTGTTTATGTTTATGGTAAATTACACCTGAAAGCATCCTTACTAATTCAAAAATACTTGGCATGCACCCTTCTGTGCCTAAATCAAATGCAGCCACAGCCAGAGCATCTTCAAGATAGAAGGTGATATTTAACTAGGGCTGAAGCCTGACCAAAGCACACATAGAGAAGCTAATGTTCTGTTCTTACAATGCTTTGGACAAAGTTCTTCACTGGGTGTTCTCCAGTAAAAATAACTGAATGCCGAGTGACCTGTGGATTTAATTTGAATGTAGATGCACCTGTTCTCACAAACATCATTCCGCCAACGGAGGCTCTGGGTTTGGTTTCAGGCAAGGGGTAGATATTGTGCAAACACACTTGCCCTCATCAAAAAGGTTCTTCTCTGCATATACAAGCTTCATCCAACATTTTGTTTTCTTCGGGCCCCTGCTCCTTGAGATTGGAGCTGATTTAAGCTGTTAGATTGTGGAATACAGTTTGCTCTGATGCCCCGAGGGAACTCGGTGGAGAGACTGCTGGCAGCTGATTAGGTCAGAAATGCAGCCATATCAAACATGCCTATTGACAATCTAGCTTGAAAGCCAAAAGCTTTCCTTGCCCATTAGGCTTGCTCTAGTCAGCCTCATTGCTATGTGCACCTAATGAGAAAAAAGACTCAGAAAGGGTTCATGGAAGAACAACACCTCCCTCTAAACTGGCAACCAAATTCACTGTTGCATAAAGCACCATTTGATTTACCTAGGGAGGAAAAAAATGATATTTCAACAGCTGCAGGATCTAGGGAAGGAAACAGCCTAACTCAGCTCTCCTTCTAGAAATCTGGGCTTATTAGATGACGAAGAAAGCAGGAATCAGGAATAGAAAGTGAAAATCTCTTGGCCATTGTTTTACTTAATGAAAATTAATTTTAGCTTCTGATTTCCTCAGCTTTGTTTGGCTGCAGGCGTTTTTGTGTTTATTTTAAACTTCAACATGCAAAACAGTCCTTCCTTGTAAGGAAGACAAGGCAGAATGTGTCAGGAGTTCCATTTGCAAGACTTTTCTAGAAATGGTATTTTAGATATGTGTCTATTTTACAGATTAGGAGGCTAATGGTATGTAGTTATATAACTTATCCAAAGTTGTAAAGCTAATAAACATTGCAGCTGAAATATAACTGGATCCTATTGAGTAGCATACTTTTTCCTATAATGGTGGTTCTTAGTCCTACTTTGCATATTGGAATCACCTGGGAACCTTTTTTAAAGAATTCCTGATAAAAGGCCCAAGGTGCCACCCAATTAATCAGAATATCTTGGAGTGAGGCTTGGAAATTTATATATATATATATATATATATATATATATATATATATATATATATATATTTTTTTTTTTTTTAATTTTACTTTAAGTTCTGGGATACATGTGCAGAATGTGCAGGTTTGTTACATAGGTACACATGTGCCACGGTGGTTTTCTGCACCTATTAACCCATCATCTAGGTTTTAAGCCCTGCATGCATTAGGTATTTGTGCTAACGCTTTCCCTTGATATTCTTAAACATCTCCTCATATGGGCTTAAGTTGTTGTTGGGAGTCAAAGATAGGGCTATAGCAGAGATTCTCAAACCCTAAAATGTTTGCAAACCATTTGGGGAATATTCTTAAAATGCAGATTCTGACTCAGTAGATCTGAGGTGGAGCCTGAGGTGCTGCATTTCTAGGAAGTTCCCATATGATGTCAACACTGCCAGTTGGGGACCACACTGATTAGTAAGGCTCTGAGAAGTGTTCCTCAAACTTTGAAATGTATAAGAATCACCCATAATGCTCATAACCAAAAGGGGAGCTCAGACTTACTGAAGTAGGGTAGGAACTAAGCTCCTGTATTTATTATATCGAGTTCTCCAGAACCACTGCTCTATGACACAAGATGCTTGTTCTCAAACTTGGCTGCATATTGGAATCACCTGAGAATTTAAAAAAGGAGAGGGAAAAAAAAAAAATCCAAGTCCTGTTTCCAGGTGGTTCTGATTTAATTGATCTGAGTTGAGAGACCAGTCATCGTCAGCTCCCCAGGTAATTTTAATATTCACCTGAGGCCGTGAACTGCTGACATATGCATTGTTCCACAAACTAGCTAAATAACAGAATAACAGATTTCTTCACCATACCCCTGGCATTGTAAGTTTTAATCGATGGGAGAGTAACTTGAGAATCTGTTTTTCTTGCAAGCACCACAGGTTGCTTTTTGATCAAGTAAGATTTAAAAATAAACAACAGGTATAAAACAAAATGATCCTAGGAATGTGTAAGAAAATGTTTTCACTTTTCTTTGAGTCCAGTATAAATGTCATCACTCATTGAATATTGGAAATTTGGATTCCGTCATCTAAAACTTGGTAGCTAAATTTTGGTTAGTGTTTGGTCTCTGCTACAAACTATAGTTGTTGCTTCTCTCAAGATCCTTGAGACCTGATGTCTTCATTTATAAAATGTGGCCATCCCATTATTAAGTCTCTAAGAACTTTTTTTATAAATATATTCTAGGTTAGAGAAGCAGGCTTCTGTTGTTTGACCTTCCAAAAATGATTCCACCTTCTTCCAGTACCAGCTCTTGTTTTCATTTGAGGATTTTTCTCCTCTTCTCCTTTCTGAACCAGTTAGAGGAACTGGCACATAAGCCATTGTCTTGAACCCTCGTTCAATAATGGCATGTGCATAAGCTGGTGACCCAAATTCAATGACAAATGAAAGCAAACCAGAGAAACAGAGGGTCTTTTGCTGCTGGGAGACAGCTGAGTCCTCTTTTCTCATTGGGAATGAACCTGATAGCATGGGAAGAGGGGCTGCTGTATTCATCTTGTCTTCTGACAAAGAGGCTGGATTACTGAGTCTGAGAATTAAACCAACATGATAGCAAAAGTAAAAGACAGAGACAAACCCAGTCCTGGTTACATTGCTTAGCCCTGGATCAAGCTGTACCTGAATATATTCCCTATTGCTTTTCTAGTATGTGAGCCAATTTGGATTTTGAACAAGCCAAGTTTGCAGACTTGAATGTCTTTTTCACCTAGAATCAAACGTGACTTCATTGAAGTAGATAGTGCTTTGAAGATGATTCAGGTATCTCCCCATAAGAATAAGGAAACTAACCTAAAACTTAGAAAGAATATACATAAAACTGGTATATTCACAGAAAAATGTACTCCCTTTAGATATTTTTCTCCACTTAGTATGGGATAGGGAGGCAGATAAAAATATGACTACAATGGTAGCTGTCTCACATAATAAGAGACAATTTCCTTTATCCATTATTAATATATATGAAAAATTCAAAACGGTCTCCCTGGAGCTGTGTCTCCTCACCTTATATCATCATCAGACCTCTTTGTGGTCATTCAGTGTCTACAAGTATAAGTTTTTTGTAGTTTTTGAAAAATTCATCACAATTTTTGAAAGGATAAAACCAGCATATAACATTATATTAGTTATTTAATAAGAACAAAAATTTTTATTCTCACTAGAGCAGTGGTTCTCAAACGGAGACTCTTTTTCCTTTAGGGGACATTTAGCAATATCTGGAGACACTTTTTTGGCTGTCACACTGGAGGAGGGACTGCTGCTGTCACCTGGTAGACCAGAATGGCCAAGGGTAATGTTAAGCAGCCTATCTACACAAAAGCCTCCAAACACAGGGCTACTCAGCCTACAATTCTAATGGTGCCAAAGTAGATAAATCCTCAGCTTCAGGTCTGCTTATGTTTGCAATATTTCATCTGGATTAATCATGGCTGAATCGGCATACGTGAGGATTAACATGCAAATTTGTTATCACTTTCTACCATATTAGAGAAACCCAGTGCACTATTAAATTAGAGATCCCTGGAAATAATACAAAATATACAGTAGCTCTACTGGATAGCGGAGAGATTCACAGGTTATAAGTAGACCTAGAAAGCTATTCAGGAACCAAGGCAAATCAGAAGACGACCTCCTCTCTTTCTTATGTCTTTTGTGTGCTATCATTCATGGTGCTTCTCTTTTCTCCATATCTGCTCCATTCCTCTCCTCCCGGTTGGCCATTGTCCTCCATGTCAGGCCAGTTGATGTGGGTAATGGCTACAGCAATTATGCAAGTCACAGAGTCTTCCTTAGCTCTCAAGGGTCTGAAGAACAACTCATTAGGTGACATAACTTAGTAACAACAATTCTTTCCATTTGAATAGTTCTTCAAGATCATCGAAATGTGTTCACAGACATTGTCTCAGCTGGCTTGGGATGTGAGGAAAAGCCATGTAAGGAAGATAAATGAGTGGCATTAGAGCGAATCTACAGACAAAGAGGCAGAGACTCAGAGTGTTTAAATTGCTTTTCTGATGTCACACAGCCCTTAAGAGGAAAAACCAGGAAGAGGGGTTGGTTTCTGTGACTGCTATTCTCATCCTATCAAAAAAAAAAGTTTTACTTTCTTATTTTGTTTTAAATTACAAATGAATTATGTTCTTATTAATTAATGAAACAATGAAATACATAAAACAATACTTGAAACTCTTTGTTTCTAATTTCTGAAGTGATGATTCTCAATGATTCTCAATGGGTTTGAAGCTATTGCTCCTCCTGGGGATAATTAAAATGTTTATTTTATTTTAATTTAATGTACTTAGTTTTAATTGACAAATAATACTTGTGTAAATTATGTATTTGTGTGGTACAATGTTTACATTGTGTTTAAATTGTGCAATATATTTACATTGTGGAATGATTTCATCAATCTAATTGATAAATTTATCATCTTGCATGCATTTTTTGGGATAAAAACATTTACCTTGTATATTTCAAAATTATTAAAACTGTTCAGGCTAGGGACTCACCTTCAAGGATATTTCAGTGATCTGGGTTAGGCTATAGGCATCAGTGTTTTTTTTTAAAGTTCCCCAGAAGTGATATAAACAGAATTTGATCTCGGTGACTTTGGAAAATGGCATTTTGACTGGAAACTGTAAGGTCAAGGACAAAAAGAACTTTATAGAAACATTGAACTTTATTTTATAAATTTGTTTGTCATAGGGGTACCTACAGTTGGTAATTCTCAAAGTATTTTACATCTAATAGAGGGTTAAGCAAGTAAGTAAATAAATGGAGGATAACAACAGCCAAATTTTTTACTATCAGAGACGAAATTACAAACAAGCAAGAAGGAAAGGGGAATGAATCCTTGAGTATTGGTTTAGAGTTGAAGACATCAGTATGAACTTATGTTTAATTTAAACCATGAGAGCAACAACAAATATCTATTTCCCCTTCCCTCTGTGTGTGTGTGTTTATATGTGTATGTGTGTGTATATATGTGCGTGTATGAGTTTATTTATATACACATACATATATATACATATACACATATATGTATTTGTATATATATACGTATGAATGTGTGAGTTTATGTTCTTACTAATGAAGCAACGAAATATCCTTCATTAGTGCTCCGTGTGTGTGTGTGTGTGTTTACAAAGACAGAGAGGTTGAGATTCAACAATAATTCTAGACATGTGTGTACACCTGGATTGTATACACATATATTTCCTACCTCTATCCACAGAGAAGTCTCAGAAGCTGTGACACCCCTATAGCAATGAGAATGCCTCTTCCCAGACCTTGGTTTCTAAATACCATTCTCAGAGATATGTCTGAGTCTAAAGCTGGGGAAGGAAATACAAAATATGAGACTAGAGTATTTTATAGTGCCAGAAAGTAAGAGAGTGGTAATAAAGAAAAAAAAAGGCAAGGGGATACGAAGGGAACCCCAGAGCCAACTGGAAAGAAACTGCAGTGCCAAAGACTGGAACAATTTGAGAAACAAAATAAATAAAGTAGCATTGGAATAAAACCTAAAGTATAAAATAAACATACACAAGTTTTTGCTGATAATAAATAAATGAGAAAAAAGAGCCAAATATTCCTCACAGAACAATTCCAAGTAATAAATGTATGTCTTCCCCTACCTAGGAGTTGTAGTTAAACTCCTCCCCCTAAATGGGGACTGGACTTAGTGGCTCACTTCCAAACAATAGGCTATGGAAAGGGAAAGGAAAAATAGTAACTTTGCAGGTGAGAAACCTGGTAGACACCACCTTAGCCAAGTGATCAAGGTTAATGTCACCAGTGACTGTTGGTAGCAAATCCCTGATAGAATGTGCTAAGAAGGACAAATGACCTGCCCTTGGTACTTCCCAAAACCCATAATGTCAGTCTAATTATGAATCAACATCAGACAAATTCAACTTGAGGAACATTTGACAAAATACCTGGCCAGTACTCCTCAAAACTTTCAAGGTGAGGAAATTAAGAGAAGGCTGAGAAACTGTCACAGACCAGAAGAGACTAAGAAGTCGTGATAGCTAAAAGCAGTGTTGTACCGTTAATTGGATTCTCGAACAGAAAAAAGGACAGTAGTGGAAGAAACTGGTAAAATACAAATTAAAGCCTGGAGTTGGTTAACGATAATATATCAATGTTCGTTCCTTAGTTTCGACAAATATACCATAGGTATGAAGGACATACATGATAATGTATGCTAATCTTGCAAAAATCTTTCCTATAATCTAAAGCTATTTAAAAACAAGAATTTTATTGAAAATATTTAGTTTCGTAGTATTAACCTTTGTGGTAGCTATGAAGGAAATTTTCTAATTTTTATTAGAAATTATTAGAATTACTCTAATATTTAGTCAAGGTTGAGGATCACCTTTCCAACAAGGTCTGAAAAGGTAACTTTTCACACTGTTCTTCATGATTTTATATATATATGCAAACACATAAACATAGACTTGCTTTTCAAGTCGTTAATGTTTGCTTTAAATGGATCATATTACACACAGGACTTTGCAACTTGTCCTTCTCACTTAGCTGCATAATATCTCCTTATAATGTGTGTATGGCACCGTTTTGTTGACCATTGTTTTCTTCATAGACATTGTCTGTCACATTCTGTTTGCAATATGTCCCGCTGTCTTGTTCTATCAACCGTATTTGTGATGTCAATTTTAATGCTTTGGGCATGTGTTCTCATGGATGGTTTTACAATCCCTTCCTGACAAAAGGTGTACCTTCTCTTTTTGTCTGTTGCAAATCCCTTTCTGCTCCCAGCTGAACAATGGCCCATTCTGAAGGGTTGCCCATATTTCTGCTTTTGGATTCCCTCTTTGCCCTTCTCAAGCCCTGAGCTGAAAAACCATTGTTCCCTGCGCACTGAGGTGAGAGGCATTCTGGGTTGCTCAGCAACCTAGGGGCAGTGAGAAGGGAGAATGGGAGAGCCAGCAGAGGTGGGTCAGAAACGCACTCACAGGGCCGGGGGAGGGGAAGAGGGGAAGTTGAGGCTGGGCTCAGAGAAGGCACTGGGTGGTCCAGACAGGAGGTCCTAGGAGAAGCACTCTTGTTCCTTTCTTTACTAGGTGGCCAGAGAAATTGTTACGAGATGTAAATGAGTTGCTGCTCCTCCCTACTCTCTGTGGCTTGAACTTTTCTATGATTTCCATTTTCACTTTGAATGAAATACAACCTTCATACTGTGAGTTCAAGGACGGGTGTTTCCTGCTACTTCTCTGATCACCTCATATGACTCACTTGCTTTCATCTACTATGGGGTCACTTGTGTCACCAGTCAGCTTGTGGAAGACACTGGGCTCCATCCCACCTCAGTGCCTCCATCCTTGTGTTTCCTGGAGCACTTGAATGACAAATATACCTCTCAATTCTCACCAATGTGGTCATCTGTACAGACAGGCCTTATCTCACCAACCTACCCTAGTATACCTGTTGGTCTCTACCACTGCACTTATTTATTCCCTTCCTAGCACATTTCACAATCCATAAATGCTTCTATTTTGCATGCCTCCTTCACTGTGCATGGAAACTCCATGAGAGCAGGGACCTGACTATCTGATTCATCTGTGAACCCCTAGTAGTTGTCATATAGCAGATACTCAATAAGTATTTTATTTAATGGGTAAATACATGTGTCAGTAACTGTGAAATGTCTCAGACATTTCCCTGTTTGCAAGCTAGCAAGCCAAACTGCCACAGTTTCATTGATGCTGGTAGAAGACAGAGGCTCCTGAGCCAGAAATAAAGTGTATTAAGCATAGCAATAATCAGGAACAACCCTTCAGCATGTATCATGGTCCCATGAGACTCAATTTTTACAGGATAATGCAGAGAGGATGAAATGACATTTGCATATGCAGAAGGTTGCATTACTGGAGAAGAACCCTGAGTTTAAGGAATCCATATCTTTTATAACAAGTGGTAAGCCTACCTACCCATTGCTCCAGAGGGAGACTATCCCTCAGGTTCTTTTTTTCCTGGGATACCTTTTAAGCAATTCTCCATTTCTCTAATTCTCTGACCCCAACTGGGCACCCAATGATTCAATTCATTTCTGACACTATCTGAAGTTAGCCCAAACCCAACAAGTTAAGAGCTCCATCCCACAAGATTATTTACCACTTCCAATGCCAGTTACAAGCCCCATGACCTTTCTTCCCATGTCAAATTCAATAATTTACTGAAATGACTCACAGAACTCAGGAAAGCACTTTGCTTGCTATTACCAGTTTATTAAAAAGGATACAATTTGGGAACAGCCGAATGGAAGAGAAGCATGAGACAAGGTATGAGCTCCATGCCCTCTCTGGACACACCACCCTCCAACATCTTGATGTGTTCAACCCAGAAGCTCTCCAAACTCTATTGCTTAGAGGTTTTTATGGAGGTTCCATTATGCAGGAATAATTGATTAAATCATTGGCCATTGGGGGATTGAACTCAATCTCCAACCCTCTCCCCTCCCTAGAGGTCAGAAGTAGAGCTGGAAGTTCCAACCCTCTAATCATATGGTTTTCTGGCAACCAGTCCCCATCCTGAAGCTACGCAGGTGCCCACCAAGAGTCACTTCAGTAGCATAAACTCAGGTTGAAAGGGGCTTGTTATGAAGAACAAAAGATGCTCCTATGACTCAGGAAATTCCAAGGGTTTTAGAAGCTCTGCATCAGGAACCAAGGATGAAGGCCAAATATGTTTTTTATTACACCACACCATCTCTGTTTTTTGAGGTCAGTTCATCTGCTCTCAAGTTAGGCAGAAATGCAAGAGACTCATGAAAAGTTGTCTTCTAGTAGAAAGAAAGGGTATTTCATTTCAAGGTTTAGGACCAGTCTATACTAAACTATTTCAACAGACCTGACACAATAATAGCAAATCTAAATCTAAACTGAGTATTTCTAAAATATTCATATAGATCCTGTAGAAGTCCCACAAGAAGAATGGAGGTTGGAGGTAGTAGGCAACCCTCATAGATGTGGACTGGGTGCTTTGTAAAGCACCAGGTCCCCAAAAACGTGGTCTTGGATTCAAGGTGAAGTTCATGGAAGGTGAGTGGGGAACAGTTTTTATAAACTAGAGAAGACCCAAGTGGACATTCGATTCTATGAACTGGACAATCACAGACACATGAAGCTCTATGAGGATGGGAGAGCATTTATCTTTCTCATCCTTGTTTCCCCAGCACGTGGCACTGTGTCTGCGCATAGAAAGTTCTCATTAAGTGTTTGTCAAGTTCAGGGCTGGATAGTAACATTAATGAATACACCAAAGAGTGGGAGATTTTGATTTTGCTTCTAAATTGAACATAGTTTTTATCTTGGTGGGTGAGGGGTCTCATAGCCTAGAATGTTGAACAGCTACAACTTGGCTCCAAATTGCCAGGACTCAAAGTAGAGAAGAGATATAAATAACCTTTTTTTTTTTGCCAAACTTGCCTTAGAACCAAGGAAAACCTGAACTTGACCGTTAGTAGGCCCAGCTGTGTAGAACTGCACATTGAAAGGCAGTAGCCAAGGTGGTTAACTCTCACAGAAGGGTAGAGAGAAGCACTTGTATTTTTTACCCATAAGGTTAGCAAGGTTTTTGTTTGTTTGTTTGTTTTCTGAGACGGAGTCTCTCTCTGTCACCCAGGCTGAAGTGCAGTGGCGCGATTTCGGCTCACTGCAACCTCCGCCTCCCGTTCAAGCAATTCTCCTGCCTCAGCCTCCCAAGTAGCTGGGACTACAGGTGCCAGCACCACCCCCGGCTAATTTTTGTATTTTTAGTAAAGATGGGGTTTCACCATATTGGCCAGGCTGGTTTTGAACTCCTGACCTTGTGATCTGCATGCCTCGGCCTCCCAAAGTGCTGAGATTACAGGTGTGAGCCACTGCGCCTGGCTGGCCAAGTGTTTTTTTTTTTTTTATTGGTTGGTTGTTTGTTTGTTTTTCAGTTTAATTATGAAAAAGAGAGATTGAAGTAATAGTAACGTTCAGGTACTGCCATTAAGAACATTAAGTTGGCAATATCTGTTCAAAAACAAAAAATGACCTAAGTAATTCCATTTTTTTCTATCTTCCCTAAAGACAAACTTACATATACACTGAACATTATTTACTTTTTTAAAAATTAAATTCAATATCTGTCAAGAAGAGAGTAGCTAAATAGAATAGAATATTATACAGGTATAAAATGAAATATTTTTGACTGAAGAAATAGTTACAAGAATGATACAGAATGACATCATTGCTTTAATACACACAGTGATTTTATTTATTTTCATAGACATGGGGAACACTTCCCAAGCTGATGGTAATGGCTAATATGGGGTATAAGGAGAAGACAGGGATTAGGTTGATTAAAGAAAATTTTGGCTTTATACGGAAAAACTTTAGTTCTATGGGTGAATGAATATCTGTGCAGTATAGCATAGCAGTTAGATAGATGCATAATCTTCAGTGTCAGGCACCTGAGTTTGAATACTGGCTTTGTCATTTACCAGCTATGTGACCTTCGACCCACTGCCTAACCTCGCTATGCTCCACTTTTCTCACCTGTAATATAGCAATAATTATAATACCACTTAATAATGCAATCAGAGGATTTAAAATATCAATGCAGGTAAATGCTTAGAACAGTGTCTAGCACATAGCAAGGCATCAAAAAATGTCAGCTATTAATATTGCTTTGGTTTGGATATGGTTTGTCTCCATGAAAACTCAAGTTGAAAGCTGACCTCCAATGTGGTAGTCTTGGGAAACAGGGCCTAGTGGGAGGCATTTGGGTCATGAGGGTAGATCCCTCATGACTAGATTAATGCACTCTCTTGGGGGTGAGTGAGTTATCCCTCTTTCAGAAATAGATTAGTCCCCAAGACAGCAGACTGTTAAAAGGACTCTGGCTTCCTCAGTTTCTCTCTCTTGCTTCCACTGTGACCATTTGTTCTCTTTGCACATGCTCACTCCCCTTTCTTGTCCACTTTCCGCCAAGAGTGGAAGAAGCATGAGGTTCTCACCAGGTCTAGCTGCACCATCTTGAACTCTCCAGCCTCCAGAATCATGAGGCAAATAAACCTCTTTTCTTTGTAAATGAGCCAGCCTCAGGTATTCTGTTATAGCAACACAATACAAACTAACATAAATATCACGTGTTACTCATGTGATTAAAATTAAGTTAAAATACCATTTAAGAAAGGAAGGATGGGAAGCAGAAAGGAAAAAAGAAAGGTTTATGTTGCTCTTTCCAAAATAAAGAGGTTTTGATCAGGAGGGTGTCTTTACCAAACAAAACGTCCTCTCACATCATCTTGAAATGTCACCCCCTTCCTCCCGCAATCCGGGTAATTATCATGGCTGGGAGCTATTTCTTCAGTATGTATCCAATGAGGATTTGGCAGCCCAAGAGTTCAGAGACAGGGGAATGTCTTTCTTTCTCTCACTCTCTCTTTTTCCTTTTAACATAATCTAAATTTTTTTCTTTTTAACATAATCTAAATTTAACAAGCCCATTAAAGTAAATGTTTCAGCAGGCGACACTGAACTGATTATAATATTTAATAAATCCTACTCCTAAATGAGGGCTTTTAAATGCCAGCGAGAAACCAAAGTTGCATATTCATCCCTTTTGTGCCAAGATCTTGTGGGAGTGTTAGACAGGGCACCCCCTTTGTGCTCTATCAAAGAGGGAAATAATTATGATCACCTTTAAAAGAGCCGTTTATAGTTCCCAAGTCACTTGAGACTGATGCTTGAATTCTGGGATCCAGCTTTGTTTGCCACAGCAGAGTAAGATGCCATTCCAATGGAGAGGCAAAATCCTACTGATCCAAGACCCTAAGCCATGGCCAAAGATGTCTGGTTTCTACCTGGCTTCCGTATTGAATTTGTGACATTTAATGGTTCCCCTAGTTTCGTGTACTACATTTGCTCAGCTATTCAATAAAAGGGTTGGATAAATTAGGATTTTGCTTCGCTCATCTCCACCTTTGTGATTGCTGTTCTAGAATCACTTCTTTGCTAAATGTCTGGGAGAAGGGAACACTTCCCATAAAAAATGGATCCTATGACTGCACAGCCTTCTGTGTACTGTGTGCATGTATCTTTCTTGTATAGCTATTGAAGTCTAGTTAATACCACTTGCCTACTAGGGTCTGCAAGTGGCAGATCTAATTTATTGCAGTGGCAGGTTGCAGGGGTTTCCCAGTCTGCAGAGTTCTTTCCTACTATGAAGAAGAGGTGATTCTGCAGGCTGGAAATAAAAATAGTGGGAATGGGAGTCGACCCTGAGGGATCCGGCCTGTCCTAAGAAGCTCTCAGGTTGCCTGTTCATCTCGGAGCACCTGAGGACAGCAGTGCCGCTGAGCCTTGGTGTGTCTGGGTGTGTCTTTTTCCCGATAATATTCAGTCTTTTCAGGTGTGTGTCTCCTCTGTACTTCTGGCATTTCCGTCTCAGAGGCAGCTCTTTGGCCGTTCCTTGGGGGCCTGTGTATCTCTGGTGTCTGCATCTCATTCTGTCACTGTGCATTTCTCTCTCCCTTGCTTTTTTATTTTTGGTCTGAAATTTACTGACCTTTGTGGCTTATGACTTGCATGGGTGTCTGGAATAGTTGGGGCTTTTAAAGATCCAAAATGTACTGTCAGATATAAGAAGGAAAATCAGTCTCTGAACGTCCCAGCGCATGGTACCAACCCAAGGGTAACCATCAATGACAGCCAAACTTCACCCCTCTGAAGGAATCCTCCTTCCCTCCGAGGCCCTGAGCTCAGGGCCTGATTAGAGGCACTAAAATGAATCACCCAAGCCCCAGGATCCCCAGAGGAGGAGAGAGAAAGCCAGAGCACTATGCATCATCTATATTTTTCTGCCCTGTAGCTGTGAGTTGCTGAGAAAACAGCCCAGGGAAGTCCCTATATCAGAGGGGCTGACGGCCTCACGTCCCTCTGGTTCCCAGGGAAATCATGCTTTGGTTGATCATGGGATTTTCTTGGAACATGAGCCTAGGCATAAATACACAGCAGAAAGGCCATCCTGGAAGATGTACAGCATTTTCCTGGGGCTAGCAGCTGAGCAGATCTCTCCTCTCCCCCGACCCCAGCACTCAGCTGCACAGGGAGGAGGCCCGAGGCTCAGCCGGGCTGAGACACAGGATTGGAATTGTGGCTGTTAAGGCCACACGTTCTCTGACATGTCGTCAGTGCATTCTTACTGCCTGCCTCCCGCCAGAGCCAAGGCCGCCTGGGGGCATAGCCTGATTGGTACCCCAGGATCTAACATGATGTTTGGCCTACAGTCAGGAAATATATACATTTGCTGGATTTGTGAAAGATTTAGATGCCCAAAGAGAAACAGAAGGAGGTCTCAATCCAGGCAGACGACATCACAGCAGCCCACCCTACCCCTCCTTCAACTGGGGACCATGTCCTTTCCCATTCCCCTTTTTTCTTCTTCAGAAAATGCAGACTGATACGCAAAAAAATGAGTAAAATGTCTGCTTCAGAGAAGGAACACCCCAGGCATGGAAAGGAGGCTTAATTTAACACACACACACACACACACACACACACACACACACACTCTTTGGCTTTTAAAATCATTGCAGGAATTGTCCTATCAAACATAAATACAACTTTAAATTTTGATTAGGTAATACCACACATGATACACATTTTAAATGCACGGCTCTATCCAGTGACAGTGAAGTTTCATTCTACCCTCGTGGGAGGTGGAATAATAGTCCCCTGAGATGTCCCCATCCTAAAGCTCACAACCTGTGAAGATGCTACCTTAAGGGGCGAAAAGGGCTTTTCCAATGTAGTTAAACTAAGGACCTTGAGATGGAGAAATTATCCTGGATCATCCAGGTAGGTCCAGTGTCATCCCAAGAGTCCTTTTAAGAGGGAGGCGGGAGGGTCAGAGTCAGAGGAGATATCAGGACGGAAATAGGGGTTGCAGAGAAGCAACGTGGGAGCCTCTAGAAGCCAGGAAAGGCAGGGAACTGGGTTGTCCCCTCAGGCCTCCAGTAAGAATGTGGCCCTGCTGACCCATTTCAGGGCTTCCAGACTATAAGATACTGTGGATTATTTTAAACAATTGTGTGGCAATTTGTTACAGCAGGAATAGAAAACTAATATAACTCCTTGGCCAGGAACAGTGGCACACGCCTGTAATCCCAGCACTTTGGGAGGCCGAGGTGGGTGGGTCACCTGGGTCAGGAGATCAAGACCAGCCTGGGAAACATGGTGAAATGCTGTCTCTGCTAAAAATACAAAAATTAGCTGGGCATGGAGGCGTGTGCCTATAATCCCAGCTACTTGGGAGGCTAAGGCAGGATAATCGCTTGAACCCAGGAGGTAGAGGTTGCGGTGAGCTGAGATTATGCCATTGCAGTCCAGCCTGGGCAACAGAGCAAGACTCCACCTCAAAAAGAAAAAAGAAAATTAACATAATCTCTGATATCTCAAGTCCCTTTTTCAGAGGACACCACTTCTCCTTATTTCTGTGTTTCCTTCCATATACAGGCAAACATATAGATACAGACATGCAAAGAGAGAAGGACTCTAGTAGAAACAGACTCGCAGATGATGCCAATATTGAAGATGAGACACAGACTTAGAAATAACTCTGATCAACACGTTCAATTTAATAGACAAGAGGGTGAAGAATTTTACCAGAGAATTGGAATCTATAAAAGAGTATCAAATCAAAACTTCAGCAATGAGAAATAAAACAACAAAGTTTAAGTATTCAATGGATAAATTTAATAACAGATGAGAATCAACAGAGGGAAAAATCATTGAATAGAAACAGAGAACTTTATGAAAATAATTACAGATTGTAACAAAAAGAGACAAAAAAATTGAAAACAAAAAAGAGCATAAGAGACATATGGGGCAATATGAAATGATTTAACATTTGTGTAATTGGACAAGAAAAAGTATAATTGAACAATAAGGACAAGAAACGTATATATTATATAAATATTATACATAATATATATCTTTGGATATATATTTGGAATATAAGGACAGAAAAGTTATATATTATATATATCATATATATTTTTACATATATATGATATGTAAAAATCATATATATGTATATGTGTGTATATCATACATATATGTACATATCATATATATGTAAAAATAGGTAGAGAGGGATGGATACATAGTGATATGGTTTGGCTGTGTCCCCACCCAAATCTCATCTTGAACTGTAACTCCCATAATTCCCAGGTGTCATGGGAGGGACAAAATGGGAGGTAATTGAATCATGAGGGGTGAGTCTTTCCTGTGCTTTTTTCCTGAGAGTGAATAGTCTCATGAGATCTGATGTTTTTATAAGGGGGAGTTCCCTTACATAGGCTCTCTCTCTCGCCTGCTGCCATGTAAGATGTGACTTCCCTCCTCCTTGTCTTCCACCATGATTGTGAGGCCTCCTCAGCCATGTGGAACTGTGAGTCAATTAAACCTCTTTCCTTTATAATTACCCAGTCTCGGGTATGTCTTTATTAGCAGCATGGGAACAGACTAATACACATAGATACGTAGGTAACAGATACTGTTATGTCATATATATACATATATATTACAAATATAAAAGATATTAAGTATATGTATGGAGGTGTATGTGCATTTCTTTTGTTTTACACAAAAACTATACACTATACATCTTTCTACACCTTGTTGTTACCTCCTGATAGTCTGTATTGGAGATGTTTCTCTATCAGTGCATACAGATATGTTTTGTTCCTCAAAAAAATGTTTTTAATAGAAAATATAGAAAAAAACCAGCAAGAGATTCTTTAAGACTCAGTCTGTTTTCCTTTTTTATTTCTGGCTACCCTGGTCTATGAGGGACACTTGCTTCCTGATGTGCACCTTCTCTAGTTCCTGGAAAGAATTTATAGATAGTTCAGCAGGTGATGACTGAGGGGTAGAAGGCTGTCATTTCTCATACTCTGTCCACTTCTCTCTGCCTCTGTCTCATACCTCATGTTTTCTACTAGCCAAGAGAAACCACAATCAGACCAGAGAAATTGGTGTTATTAGTGCCTGGACACAGTGCCCTTGTCCCATATGTGTACTTGGTCCATGGAAACTACCAGCCCAAGTAACACCCAATTCTCTGAAATCTGGCAGTCCTGGGTTCAGACCCTGGCTGAACACTTACTAAATGGGTAAGCCTGCCTCACAGCCTCACCTTAGAATATTACCTCTGTGTATATCAGTCTCATTGCTTAGTGGTGATGAAGATTAAATTAAGTAAGATGTCATGAAGGCAGGACCCAGCACAGTACCTGTGTTGGGGAAGCCTAAGACCACCCTAGATTTGAGGACTCACTAGAAGGACTCACAGGACTCAGAAAGGTATTATATTCACAGTTCTACTCTATTACAGTCAAAGGATACACATCAAAATCAGCAAAAAAAAAAAAAAAAAAAAAAAATACACATAGGTCAGAGTCTAGGAAAAACCAGACCTGAGCTTGCAGCTGTCCTCTCTCAGTGGAGTCATTAATTCTCCCAGAAATAATATGTGACAATACCTGTGAAGTTGCCAACCAGGGGAGCTCACCTGAGCCTTGTTGTCTGGGGTTTTTACTAAAGATAAGTCATGGAGGCATGGGCCACCCATATGACTGGCCTTAGTTACTCAGCATCTATTCCACAACCCCCAACATGATGTTGAATTGATACAGTATGGCCCAAAGTCCAGGCATATAATAATGACCATTTACTGTAAATCACATTGTTAGCATAAATGATCTGACATGGCTCAAGATCTCAGGTATACAAAGACATTCTTCTGAGGCAAAGACGCTCTTAGGATATTCCAAGGACTTAAAGGACTGGCTCCTGATGACCTCTGGGATGTGCAGAGTTTGGGCAACTCAGGTCTGCTGAGTTAATACCTTCTGTGCAATGCCTATCTGAGTAGATAAATAAAGGCTTGCTTCTTTCCTTGCAAACCTTCTTCTCTCTTGACTTAAACAAGATTACTAGTAATCTAATAAGACGCTACCAACACTGAGCTCTGTCTTTGTGCCAAGCACTGTGTTCAATGTCATCCTATTTGATCTTCACAATAGTTCTCAATGGTTTCACCTCTTTCCTATTTTACAGAAGAGGAAACGACATTCAGAGAGATTGAGTAATTCATTTATTGTCACACTCCAAGTGTGTTCAGGGAGAGAATTCAAGTCAGACTCCTGACAACAGAGCTTATGTGATAATCACCTCTACTTCGCCCACATTTACTAAAATCGGCACCCAAGAGAGACAATTGGCATGGCACTTTTGCATGGATGCCCATCAGATTCACAGTTTCTCACCTTTTTTTAAAATGTCACTTTACCCAGGAAGAATTCTGTGGATCCTCAAGCTTTATTCAATCTATCTATCTATCAGCACAGTCAAAAGCAATTTGTACTAAGGACAATCAGGAGGATATGGGGACTTAACATCATGAGAAATGTGTGAAGACAGGGCCTCTCATTTTCTTTTCTTTTTTTTTTTTTTTTTTTTTTTGAGACAGAGTCTCACTCTGTCGCCCAGGCTGGAGTGCAGTGGCGCGATCTCGGCTCACTGCAAGCTCCGCCTCCCGGGTTCAAGCCATTCTCCTGCCTCAGCCTCCTGAGTAGCTGGGACCACAGGCACCTGCCACCACGCCCGGCTAATTTTTTTGTATTTTCAGTAGAGACGGGGTTTCACCGTGTTAGCCAGGACAGAATAGATCTCCTGACCTCGTGATCCGCCCAGCTCGGCCTCCCAAAGTGCTGGGATTACAGGCATGAGCCACCGCGCCCGGCCAGGGCCTCCCATTTTCTACCAAGAACCAGCAGACTCCCTGCCCTTGGCCAAGGGAGTAGGCACAATGCTCTCTGCCAACTTTCAAGGAAGCTCAGCCTGGACAAGCAACTGGATTTCTTCTATGACTGGAGAAGTAACACTTGAAGGTTTGAAGAGGGAGACACTTGCTGAGGGACAAAAGGCAGGGCATTTGTACAGTCTTTTAAATCATTATTTTAAACGTTAAATGTTTAAACGTCTTAGACCCTGGGCCAAATCCCAAATCATCCTATTATGTAAAGCTCTCATAGTAGTGCATTTTATTGCTTTTTGGACGTGTATAGGAAAACTATAATAGCCATTATTCAAAGAATTCATAATAGCTGTTTTCCTAATATGTATTATAAGCTGCTTAAAAGCTGGAATAATTTCTGACTTATTCATTATTATACTTCCAATGTCCAAAACAGTGCCTGGTACTTAGCAGGATTTCAATAAACATTTGAATAAGTAAAGGAATAAATGAACACAGTATAAGAGGTGTGTTCTCCTTAGGATAATTTCTTCACTCTGGGAGATCTGACCACTTAGTGATACATGTTGCCCTCACAAGATAGGCAGAAAGGGCTAGAGGTTAAGCACAAAGGCTCAGAAGCCAGATTTGCCCCAAACTCAAACCCCAGTCCTGCAACTGACTAACTTGTAACCTTAATTATATTAGTAATTTTATCTGTGCCTCCTTGTTCTTATCCGTAAGATGAAGACAACATGAATTGATCTCACAGGAGTTTAAGAATCATATGGTTTAATAATTACATAGAATGTGCTTAGAACAGAGCCTAGGACATAGCATGTGTTGCATAAATGAGGCAGACTGTGTTTCCAAGGATGGCCAGAGCAATGTCCCATATCTTACGGACTTTTGTGTACCGTGATCTTGCCACTCCCTCATGGAGAGGTGGAGTCTGTGCTCCCTTGCCTCAGATCTGGGTTTGCCCTATGACCTCTTATGACCAATACAATGTGATAGGAGGGAGATGTGTAACTGCAAGACCATGTCTTAAAAGATCTAAAGGTTCCATCTTCACCTCTTGGAACACTGCTCCTTGGAACCAAGCCTCCATGCTGTGAGGGAGCCAACTGGCCATGAGGAGTTCCAATGTGGCATTGGCCTTGTTATGGAAAAGCAGTAGCAGCTGAAGGGCAGTGAGGAGACTGTAACTAGAGGCTTGAAAGGCAGTGAGAAAATTTTTATTGGAATTTGGAGAAAAGGCAGCCTGTCCTATGCAAACATGTGACATTTGGCAACACCTACCTATAGTAAAGTATGAAATAGGAAAATGCACTCCATAAATTTGTGGATCTGGCTAAAGAGATTTCCAGAAGAATGTTGAAAGTATTGACTGGCTTTTTTTTACTGCCTATAATAAAGTGGGAGTGGGGAGAGCTGGGGTAAGATGGTCTAAAGAAGGAAATGTTCAATATTCAAACAGAATTTAGAGGAAATACTTTGAAACAAGGACTTGCAGATTTAGGAGAAAAAACTATTTCTATTTTTGGCTATCTCCGAGTAAGTAAAAACTTGAGGGGAAAAAGACCCAGATATATAAAGCAAATATTTTTAGATCTAAAGGGAGACAGAGTCTCCAATACAGTAATAGTTGGAACTTCAACTCCCCACTCTCAGCACTGGGCAGATGATCTAGACAGAAAATTAACAAAGAAACATTGGGTTTAAGCTGCACATTATAACAAATAGACCTAACAGACATTTACAGAACATTTCATCTAACAGCTCCAGAATACTCATTTTTCTCATCAGCGCACAGAACATTCTCCAGGATAGACCATATGTTAGGAAACAACACAAGCCTCAAAAAATTTTTAAAAATTGAAATCTTATTAAGCAGTTTCTCAGATCACAGTGAAATAAAACTAGAACTCAATGACAAGAGGAACTTCGGAAACTACACAAATACATGGAAATTAAACAACATGCTCCTGAATAACCACTGGGTCAAGAAAGAAATTAGAGTAAATCAAAAATGTCTTGAGACAAACAAAAATCGAAACACAATATATCAAAACCTGTGGGATCCAGCAAATGTAGTGCCTAGAGGGAGGTTTATTGTAATCAACACCTACATTTAAAAAAAAGAAAGGATTTTATATGAACAATATAGTGACGCTCCTCTACGAATTAGTAAAGCAAGAACACCCAAACCCCAAATTAGTAGAACTAAATAAATAATTAAAACCAGAGCATAATTAAATGAAATAGAGACTTAAAAAAAAAAGCACAAAAGATCACAATATAAAAACTGGTTTTTTTGAAAAAATAAACAAAATTCATAAACTACTTACTAGACTAGACAAGAAAAATAGAGAAGATCCAAGCAAAATTAGAAATGCAGGAGACATTACAACTAATACCGCAGAAATACAAAAGATCATCAAAGACTATAGTGAACAATTACATGCGCACACAGTAGAAAACTGAGAGGAAACTGACAAATTTCCAAACATATACAACTTACCAAGATAGAATCAGAAAGAAACAGAAAACCTGAACAGACAATAACAAGTGGTGGCATTGAGTCAGTAAATTAAAAAAGAAAAAAATCTCCTAACAAGGGATAGTCCAGGACTGGGTGGATTTACTGCTGAATTCTACCAACCTTTCCGAAAAGTACTAACACCATTTCTCCTTAAACTACCCCAAAACATTAAAGAGGAGGGAATGATCCTAATTTTACAATGCCAGCATTACCCTGATACCAAAACCAGACAAGGACACAACAAGAAAAGAGTAGTACAGGCCAATATCCCTGATGAACATAGACACAAAAATTCTCAAGAAAATACTGGCAAACTGAATCCAACATCATATATATATGTATACACACACACAGATGCACACAACATGGTCAAGTAAAATTTATCTCAAGGATGCAAGGATGGTTCAACTTACACAAGTTGGTAAACATAATAAATCACATCGACAGAATGAAGGACAAAAACCATATGATCATCTCAGTAGACACACACACAAAATTTGATAAAATTCAACATCACATCATGATAAAAACTCTCAACAAACTTAACATTATAAACATACCTTAACATAACAAAGGCCTTCTATGACAGACCCACAGCTAAGATCATACCAAACAAGGAAAAACTGAAAGCCTTTTTTCCTAAAAACTGGTAAAAGACAATAATGCCCACTCTTACCACTACTATTCAACATAGTATTGGAAGTCCTAGCTAGAGCAATCAGTCAAGAGAAAGAAATAAAAGGCATCTAAATTGGAAAAAAGGAAGTCAAATTGTCCCTCTTTGTTGATGATCTGATCTTATGTCTAGAAAAAACTAAAGGCTTCACACACACAAAAAAAAATCCTCTTAAATCTGACAAATAAATTCAGTAAAGTTGCAGGATACAAAATCAACATATAACAATCAGCAGTGTTTTATACACCAATAATCAACTAGCTAAGAAAAAAATCTAGAAGGCTATCCCATTTAAAATAACTATAAAAAATAACATACCTAGGAATAAATTTAACCAAGGAAGTAAAAAATATCTAAAAGGAAAACTAAAAAACACTAATAAAAAATTATAGATGACATAACTAAATGGAAAAACACCCCCATGCTCATGAATTGGAAAAAATAATATCTTTAAAATGACTGTACAGATTGCCTAAAGCAATCTATAGATTCAGTGCAATCCCTATCAAAATAGGACTAAAAAAAAAAGAAAACATCACAATATAATAGCTGGCTTTTTGAAAAAATAAACAAAATTCATAAACTACTTGCTAGACTAACCAAGACAAAAAAGAGAAGATCCAAGCAAAATTAGATTTTTATTTTTTTAAAGAAACAAAAAAATCCTAAAATTCATATGGAACCAAAAAAGAACCCAAATAGCCAAAGCAATCTTAAGCAAAAAGAACAAAGCTGGGGGCATCACATTACCTCATTTCCAATTATATTACAAGACAATAGTTACCAAAACAGCAGGGCATTGGTATAAAAGTAGACATGTGAATCAATGGAAGAGAATTGAGAACCAAAAATAAAGCCACATATTTACAGCCTATTGATCTTTGACAAAGTTAACAGGAACATACATTGGGGAAAGGACACACTTTTCAACAAACAGTGTTGGAAAAATTGGATTTCCATATGCAGAAGAGTAACACTGGACCCTCATCTCTTACCATAATACAAAAATCAACTCAAGATGGATTAAAGACAAAAATTTAAGACCTCAAACTATGAGACTAGTAAAAAGTATTTATTTTTTACTTTATTTATTTATTTTTATTTGTAGTTTCTAAAAATAAACGCTTGTAAATTTGGGATATACTTGTATTACTTTTGAATAATAATATTTAACACACATACACACATACAGAACCCTGATACGGTGCCTCCTGGCTTCTGGAATCTCAAAGCTCAGTCTCTCTCCAGTGAAAGGTCTAACAGATCAAGTGTGCAACTTCTTATCATTGAGCCTCAGTTTCTTCATCTGCAAAATCTGAGCTAGCCTTGTAACTTTTATAAGTAATAAAATGTAGTGAGAGAGAGATGTGCAACTTCCAAGGCTGGGGATTAACAGGGTTATACTTGCACCTATATCTCTGGGAACACTGACAGTGGCACACAGTCTCCATGGTGTGGGGAAGCCCAGCAGCCACGTGCAGAGATCCACATGAGGAAGGGAGGCCTCCATCCTAAGCCCCATCTGAACTCCCAGACAGCATCCAACACCAACTACTCATTGCGTGAATGAGGTCATTTCAACACTTCTGGCTTTCCTGGTCCCTCCATGAATATTACATAAAAAAGAGTCAAATCACAGAATGTGAGAAATAACAAAATTGTTGTTTTAAGCAACTATATTTTGGTGTGATTCATTACCCAGTCACAGATAGCCAAAACAGTGAATGTTTACTATTATCATTGGGATCGTTATATTTTTATATTTCCAAGGTGTGTCATTTTTCCTTGCCTTGGTTTAGGCCCACACTGGATACAGTGGAGAAATAGGATCTCAGTACATTCAATTTTCACTCACCCTTTGCTTGCAATGAAGCTACTCTGCAAATCACCTCTTACACAGTCTGCCTGAACCCAAATAGAGCCACAGATTGGGAGATGCAAAGATGACACAAATACCTGTCGGAGGATATGATGAAATTTAACAAGGATGAATGCAAGGCCCTGGATTTATATTAAAAAGCCAGCTTCCCAAGACATGCGGCTTAGCAGAAAAATATATTTAAGAAACTCAGCCCCCTTTATTTTTGGACATTAAGCTTATAAGTACTGCAAGAATGATAAGGCTGCCAAAAAATCTGATGTGGTGGTAGACTCTATTAATGGAAGTAAACTACCCAGAATAAAGAAAGTTGTACTCTACTGTAATGGGGTCAGAACACACATAGAAGACTCAGTTTTGCCCAAAGCACTTGAAAAGTGAAATAGGCAAACTGGAGTAAAATTAGGGGAGTGGCAAGATGGTTTACAGTACTCAAGAAGACACATATTACTCTTAATTAAACAAACACTTTGACTTAATGAGCATATAAATGCATAGATAAATGACTGAGGAAATACATTGCAAAAACTTGAAAATATCAGTACTGTATCTTGACCCCATCCATTCATTTAACAAATGCTTACTAAATGCAAACTGGGTTCTCAGCACTGTTTTCAGTATTGGAGATGAAGCAATGAATTCCCTGCTATCTTGTGGTTTACACTTTTATTTAAAAAACCAAGTAAACCAACAAGTTAATTTGAGAGGGTGATGTGTTGTGAAGCAAATAAAAAAGGGTCAGAGACTATAAAGTTTTTATGAGATCAAAAAAATCTTTAGTTTGGTTATTCAAAGATCTCTGCAAGGAAATGACATTTAAAATGAGACAACTTATAAGACGAGGGCTGTTCAAAAGAACTGGGAAGTATCTTTCTAGGCAGTAGGAACAGAAAGTGGAAAGAGCTCCAAGCAAGAACTTACTGACATGTTAAAAAAAAAAAAAAGCAGGAGACAATCCCAGTGGCTGGAACAGAATGAGAGAGGGAGGTGAGTGAGATTGATCAGGTGGACATGTCTGTCCTGAATTTAAATGTTCCACTCTCCAAAGTATCAACGTCCCTGCTATGTTTTGGCTCTTGATGTCTGGTTTGAGGCTTAACTAATATGATTATTTTACATGGAAGTTATATGAGCAGAAACTGGAGGAGCCATCTTCAGGTCTTTGGAAGGCTGGCATGTGGGATTTGGGTAAGGGTAAGGTCACAGTCTGTGTGTCCCCAAGAGGTAGCACTGTGATCTCAGTCAGTAGAAGCTGCAAGGGGTTGTTCAGCTCAGCAAAGAGCAGAGGTTTCTAGTTTATATCTGTATCCACTGATGGAATTTGTGTTAGTAGGTAATGAGTTTCTCATCACAGGAAGAGTCCAAGTAATGTAGGGCACTGCCTTACGGTTATAGTAGCATAGTAGCTGGAAATCATGCAATCAGTGTGAGACTGGAGTTAGTGTTTCTTTTTTCTTTTTTTTTTTTTTTTTTGAGATGGAGTCTCTCTCTGTCGCTCAGGCTGGAGTGCAGTGGCGCGATCTCGGCTCACTGCAACCTCCGCCTCCAGAGTTCAAGTGATTTTCCTGCCTCAGTCTCCCGAGTAGCTGGGACTACAGGCCCCGCCACCACGCCCAGCTAATTTTTTTGTACTTTTAGTAGAGACGGGGTTTCGCCGTGTTAGCCAGGATGGTCTCGCTCTCCTGACCTCATGATCTGCCCACTTCGGCCTCCCGAAGTGCTGGGATTACAGGTGAGAGCCACGGCGCCTGGCCGGAATTAGTGTTTCTTAAAGGATGGGGGCACACGCCACAGTTGTTAATGGCAGATGTTACACAGTCATGTCATTCAATAACATAAAATCAAGCAAAAAAAGGTTATTCCTTTTCAATTTCCTTTTAATTATACCCTTTTATTTCAAGAAGAATGTCTCATCTGTCTTTAATCCTTGATACTTGCTTTGTATTTTTATACTATACTCCCTTTTTTTAAAAAAAAAAAGGGAAATAAATTGTTAGATGCAGATATTATTTTTGCAGATAATAGTATCTTGCAAGACTTGTGAAACATTTTGCTTCCACATTTATTTATGTGAGTACTCATGAATTTAAGGCAAGTGATGTGGGATTTGCATTTATAGCAGTAATATAAAGATTACTTTTGTAAATAAATTCCATTATCAAAGAATAATATATATTTAAAGAAAAATATCACATACGTAGGCATGAGTGTTGTGTGTTGTGAACCATAACTATGGGGAGAAGAAATCATTATTACAGTAGTAAGCAAATCATTGATATTTGAAAACCTGATTAAATCTTAAAGTCTTTCCCAACTCTAGCTCCTTAGATTTCATAGAACAAAAATGGGGGCAAATAATTTTGCTGATTTTCTTAAACAAGTCAACCCTTTTAAAGAAAGCGGAAAGCTAGGATTCAGTTATGTATGTTAGGCTGAGTAGAAGCATCACCTCTAAACCCTAAGGATTTTTAGCCCCACCTTCAACCATCTCATTTCAAGGTTCAAAATCCCCAATTGTGGTGGTTAATTGTAAGTATCAATCTGGAAAGATGTACCAACCTGGAAAGACCAGTTGTTCCGTCAAATACTAGTCTAGCTCTTGCTGTAAAGGTATTTTTTATTTTATTTTTTTTTAATTTTTTACTCTTTTTTTTACTGCATGATCTCATTTACATGTAAACTCTAAAAATGTCACTCTAATAGAAACAGAGAATAGAATGGTGGTTTCCAGGGGCTGGAGAGTGGAGGAAATGGGGAGATGTTACTCAAGGGGCATAAGCCTTCAGTTACCAGATAAATAAATTCTGAGCTGGGCATTGGGGCTCACGCATATAATGTCAGCTACTTGGGAGGCTGAGGTGATAGGATCACTTGAGTCCAGGGCTTTCTTTAGAGCTGTGTTGGTTGATGGCATTATCTTATTAAATATATATTTCAAGTATATGAGACATTTCCATAGAGTGATATTAGATCAGTATATTGTAGCTAATTGGGACAGAACCTTGAGGTGTAAAGGTACGTTTTAGACGTGGTTAATATCTACAATAAGGTGACTTTAAGGAAAGCAGATGACTCTTCATAATATGGGTGGGCCTCATCCAGTCAGTTGAAGGCCTTAACAGCAAAGACTGAGGTTTCTCAATGGAGAAAGAATTCTGGCTTCAGACTGCACCACAGAAATCCTGCCCGAGTTTCCAGCCTTTGGACTCAAGACCTCAGCTTTTATGTGAATCTCCAGCCTACCAGCTTGCCCTACAGATTTCAGACTTGCTAGCCCCCACAATCATGTAAGCCAATTTTTAATGTAAATTTCTCTCTCTGTCTCCACACACACACACAGACATGCGCACACACACAGACACACACACACACCCCCTTGGAGATCCCTAACACACCAACTCAAACTGACTTATAGTCAAACAACATCACAAGCTAACACAAAGCTTAGAGCTTAAAACAAATTGATTGCATTGTACTAGCAATATGGAGGAGGGTTTCAAGCAGTACATGATCCAGGGGCTAAAAATAAGACCAGAAAGGTTCATTATTACCCATTTCTTGCCTCTGATTTCTAATTGTAGATTCATCATCAAGCTCTACAAGATGGCCTTTGGCAGCTAACCAAGCTCACATCCTCCCAAGTTCAAGTGCAAAAGTGAAGATAGCATCTCACCCACAAAGGTTCAAGTAATTGTCATGGGCCTGAAGGCCTCTGCCTCCAATTAATCCCATGCCCATCCCTGAACTAATGGCTGTGGTCAGAGAATGGGACGTACTGATTTCCTCACCCATGGGTCTGAAGGTTAAGAGAATTAGGTACTCCTCCAAAGAAACAAAATGCATTCAGGGTATTTTTATCAGAATAGGATGAGAGGGTTTGAGATGGGAATAGCAGAGCTCCACTACAGTAGTACTTCTGAAACATTCATGTGCAAAAGAAGCACCTGGGAGTTGGTTCAGACAAAGCCTCTGATTCATTAGATCCGGGATGAGGCTTGGAATTCTGCATCTGTAACAAACTCCAGGTGATTCTGATACTGCTGGTCTATAGTGTCCACACTTTGAGTACTGTGACATTATATCACATATTCCAGAGGTTAGCTGAAAACCATTCCTAATTACAGTAAGCGGTCAGACCAAATTGGGGGGATTGGTTTTCTGCCTCAACATAGCATTTTATCAGCATTACTCATCACTGTAACAAGGCCTTGGTTTTCACATCCGGAGGGAGCCCAGTCTCTTCCTTGCCTGCTGGAGGCATGGACAGGAAAACGGTCAGATACATACATCATGTAGCATGAGTCCCTGGGCCCGCTCAGTATTGCCCAGGGTAAGTGAGGACAGATAAAGATGTCGCTGCTACCTGAACACCTTTGTATGGAAGTCTGCATTCCTCAAGATTTACAGAATTCACGGAATGGATCAGAGAAACAGCCCAGAGCTGCTGTTTGTATTCTATCAGTGAGATTCACTGGAGAAAACCAGAGGTCAAGGTAGAGTCATATAATTTCATGGTTGAAGACTTTAGCCCATACTGCATACATCTCAGATAAGGTGTTTATTGCTGTAGGGGAAATTTGAACTTTGTGGGACAAAGGAGACCAAAGTCTTTTACTTTTTAAATACCATGTTAGTCTTTCAGCCAAAAGCTTGCAGTCAGGCTTCCGTGTCTGGGTTTTAAAGAGTGCAGGATTTGGGAGGCATCTGACATGAGAGAATCATTGAGCCTTACAGAAAATGTCTACAATTGGATCAACTGTTCCAAGGTATATGCCAGACAATCAATAGCTGATTCCATCAGGATTTTACCTATAACAAGGGATAATTTTATTTCTAACCATTAGAGGAATTTGATTTTTTTTTACATAGTTCATCTAATTCTCAGATATTGACTACAATGATTGTCAAACATAAATAAAATAAACATGCAAAAGAACTTGTTATTCTTAAAAGAAGTGGTGATTTAGATCACAGGATGCTGATATGACTTGTCATAGTAGTTTCTCACCACTTTTTGCAGAAAGATAAAAATATAACACAGACTGGTAAAGAGACCATGGTCTGGGGGTAGTGGCAGAGGGTCCAAACTATATATCCCAACTTCCTTGTACATATAAAATAAATTTTCCCTGTAAAATAAATTTAAAATGACGGCAGCTTATTCTAAAGTTTTTTTACTCAATTCCATTCAGTTACTTGTTTTTTGAAATTTATCCATGTTTTCATTTCTTGATTTCCAAGAGGAAAACACCTCTACAATAAAAGAATAAATAGTCAGAAACATGTGAGTATATTCCTTGCTTGAATATACTTCCCACAAGGGCAGAGAAAGTCTGTCTTGGTCAACATGGATATCTGTCACCTAGCACAGTGCCTGGAGGATACATTGATCATATTGTTAAATAAGTGATATATTAGACTATTGGATTATATAGTTAAAAAGACATAATTTTCCTCTCTGTTTTATTTCTTCTAGGAAAGACAGAATTGTATAACGAAATAAAAATGTGTATGCATAGGAACAGAGGCTTAAAAGTGACTGATGTGTTTCAAAGCAGGCAAAGATTTTGATACAAATAAAGTACTGAAATGCATGGTGGGGAATGGTGAGAGGTAAGTATGGAAAGGAAGGAGGGAAAAGATTATGATGTGTATTTGTCACATCCCTTTAAATGGCACCTGGCAAATTATAATTCAAGTTGGTTTAAGCATAAATTATATTGGCACATGGAAAAGTCAAGAATATTGGGATTCAGGCATGGCTAGATCTAGGTGTCCCAATGATAGAATCAGGAATCTGTCTCCTTATGTATTTTGGCACAACTTTTTCCAAGTTGTTTTAATTTTCATTCAAGCTGTCTGCCAGAGGTACAAGAGTGGACATCAGCAGCCTCAAACTTACATCTTCCTAGTTGAAGAACTCCAATGGAAACTGATACCTGTGACATGTTCTGAAGATGGCAGATAGGAGGCAGGACTAGCTTGCAGCTCCTGCTCGGACAGACGGAGCAGCTTGTGGAGACTCACACTGTGAACTTTTGCTCAAGGAACTACCACGGCAACATACCAGGAAAGCTGAGAGAATCCACAGATGCTCTGAAGGAACTGTGTAGCTTCCACAGTTTCCCTGAGATGCTAAAAAAACTGTAAGGTCTGATTGCTTTCTCAGTGGGGAGGCTGGTGGTCTGGAACAAGTTCTCAGCCCTGGCCACCAGCTGCCTGGAAATAGACTTGGTACTGTTGGGGGGCACAGTGGGAGTGATACTGGCCTTTAGGACTGTGTGTTGCATGGGAGCATGGTGAGGCCTGTGACTGCCAGCTTTCCCCCACTTCCCTGGCCACCTTTATGAATCAGCAGAGGCAGCCATAATCCTCCTGGAAACATAACTCCATTGGCTGGGGAATCACACCCCTATCCCCCGCAGCAGCCGCAGCAAGCCCCGCCCAAGGAGAGTCTGAGCTCAGACACACCTAGCTCTGGGCCTACCCTTTCTCTACCCACCCTGGGTGCGCAAGACAAAAGATATAATTTCTTGGGAGTTCTATGGCCCTGCCTACCACCTGAGAAACCTGAATATGTAACCAGGTAACCCTAGGGCGAGTTTGCTTCCTACCAATAGTACCACAGCGGATGTACTCTTGAAAGTCCGATCAACACAAAACCAGTGCACCGAACAAAAATACAACCAAAGACCCTCACAGAGTCCACTTCACTCCCCTGCTACCTCCACCAGAGCAGGTCCTGGTTTCCATGGCTGAGAGACCTGAAGATGGATCACATCACAGAACTCTTTGCAGACACTCCCCAGTACCAGCCCAGAGCCAGGTAGCTCCACTGGGTGGCTAGGCCCAGAAGAGCAAAAACAATCACTGCAGTTCAGCTCTCAGGAAGCCTCATTCCTAGCGGAAGGGGGAGAACACCACATCAAGGGAACACCCTTTGGGACAAAAGAATCTGAACAGCAGCCTTTGAGTACAAGATCTTTCCTCTGACATAGTCTACCCAAATGAGTAGGAAACAGAAAAACAATTCTGGTAATATGACAGAACAAGGTTCTTTAACACCCCCAAAGGATCACACCAGCCCACAAGCAATGGATCCAAACCAAGACAAAAATCTCTAAATTGCCAGAAAAAGAATTCAGAAGGTTGATGATTAAGCCAATCAAGGAGATACCAGAGAAAGGTGAACTCCAACTTAAAGAAATCAAAAACATGACACAGGATATGAAAGGAATATTCTTCAGTGAAATGGATAGCATAAGTAAAAAACAGTCACAACTTCTGGAAATCGAGGACACCCTTATAGAAATGCAAAATGCACTGGAAAGTCTCAGCAATAGAATCAAACAAGCAGAAGAAAAAACTTCAGAGCTTGAAGACAAGGCTTTTGAATTAACTCAATCCATCAAAGACAGAGAAAAAAAGAATTCAAAAAAAAAATGAAGAAAGCCTCCAAGAAGTTTGGGACTATGTTAGGCATCCAAACCTAAGAATAATTGCTGTTCCCGCGAGGAAGAAGAGAAATATAAAAGTCTGGAAAGCATATCTGAGGGAATAATTGAGAAAAACTTCCCTGGCCTTGCTAGAGATCTAGATATCCGAATACAAGAAACCCAAAGAACACCTGGGAAATTCATTGCAAAAAGATCATTGCCTAGGCACATAGTCATCAGCTTATCTAAAGTTAAGACAAAGGAAAGAATCTTAAGAGCTGTGAGGCAAAAGCATTAGGTAACCTGTAAGGGAAAATGTATCAGAGTAACAGCAGATTTCTCAGCAGAAATCCTACAAGCTAGAAGGGATTGGAGTCCTATTTTTAGCCTCCTTAAAAAAAAACAGGATCAAGCCCTTGTTGTCTGCAGTGATGACAAGCTCAGTGTTTTCTCTCCTTCCCTCTTTTATTCTCCCCGTTCTTTTACTCCTGTGCTCTAAATCACCTCCTACCTGAAACTACCTGATTTCTAGGGGTTTGGAGAGCCCATATAAAATGATAGGTGAATGTGATAGTCTGAGCGGTTCTGAGAGCCTGAACTAAGGCAATGACAGTTTGAATTAAGAAGCAGAGAAATGTTTATGCAAAAGATAAATGGTGGGGCAGGGTAATTGAGCTTGAAAAGAATGTGAGATTTTATATACACCTGATTTATCCAGGAAATCAGTGGAACTCAGAGGAAACCCAATGACAAGAATGAGCATTTTACCTATATATGCAACTAACTGCCTCTCTCCAAGAGCCTTGGAAGATGGCCATCTTGTGAGGAAGCCTCCAGCCAATATCCAGTATCAACCACCACATATGTGAGTAAATGAGCTGACAGGTGATTTCAGGCCCTGGCCTTAGAGTCTTTCAAGTGAGGACATAGATAAAATGATGCCAAGACAAGCCATCCCATATATATAGTGTTTCTTGTATCTAGGACCCATAATTATCAAAAGCTAATGTTTCAGTTTTCTGGACATTTAAATTGTGGAGGAAATAATCTAGATTACTTTTTAAATGCTAAACTGATGGTTTACCAATTATCCTAGGACATTAAACAAGCCACCTTTCATACGCTGATATGGAAGGTAACAAGATGGAGAAATTCAGATGGCATGGTGGGGATGGTTTGTCTTCGCATCATTTTATCTATGTCCTCACCTGGAAGACTGTAAGGCCAGGGCCTGAAAACACGTGTCAGCTCATTTACTCACATATGTGGTGGTTGATACTGGATATTGGCTGGAGGCTTCCTCACAAGATGGCTGTGTTCCAAGGCTCTTGGACAGAGGCAGCAGGGCATGCAGTGTTGTTCTGTTGGTCTAGGCAGTCACAAAACTTTTCTTGTGTTTAAGTGACTGGATCACAGACCCCATATTTTGATGGAGGTTTATCAACATCACATCAGTTTTTATTGCTGCTGTAACAAATTAGCACAAATTTAGCAACCTAAAGCAACATATCTTTAATCTCACAGATAATGCTCTCTGGTAGAAATATAATACAAGCTCCACACGCAATTTTAGATTTTCTAACAGGCACATTTAAGAAAGTTAAAAGACACAAGGAAAAATAACGTTAATAATATTTTAACACTATACAGCTCAAATCTTATCATTCCAACATGAAATCAATATGAAAATTGAGATATTATGTATTTTCTGTAGCAAATCTTCAAAATTTATTGCGTATTTTTCACTAACAGCACATCTTAATTTGGTTATTGTTGGTTTTTTTTGTTTTGTTTTGTTTTGTTTTTGAGTAGGGGCAGGGTTTGAGACAGGGTCTTGCTCTGTTGCCCAGGCTGGAGTGAAATGGTGTGATCATGGATCCCTGCAGCCTTGACCTCTCTCGCTCAAATGATCCTCCCACCTCATCCTCCTCAGTAGCTGGGACTACAGGCACATGCCACCATGTCAGGCTAATTTTTGTATCTGTTGTAGAGATAGGGTTTTGCTGTGTCATCCAGGCTGATCTCAAACTCTTGGGCTCCCGTGATTCATCCACTTTTGCATCTCAAAGTGCTGGTATTACAAGTGTGAACCACTGCACATGCCACATCTTAATTTGGATTAGTGGCAATCAGATTGTGTAGCTAAACCACGTGTTTGAAATTATTCCGGTAGTAGCCTTTAAAAATCTAAATAATAGGCTGATATCACACATACCTTCAAATGCCAAAATCTTCCCCACCGCCCATGTTTTTTGGTGTGCAATTTTAGAGATAAGAGATAATTTATCTAGCTTCTCTGTGGCTTAACATTCTTTTACTGAATTAGGAATAGGGTTGAGGGTGTAGCAGAGCAATAAGTAGGATACTACAGGCTGGCTTTCAGCAAAAGAGATCATTTGCTTCAAATTTGGTCACTGTTCCCACTTCTTTTCTCTGCAGTAGCCAGTGGTAAATAATTGGGGTAGATAAATGTGGATAGAAGAGATAAGTGTGGTAGAAGGTGGTACATCAGTTTTGAACAATAAAATTTTACTCCTGCTATCACCCTTTGGTGCTGGTACCATATCAATCCCTAAAGGGCAGGACCTCAGCAGGTTGGTTGAGGGGCAAGAATTACATTTAGTGTCCTTTCCCTCCCCTATCAGCTTTCCTGGCTGCCCCAGGGGTCTGTGAACAACATCAATGTAACTGATCTTATCCAAGGAAAAGATGAGTTCTTGATGGTCAGTCCTTTTCCACACTTACAGCATAGAATATGTTCCTTTTTTTGGCAGATTCTTCCTATTCTAGTTATTTGGAAAACCCCCTCTCATCCTTCTTGACCTGACACAAGTGGCATTCTCCTTGGGAAACCTTCTCCAGCACCACTAATCTCTGTCTTTTATCATTTCAAATTCCCTTGTACATCTTCTATTAGAGACTTTAACACTTTACTATGATGGTTTATTCATCTCTCTGTCTCCTCAATATATTGTTACATCCTCCAGGGAAAAGACCACACCATTTATCTCCTCCTTCTCTGCAATTATCACAAGGCTTTTCTCATAGTAGATGCTCAGTCATGGGGGCTGCTTTGGTTCACTGAATACAGAAAAGCTAATTGGCCCATATGGGGGAATGAACATGTACTCTTGACTTTTTCTATTCCCTGAGCTCTGAGAAGACAAGATTTGCATACCTTTGTTGTCCTAGGTCAAGAGAGCCGCATGCAGTTCAAAGTACTAGAGGTAGAATACAGAAATATTTGACAATATACCTCTTTAGATAGATAAAGAGGACCTATTCATATAGAGTGGGGAAAGAATCAATGAAGTTCCTGGCCCCTTTGCCTTTAACAATAGTCTTTCTGAGCAGCAGAAAAAGAAAGCCTCTAAGAAGGTGATTAATGTGAGCTCCTGCTGAGGACTTCAAATTGATCTTGGCAAAGAAAATGTCATTTCTCTCCTGTCCCTTGACTTCAGAGAGAAAACATGGAAAGAAAAGTTTCAAACAAACTGGCGTATACACAAGATATTTTCAGATAAGACGAAGGATACAGTGGGCCATCTGGGAGTAAAAAGAAGTGGATCCATCCACCCAATGATAAAAGTTCATTTTCATTATTACATTGCTTCTGCTTCAAGCTGCTTGTTGCTTGCTATCATCTTTAATAATGACATACCTGATTCTTCATGTGACACCCTGATCTCACAGTTGGTGATCCCACACCTACAGTAGCATTTCTTAATTTTTACTGTATTTATAGAATATATACTATTTGACATTTGCTCAGTTCTGTGGAAGTGGACTTAAATCAGGTTTGATCCCAGCCCTGAAGAAGCTCATATATTCTAGCAGAAAAAAAAATATGAAACATGAAATTATAATCTACTGTCAGAAAGTCATAGATAGAGATGCCTGTGAAACATACTGGTGGTATAAAAAAAAGAGAAGTATTCATTTTGTCTCTTTTTTATTTCTTCAACACACGTATATAGTGATCATATGGTCTACCAGGCTCTGGTACCAGTAGTGGCCATGTGGTCTGCCAGGCTCTGGGGTTACAGCAGTGAAAAGAAAAGTCAAACTTGCTATTTTGAAAGGTCCCCTGGCTAACAAAAGCATAGGTTTTTCAGAGATCTGAAGAGGTAACAGTGTGGCTGGAGCTCTGTGGTCAAAAGGCAGAGTGGCATAAAATGAGGTCTCAGAGCTGGGCAGGGGCCACATCATGGAGAGTTTCGTAGGCTACGCTAAAAAGTTTGTTTTTATGCTTTTGTTTTTTTGTTTGTTGCTTTTCTTAGATCATGGATTTTAGGCCAGATAGTAACAAGATATAATCTATACTTTTGAAAGATCATTTGTCTACCATGCAGAGAATGGACTTAGGTTGGTGGTTGAGGTTGAAAGAAAAGTCGAGATTGGAAGAAGAGAGATCAGTTTGGAAGTTGTTGCAGCAGTTCAGGTGAGAAATTATGGTGCATTAGGCTAGGAAGTGACACTGAGAATGGAGAGAAGAAGATGGGTGGAAATACATTCTCCAGACATACAATAAGTCAAGGATAAGCAATAACAGTTCAGGAGGAGGAGAAAACATGTAAAAACATGGGAGCAAGGAAACAGATGAGGAAACATCTTCTTCCTTGTCACTAGGAAGAGCATAATCATACCAGAAACATCACAACCACTACTCCCATCTTCACGACCATTTTCACCACGACCACCACCACTATTATCACCATCACCCCCATCATCACCATCATCATCATCATCATCACTACCACCATCACTATCATCACCATCATCATCACCACCACCATCATAACCATCTTCACCATCATTATCACCATCACCATCACCATCACCATCATCACCACCACCATCACCACCACCATCACCACCACCATCACCACCACCATCACCACCACCATCATCATCATCATCGCCACCACTATCACCATTGTTACCTCTGCTACCATCATCACTATCACCACCATTATCATCATTATCACTACCATCATCATCATTTTCTTCATTCTGCATGTCATCAAATGAGCAATAAATTGCAGTATAGAATAGTTTTAATTTACAGTAATTTTTCATCATTAACTCATTTGAATTTCTCAAGCTTAAGCTTTAGCTTCTCAATCTCTACCTACAACTATTTTCTCTAAAACCTCTTTCCAACCACTGCATTCATTGTCACTGGATATTCAGTAGCTAGATCTCTCACCATTGTCCTAACCCTTTTTATCTCCTCTATCATTATGTGCCTCCCTTTCTAATGTCATGGCTTGCTGAGACATTACCAAACTATCCTTTCTGGCCTCGTATGTTTATCATACCTTTGGCATCACCATACATCCTAACAAGTCCTTGAACTTGGGTCACACTGAGTATTCAGTTTTTCTGATTATGAACATCACAAAATCTTGCAGAGAATAACCACTACAATTCAATTCTATTTCATTTCTTTAGGAAATATATTTCACCTTTATATTATCTCTACACCATCCAAGCCCCAGTATCATATCATCCCTTCCCTCTTCAGCAGTGAGCTCACCCACTAACTCAAAGAAAAGACAAACCTTCATACAGAGTCCTGTATCTTCTCTATTCAGCAGTTTAAAATTTTTCTTTGGGTGATTCTTTTTATAATTTCAATTTATCTTTGTATCCAACTGTGTCTTTTCTCAAAGATATCAATAACATTTAACAAACTGGTAACCAGATTGTTATATTGATTGAATCTTTTGCTAAGAGCTTATCAGAGAGAGCTGCTTTTTGAAGGCTTTAAACTCTATTCTGACTGAATCTAGTGTCTAGGTAGCATCTGCCTTAATGATGACTCCGGTCACCACTATTGTATTCTTTGTATACAGAGTAGAATTTGGGGACCCGATCACTCATTTCTCAGCTCTGAGGTGAATATAATCCTGCCCTATTCCCTAGGTAATCACTGGGTTTAACACAGAAAGAAGAAGGGTGGTCTTATATTCAGGAATGTATTTTTGTTAGGTCTCTGTGCACCCCTCTACCTAGACAAAGATGCTATCATCTGCTACTCACCCACCCAGGACACTGATTTGTTAAATCATAGAAGTGTGATTTCAACAGTAACCAAAGAAGCTACACTGTTTTTTGAAATTTCATTGAATAAACTCTTAAATCCAACTCAATATTTATCAGAACACCAATTAAGAAAAACTCCAACAACAGGCTGTTACTTAAAACATATCATTGACGATTTTGGAAATTTCAAAATGTATCTCTGGACAAAGCCAAGTCACTAGATGACATTATATAGATTCTTGCAAAATTGCCTTTTCCAAAATTGTGCCTTGGTAGGATAACTTCAGGCTGTATTGACAATCATTATTTTAAAAAAATGTAAAACATTTAAAAAAATTTAAATCGTTGATGGTCGGGCATGGTGGCTCACACCTGTAATCCCAGCACTTTGGAAGGCCAAGGTGGGTGGATCACCTGAGGTCAGGAGTTCGAGACCAGCCTGGCTAACATGGTGAAACCCTGTGTCTACTAAAAGTACAAAAATTAACCTGGCATGGTGGCACATGTCTGTAATCCCAGCTACTCGGGAGGTCGATGCAGGAGTATCACTTGAACCTAGGGTGTAGAGGCTGCAGTGAGCCAAGATCATGCCATTGCACTCCAGCCTCGGTGACAGAGTGAGACTTTGTATCAAAAAAAAAAAAGAAAAAAGAAAAAGAAAAAGCATTGTTAAGGACATTGCTCTTGAGATCATATATATTTTCTTTATAAGGATCTGAAAGAGAAATTTCAATCTGATCTTTGTGACAAGAACATTTGTATTTCTCTTGAAAAAGTAGCTTGTTTTTATATCATGGGTATTGCAAGTAATGAGAAAACAGGCAAACTTTCCTCAGGAAGCTGAAAGCCAAATATTTGCTGCACCAGTTTCTGGAATACAAGTCATGACAAACTGCTTTTTAACCTCATAGCAAGTTCTATTGCACACCCTCTGTCTTGTTTTCCTAGTAACTTTCGCTCTACCTTTTCATTTCTACTACCTTGTGGTGTTGCATGTCCTGTTGGAAGCTATTGGGAATCCTGTCTGGAAAAGATGGAGGAAAAAGTAAATTTAAAAATGTTCGTAGTTTCTAGTTCCTTTGAAGCATTGCATCTCTTTTTATGCTTTTAAAGAACTTCAATCCGAGACAATCAGAACCTTTTGTGTTTAACTAGAACTCTGAACCCACTTTGAAGCATTTTGTTGGACTGAGTAAGCATGTTGATGATATCTAGCTTTGAGATGGGAAAGACAAAGCAGGTTCCTGGGAATCTTCCTCTGGAGATTTTTTCTTTCTTCCTTTGACTGAAGCTGTGCTCATACTAACAGGCAGGGTTTAGATACTGAATATGTTTGAGCCAAAAAAAAAATTCATGAATCAAAGAATGACTTTGTACTGGTGAACAGGACTCAGCCAGAAAGAAAGAAAGTTATAAATTATTAAACCAGTCTCCCAGAGCAAGATAGAGTAGTTGAAACAAAAACACAACTGTGTTGTTCCGTTTCTGTTTGGGTCTCAGAAGGTGATGAGCCTCCTCAAAACTTAAGAACAGTCTTAGAGGCAGGAGCAAAAAGGAAGCTGATTTTATTCCAGTGGGGTAGGAAGGTCAGAACATAAGCTGTGAACCCAGTTCAGAATTTGTGAATGTCATGACGGTCCATCCTGTTAGGATAACACCTTGGGATACATCAATATTCCTTTTGTTCTTTCCACACAACCCAGCCATGATCTAGAGGAATTTCTAACATCTCATCAGCTTTCAACCACATCCATTTGAAGAGAGAGATGCCAAGCGCCGTCAGCCTGTTTGTGGTATTTCTTTTCTTTTTTTATGTGCCTAGTGTTTAAAGGCTGCCCATTGAGTGAACCACAGTTGTGGGCCAGGGGGAACAAAAATAAGCTGTAGTCATTGTAGCTGGGCCACAGACATCATTCTGGGTGGCTAACTCGAATTCCCCTTAGAAGTGGGAAGAAAGATTGTAAAATATATTAAGCACATAATATGCACCAAACTTCATTTCTATATATTACAAACAGAGGCTCTGGTTCAGGACAGTCTGGGTTTGAATTCTAGTTTTGCCACTTTCTCACTTTATGACTTTGGTTAAGTTGACTTGACTCTCTTCTTCTTCAGGGTCATCATTTATGAAATGGGAATAGTGACGGTACCTGCCTCATTGGGTTTGTCAAGAAGTAGAATTGTATGTAAAGGTATGTGAGTATAATGTGGACCAGCGCCTGGCATGTACTAAGGGTGCTGTAAGTATCTGTTGTCATAATCTTGGGAAGAACTTTTAATTCCTACCCACGAATGAGTAATTGAGGCTCAAAAAGTTGACAGAGAGTGTTTGAATTTTTGGCAGACTGCTAATTGCCATCATGCATACACGTACGCGTACTCACACACACATCCACTCTTTATTATGAATAGCCGTTAGTCCTTTGCTCGAACGACAGTGATATCACTGTCCGTATGTCCTCATTACGCAAAACTCTGAATACTGGAAAGTTTTCTTTATACCTGAGGGCTTCATTAATGGGTTAAATATGTCTTCCTTTTGCCCCCCAAAACACCAGCAGGTGTAAGTTGCTAGGAACCAACTTCAGAAGAACAGGAACTGGGGGAGTTAGTATTTCCAAGACTAGCTCTTCCTGATTGTGGTGTGTGGTTTTCAGTATTCAAATATAAAACCATCTAGAAGAAGTGCTAGAGACAACAGGAAGTGCAGACCCAAAAATGCAACATAAAAGCCAGGCAGACCTAAGGAAATTATTGAGAGAGGAGGTACTGAACTGAATGAGGGCCAGAGAATTTTCAGAGTTAGGGCAAAGAGCAGAGAGCTGTGTGACTTTGCAAAAGTTATTTAACCTCTTTTAAACCCAGTAAAATGTAAATAAATGAATTAAAGTGCTTGTAAAAGAGATAGAATATGTCCAACCTATGCATTACAAAAACTATTCTCATTTTATTTATAATATTTTTGTTCTTATATTCTTTGATACAGCCTACTTGAACAGTACTCTGCCTACTTCTTGGCATTCAGTCCCTGCTAGTCTGCCCTTCTCTCCGTAAATTCCACTTAATGGTTTTCTTTTCTGTTTTTTGACAATGTCAAGCTGATAGTGCTTCAGGGCTTTTGCATTCATTCTTCCCTCCATCCTGAACTCTCTTTCTCCATATCTCTCCTAATCCCACTAATGAATGGCATTAGTGCCCATAAGAAAGAGTCCTCTGAGAACTCTCTCACTTCCCTTCCAAGTGTATCCAAGTGAGGATACAAGAAGTCAGCCATCTGCAACCTGGAAGGCAGCCCTCATCAGAATCCAACCATGCTGGCACCCTCATCCTGGACTTTCAGCCATCCAAGACCATCCCTGACCATCTGCTCCAGATAAGCTCCTCCCCTCCAAGTCCTATTTGATCATATTTGTTTATTTCCTTCACTGCACTCCTAGAAATCTGTAATTACTTATTCAGTTATTTGTTTGGTCATCACACTCTTTTCCTAGAGAATTTGAAATCTATGAGGACAGAGTCATTTTACACCTGTCCAAGCTTATCTATAATAAGCATAAGAATGGTTAATATTTATTGAGTCCTTATACACTTGCATGATTCTAAGTGGTTTTCAATATCACTCCAATTCTCACCACCACCCAAGGGGTTGTTTTTGTTATTATTGTGACTAGCAGGATTATACTTATTATTCCCATTGTATAGATGAGATAACAGGCTCAAATCTACCCAAAGCCACACTGCTGAGTGGCATGGGTGAAATTCTGACTTGAGAAGTTTGGTTCCAGACCCCAAGCTGCTATCCACTATCCACATTCACATAATAATCCACAACCATCTTGACATTGAGAATGAATGAATGAGTGATTACATCAAGAAAGATTGGGTGTCCTAAGATCCAGATGGTCTTTTCTGAATTCCCAGATGTTATAGACTGAAAGTTTTGCCCATCTGAAATTTGTATGTTGAACTCCTAACTTCCAATGCCATAGCATTAGGAGATAGCACCTGTGGGAGGTAATTGGATCATGATGATGGAACTCTCATGAATGGGATTAGTGCTCACATAAAAGGGGCCCCTGATAACTCTCTCACTCCTTTTCTACCATGTGAGAATACAACGAGAAGTTGGCCATCTACAATCTGGAAGGAGGTCTCACCATAAGTGACCATGCTGGCACCCTGATCTTAGATTTCCAGCCTCCAGACCTGTGATAAATACATTTCTGTTGTTTTTAAGCCACCCAGTCTATGGTGCTTTGTTATAGCAACCCAAATTAAGACAGCATCCACATCTACTTGGGTTGAGAAAATTCATTAAGAAGAACCGGCTTGGGAAGGCTCAGGCACCAAGTGGTCCCAGGGCTTTGAGTCCTTTTATTTTCCCAGGACAGCACACCCACACAGCTCATAGACTCGTTAGGGCCACATTAAACCTTGGAATGGGACAGATTATGATTCCTGCAAAGAAGTTGCACTGGTAATGACTGGGCAGTGGTTCCTCTGGGGCTTGCCTGTTTACAAAATGGTACTGGATTTCTCACATCCTGAATTCAGAGTCACCCTGGGAAATTCTTAATCCTTGCTCCTTATGATCTCAAGATGTGTGGCAGCAGAGAGCCAGAAAATGCCTCCAGGCTTTCTTCTTTCTCCCTTTGCCTGTTAGATATTCTCAGAACACAATAGGATTCAGGAACCATGTGAGTTTGTGTGCCCACGTGCAGCAGGGCCAGTTTTATTACTTTATGACGGTTCCTTCCTGAATGTCTCATAGAATACAAGTCTGAACACTGTGAGTGAGCCCTGGGAGGGTTATCTCTTTTTACTTTCAGGTCTTGGCAATTTTATTCCAATAGTGTCATCAATATTGATTATGTGTCTACTCTATGTATCGTAATAATACTAATAACCTACATTTATACAGTCCATATAAACCCTTAAGTTTGCAAAGAAGCTTGAAGGTCATCACTCTAACATGGCCCATTCTATCCATTTCAGCATTGATTTTGTCTTATTCAATCATCAGAACCATGTGAGGAACGTTGGATGATTAGTCCTAATTTAAAGATGGAGAGGAGCATAAGGACTCACTTACTCAAGGTCACAAGATAATAAATGACGAAGCTGGCACTCAAATCACTGTCCTTGTAAAGAGACACATTGTGGTAGATATGACCACCTACTGACACTACTTGGTATGTATTAGCTTTTACTATGGAACAAGGCTTCTCAAAACTTACTGACTTGAAAAAACTGTCTTTTATTTAATTCACAATACTGTGGAATGGCAAGTTAGGCTGAGCTCACTGGAGCATCTCTTTGAGTCTCAGCTGGGCTCACTTGTGCATCTGTGGACAGCTACTGGGTCAGCTTAGCTGGGAGCCGGCTGGCCTAGGATGGGCTCAGTTGATATGGTTTATGTCTAATGGTCTCTCACCCTTTGGCAGACTAGCTTAGTGTTTTAAATGCTGACTGGAAGAGTCCCAAAATGGGAAGGAAACTGTAAGGCTTCTTGAGGCCTAGGCTCAGAACTGGAATTACATTGCTTCTGATACATTCTAATGACCAAGTCAAGTCACAAAGCCAGACCAGAAAAGAGTACAATTGCCATCTCTTGATGGAAGGGGATGCAAAGTGCTCCATTGAAAGGGCACGGGAACAGGGCAGGGAAGAATTTGTGGTCTTTTTAGAAAAAAATCTACCACGAAGTGTTACAAAAAAAAATCTTTGAATTTGTTAAAGAATATAATCCTTGGCCACATAAATGTCTTCTTTTGAGAAGTGTCTGCTCATATCCTTTGCCCACTTTTTGATAGGTTGGTTGGTTTGTTTCTTGTAAGTTTGTTTAAGTTCCTTATAGATTCTGGATGTCAGACCTTTGTCAGATGGGTAGATTGCAAAAATTTTTTCCCATTCTGTAGGTGGCCTGTTCACTCCGATGATAGTTTCTTTTGCTGTGCAGAGCTCTTTAGTTTGATTAGATCCCATTTGTCAGTTTTGGGTTTTGTTGCAATTGCTTTTGGTGTTTTAGTCATGAAGCCTTTGCCCATGCCTATGTCCTGAATGGTATTGTCTAGGTTTTCCTCTAGGGTCTTTATGGTTTTGGGGCTTAAAACCTAGATGATGGGTTAATAGGCGCAGCAAACCACCATGGCACATGTATACCAATGTAACAAAGCTGTACATTCTGCACATGTATCCCAGAACATAAAGTAAAATAAAAAAAATGGTAAAAAATATACATATAATCCTTGCACCCAGGATATTTATATTCCAAAGATTAGATACCTTTCTAAGTAGAAATAGATGAAAATCATTCACATATGATGATGTCTTACTCTTGTCAAAATACTCTCACATCTCTTTTCTCTTTTAATCAAAGCGCAACTCAGAAGTAAGGCAGAAGAGTTATTGCCATGTGCTGCCACACTTGAGAAAGCTGAGATTCAGAGAACATCAGTGACAACCCAAAGCCATATGGTAAGTTGCAGTGCTACCTATTGTACCATTTTCTATGGTGTCAAACATGCTTCCTGTCACACCAAACTGCCTCAGTTTGCATGAAGGATTTTTGAATGTCATGATGAGGAGAAAAGCATGTAGAACAGGCCTGTAAAATCCTAACAACACCTGTATTGAACAGGCCTTCAAAATCCTAACAACATTTTAGCTGGTCACTGGGGGAAGCTAAGGTGTGATTTCCAACTCCTCACCCATTGAGTGGTTTCAGAATGACTAAAATGCTTTCAGTCCCTGACCTGAGTATTTCCAAGAATTTTCTTCATTATTTCAAACGGTTACCATTTATTAAGATATATAAAATGTTTTAGACTTTGCACAAATATTATTCCAAACTTCACAGTTTGGGATTATTATCCGTAATTCACAGATTTGTAAGTCAGGTCGCCTGTGGTTGAAAGTGAAGAAATGTAACTCAAACTGGTTTTAGCAAAATAACAACAAAAATAATTTATTGATTCATGTAGTTAGAACACATGAATAGAGGTTGTCTGACTTCCGTTGCACTCTAGTGCTGCAAAAAATTTCTCACTCCCTCATTTTAAGTCGATTTTCCTTGGCATTGATTTTATTCACAGAAAGGGTCTTCCCTCATGGTGGTGAAGATAGCTGCTACAACCTTCCAGCCAGCAGTTAGGGAAACCAGCAAAATAACTTACCTTATTCCGGGTAGCTCTAGTAAAATTCCTGGGAAGATCCTCACTGGACAGGCCTGAGTCATATGTCCGTGCCTGAACCCATCACCATATCAAAGGTACAGCAGGGCTCTGATTGGTCAGAGCTGGAGTGTAGGCCTTCCACTGGTGCCCAGGGCGGGGCCAACCCTTTGGAAATACTTGAGAAGTGGTTGTACAATGAAAACGTAGTTAGCAGAACAAGAGGTTGCCAGAAGAGGGCAACAATGCTGGGAAGAAAGATGATAACAGATATCCATAATAGTCAATAAGAAAATAAAAATTTGTATTAATGAAACAATTTCTCTAAGGTAGCCCATGTACTGAGTTCACGGTCCAAAACCCCAAACTGTGCTTTCTACACACTCCCCACTGCCATTTCCCACATCCATTGATGGTGCCCTGATCATTTATTCAATAAGAACAACAACAATACTAGTGGTATTAGTAATAATAGCAGTAATCATAATAATCATAGTAATGCTGATATAATGCCTTTATGCTCAGTACTATTCTAAGCCCTTTACTTACAATAATTTATTTAATCTTCACATCAAGCCTATCGCGTGAGTACTATTATCCTCATTTCCAGATGAGGAAACTGAGCCACAGAGAAATTTTAAAACTTGTACACAAAAATACTTCTAAAGACAGGCTTCTAAGACAGCCTGAGAGTGGTGGCTCAAACCTGTAATCCCAGCACTTTGGGAGGCCCAAGCTGGCGAACCACTTGAGGTCAGGAGTTCAAGACCAGCCTGGTTAACATGGAGAAACCCTGTCTCTACTAAAAATACAAAAATTAGCCAGGCATGATGGCGCACGCCTGTAGTCCCAGCTACTCGGGGACTACATTTGAATCCGGGAGGCGGAGGTTGCAGTGAGCCGAGATCGCACCACTGCACTCCAGCCTGGGTAACAGAATGCGACTCTGTCTCAAAAAAAAAAGATTGAATTTAGTGTCTGCAAATTATACCTTAATAAAAAATGAAAAAAAAAAACGTATTAGAAATTGGTCATTCTCCTGTATAAATATATTGGTACTTATTTTACTAGAAAACTAATGTGTTAATATATTTACCAACAGATAAAATTAGCTCCATTGGAAAAATACCTGTGATTTTTAATAATGGGTTAAAGTCATCGACTTTGGAATCCAACTGACCTTAGGTCAGATGTTGGCCCAGCCACCTAAAAGTACCACCTGTGGCAAGCCACTTCACTTTGCTTAGCGTCATTGTTCTAGCTGCAAAATAGGACTCAGAGTGCTTATATAGCTAGGTCAATTGCCTGGAAGAATTCTGTTATTGGTCTTGATAGCAACTGTCTTACCATAGTGTTAACACATAGTCTATGATCAATCAAACATAGTATGGAAGTGATTATGGTGCTGCTGGTTCTTCTGGACTTCTTCACCCTCAGAATGGTTTCCTGCCCTTCCTCTTCTCTGCTCTATATTACAATGGGGCTTCCCCTGTGCAGCCGAATTTCCTAGGATTCTACAGTTGCTACCTTTCTATTGGGTTTGGCCAATGGAAGGTACTGGCAGGAAATTGGATAGCAAGGGAAAAAGGAGAAACAGGACATTTCTCCATTCTCTTTTCCAGTGATTTCCAGGGCAGAGAGTGTTTAACTTCTGTGGCTTCAGCCCTTCCCTGGCAGATCTGCCATGGTTCTAGCTTTTTCCAGGTGTTTCTGGGTTCTGGTAACCCCACCACTTCTCTTGAGGTCCCTGGCCTAGAGTTGGCGGCAACTTCCTGCTGTTGCTAATCTCTAGGAGCTGTGGTTTGGACGTGGTTTGTTTTTCCCCACCAAAGCTCATTTTGAAATTTGATCCCCAGTGTGGTGATGTTGAGAGGTGGGGCTTAGTGGAATGTGTTTGGATTATGGTCTGAGGATTCTCTGCTGTCTTGTCCTCTCCAAGGGATGGGGTGAGGAAGCTGCCTTCATCTTCCTAAGCTACTCTCCTCATTATGGTGGAATTATCACTACCTTTGATTGATCATATTCTCCGTGATTCATAGTGGATTCCTCATGAATGGCTGGGTACTTTTCTTGCCATAGTGGGTGAATTCCTGCTCTCAAGAGACTGGATTACCTCTCATGAGAATGGATTAGTTCCCGAGAGAGTAAGTTAAAAAGCCAGGACACCCCCCAGGTTTCCCCTTCTTACATGTGTCCCCTTCCCCTTTGATCTTCTCTGCCATGTAGTGATCAGCATGAAAGCCCTCAGAAGACAAGGCTATGCCCTTGAACTTCTCAGCCTGCAGAACAAACATACACTTCTTTTCTTTACAAATTCTCCCATCTCAAGTATTCTTTTATAGCAACATAAAATAGGCTAAGACACTGGGTTACCACATTTTTTATGTTTGGTCTCTTCTATCATCTGGAAAAATAACTCCTATTAAATTCCTTCAGTTTTATTTTATTTTATTTAACTTTTATTTTAAGTTCAGGGGTACATGTTCCTGTTTGTTACATAGGTAAGCTTGTGTCATGGAGTTTGCTGTACAGATTATCTCATCATCCAGATATTAAGCCTAGTACCCATTAGTTATTTTTCCTGATCCTTTCCCTCACCAAACCTCCACCCTCCCATAGGCCCCAGTGTGTGCTGTTCCTCTCCATGTGTCTTTATTAGTCTGTTCTCACACGTCTATGAAGAAATATTCAAGACTGGGTAATTTATAAAGGAAAGAGATTTAATTGACTCACAGTTCCGCATGACTGGGAAGGCCTCAGGAAACTTACAATCATGGCAGAAGGGACAGCAAACACATCCTTCACATGGTGGCAGGAGAGAGAAGTGTTGAGCAAAAGGGGGAAAGCCCCTTATAAAACCATCAGATCTTGTGAGAACTCACTCACTAGCACGAGAACAGCATTGGGGTAATGGCCTCCATGCTTCAGTTACCTCCCACCAGGTCCCTCTTACGACACCTAGGGATTGTGGGAACTGCAGTTCAAGATGAGATTTGGGTAGGGACACACCCAAACCATATCAGTGTCCATTTAATACTTGAAGTCGTTTCTGCTTTTCTGCTTAGACACACTGACACAATTGTCATTCCTGAGAGTTTTGTGGGCCTCAGCTCAAAAAGCATAAATATGATTTCTGACTTCTAGTTTATCATGAATTCACTGTGTGGCCTTGGCTTAGGCAGTAAATAGCACCATTTTCCCAATTGCAAACGAAGATGTTCAGAGCAGTGATCACTAAAGAATATTACTGTGCTAGCAGTCTCTGCGTATGGCCTGGACCATTTATTTTTTCATTTTTAGTCATAGTAGCATGTCTAAATTCTCTTCACCAGTAGCTTGTGATTATGTGTTTCTCCAGGTTGCTAAACCAGTTACTGAATGAGCTGGGCCAGATCCAGGTTGTGAAAAATGAGTAGAGTAGTTTAGGAAGGTGGAGGTGGCTTCCTCTAACCATCCCTTGGAGAGGACCAGACAGCAGAGCATCCTTAGACCATATACAAGAGGCTTGTCTCACCTGGCAGCCTGAGCCCCATGCTTGGAGGAGTTGCTGCCTCCCACACGCACACACCCTCAGGCACACAGCCAGCAATCCTGCTAGCTCTGTGAACATCACAAATGGAAAAAGCCTAGAAATGGGGATACTCACCTGTCTAAGCTAATTAAGATTTCAGCCTCCAGCAGATGCTACTGTGACGGAGAAAAACAAAGAGCCTCAGGTTTCTGTGTTTCCCTGAGCTCTTCCTTCCCTTCATGGACAGTTTTTCTCTTGAGACTCCAGTGAAAGGAATACTGATTTTGACTCTGTTTTCACAGGCCTTCGTTACAGACACTGATCACCACCAACAATAACAACAGTAATAATAACCTGTGCTTCCTGAGTCTGTTTCACGTTCTAGGCACCTGCTCAGGCACATTCAAATTTAGCACCTCATTTAGTCCTCACTACAACCTCGGAGCTAAATCCCATCTTCCACATTTTCAGCAGAAACTGATACTAGAAATTATATCACTGCTTAAATGTCTGTCACTGTATCAAAGAGAATTTTTGTCACTGCCCTGTCTAAAATAGCATGTACACAGTCACACACACATTTTCACCTCACCTGCTTCATTTATATTTACAATTTCTATCACCACTCAACTCCAACATGTATGTTATCTTCTTTTTTTATTTTTGAAACAGGGGTCCCACTCTGTTGTCCAGGCTGGAGTGCAGCAGTGGTGCAATCACAGCTCACCGCAGCCTTGAACTCCTGGACTCAAGCAATCCAGCCTCCTGAGTAGTTGAAACTATAGGCACACACCACCACACTCAGCTAATTTCTATTTAATTTTTTTTTTTGTCGAGACAGGGTCTTGCTTTGTTGCTCAGGCTGGTCCCCAACTCCTGGCCTCAAGTGATCATCCTCCCTTGGACTCCCAATGTGCAAGGATTGCAGGCACAAGACACCATGCCTTTTCACTCATTTATTTATTATTGTATGTCTTCCTCCATTAGACTGTAGATTCTATGAGAGTAATGTTTATTGTCTTCACTCTTTGTATCTCCAGAACCTAGAACAGTGCCTAGCACATAATAGATACCCAATAAATATCTGTTGCCTGAACTCATTACATGAGCTATTTATTTTTTTATAGCATGTATTAGTATCTGAAATTGTTTTAATTATTTATGTCACTGTTATTGTCTGTCCACCTCCACTGAATGTTAGATCCCGGAAAACAGAGGCCTTGCCTTTTTTGCTCACTACTGTATACCCAGTATCTAAAACAATACCTTGCACCCAGCAGGTGGCCAGTAAATGTTTACATGGGACATGGTAAGAGCTAGAAAGGAATAGAACTGGATTTGAACTCAGTTCCCTTCAATTCCGAATGCTCCATTCTTGTCCTCTACCTTCAGCTTAGCCCTTGTGTTAGTTGCATCAAAAACATTATTGGAACATGAGTGAGAATGTGCCTGCTCACTGCATTTCCTAATGGAGGCCTCCAGGTAATGCATTCTATTCTCAAGGTGTGTCTTTCCTTCCACCACCCCAGCAGAGCCACAGCAACGTGACCCAGCTGGGGAGACCAGGGACTTGGAATCACAACCAACATCATCATCTGCCTTATAAAGCAAAGAAGGTCCATGGAGGGACTGCCTAGAGTACATGGTGCAGAAGGATAGGCTCAGGCAAATCCTTGATGGAATAAGTGAGGGATAGGGCTGTTCATTTATTCACAAATGCTTACTGAGCACCTATTTGGTGGTAGAACCTATTCCAGGTGCTAGAGGTCAATGGGAGAAAAGGAAGAGGACATCATCTCTGTTTACTTAGAACTCAGATTCCAGTAACATGCCCAAGATCCCAAAGCCAGACCTGAAAGCAGTTGCATCTGATCTCCAGGTCCACGCATTTCAGCCTCATGTAGATGGGAGCACATAGGTACATCCTTTGGAAGCAAAAGTGAAACCTAAAGATCAGAAAGGCTAAAAAGCATGGGCAACTTCACACAGCGAATCAGCACCCAATCCAGGTTCTAGAGATACACACTTAGCTACACTGAGCACAAGGAAGAACGGGGCTGGTGTGGTCCCTGCCCTCAGTGAGAAAACAGTCAGATACCCTCTTTTCTCCTTTGTACTCATTAAACCAAAGCAATTCACTTAAGGAATCCCATCCTTCACAATCAGGGAAGGTCACAGTGACTATTTTCTTCTCAACTGGAAATGGGAGTGGTCCACTAAATGGGGTTTTCCTCTGCCACGATGTCAACTTTTCCAAGAGAGAGGCTACATATTCCAAGGGATCAAATAATAAAACACATCTTCCTTCAGATCATTGCTGTTATGGCAGAATAACCTGAAAAAGAAGAACAGGAAAGGAAAAAAGAAAGAAAATCAGCCTATTCACACTCAAAACTTATTTTTCCCTGAAAGTGCCTTGATCTTGATAACATTCTAACCAAGAATGCTCTAGTCAGTGCTGCTTTGTCCCATAAATCAGAGAGGCGGGACCAGTTCTCAAGAAGAGGGCTCTCTCCAGGAAACCTCCAACTCCAGTCCTCCTCTTCTTAAGCTAAAGTTCACTTTCATCATCCCTCAGATCTCAGTTCATGCCTGCCCTCAGGTCCATGCAAGCCATGACCTCTCCTCCCTCCAGGTTCCAGGACTTGCTGTCTATAAAGACCTACATTGCTTCTTCACACCCCAGCATCCCCCTCTAGGTCAGACTTGATTTACACATCCCATTTTCAAGGTATGGAACTGATGATTCGTGCAGTGAGGCTGATGCAAAGCCAGGCATCCAAGAAGCTGGATCCTAATTCTGACCCATGTCATTTTTGTCTTAAAAGTGTTAGCTGATTTCAAACCATTTAACCTAATGGTTAATGACATGGAGCCCTCTATGATCTTCGCTTTGAATTAAATTTTTCTTTTTATGTAATTGTAGATTGATATATAGTTGTAAAAAAAAACATAAAGACAATTCCATAATATCCTTCACCTAGTTTCTCCCTATGGTAATATCTGGCAAAACTATAGTGTAATAACAAAACCAAAATATTGACATTGCTACAGTCAAGATACAGAGTATTTCTATCACCACAAAGATCCCTCATAGTCTTTTTGTTTGTTTTTGATTTTATTATTATTATTCTTTTAGATGGAGTCTCACTCTGTCACCCACGCTGGAGTGCAGTGGCGTGATCTTGGCTTACCGTAACCTCTGCCTCCTGGGTTCAAGCAATTCTTCTGCCTCAGCCTTCTGAGTAGCTGGGATTACAGGCGGCCACCACCATGGCCAGCTAATTTTTGTGTTTTTAGTAGAGGCAGAGTTTCTCCATGTTGGCCAGGCTGGTCTTGAACCCCTAATCTCAGGTGATCTGCCCACCTAGGCCTCCCAAACTGCTAAGATTACAAGTGTGAGCTACCACGCTCAGCCCTCATGGTTCTTTTTATAGCCACACGCTCTCGCCTCTAACCTGTACCTCCTCCTTAACCTCTGACAACTGTGAATTTATTCTCCATTTTCATAAAGGTGTCATTTCAAGAATGTTGTATAAATGAAATTATGCAATATGTAACTTACTGTGACTGGATTTTATCAACATGATTCCCTTAAGATTCATTACATTGTTATATGTACCAACAGCTCATTCATTTTTATCACTTAATAGTATTCTGCATAAGTACCAAGGGCTAACCAACTGCACCACTGGCGCTCCTATCACTGAATGGTATTCTATAGTATGAATGTATCACAGTTTGCCCATTCAGCCATTAAAGGACATCTGGGTTATTTTAAGTTTGGCCATTATGAATAAAGTTGCCATAAACATTCATGTACAGGTTTTGGTGTAAATGCCAAGATTCTGTTTCTCTGGGATAAATACACAAGAGTGTAATGGCTGGGTCATACGGTAGTACTGCAAAAATGATTTCCAGAGTGGCTGTACCATTTTACAATCCACCAGCAGTGTATGAGGGATCTAATTCCCCTACATCCTCTTGACATTCAGGGTTATTACTATGTTGATTTTACATTTTAGCTCTTCTGACAGGTATGTTGTAATATCCAATTATTTTAATTTACATTGCCCTAATGGCTAATAATGTTGAATATCTTTTCATGTGTTTATTTACCATCTGTATATCTTCTTCAGTAAAATATCTCTTAATGGTTTTTGTTCATTTTGTAATTGTGTTTTGTTTTGTTTTGTTTTGTTTATTGTTGAGCATTTAGAGTTCTTTATACTAGCCCTTTGTCAGGAATGTGGCTTACAAACCGTTTATTCCAGTCTGTAGCTTCGTATCCGTCTTAGCAGGGTTTTTTTTCACACTGAAAAAGTTATTCCTTTTGATGAAATTCAATTGATCAGTTTCTCCTTTCACTGATGTGCTTTTAATATCGAATTTGAGAACTCTGAGAGCTCCATATCTCAAAGATTTCTCCTATGATTTTATGTTTTAGAAAAGTTAGATTTACTTTTTTATAATTAAAACTATGATTCAGCTTAAATTAATTTTATGTAAGGTATGAGACTTGAATATAATTTCTTTTTCCTTTTCTTTTTTTTCTTTTTTCATTTCGTTTGCCTGTGGATGTCCAATTGCTCCAGCGTCATTTGTTGAAAGGAAGGTCTTTCCTCCATTGAATTGCTTTTGCACCTTTGGCAAAAGTAAGTTGTCCATGCTTGTTGGATCTACTTCTGGGTGCTCTGTTCTGTTCCATTGACCTTTGTGTTCATCCCTCCATACAGTCTTGATTACCATAGGTACACAGTAAGTCCTGAAATTGGGTAGAGTGATTTCTCCCGCTTTAGTCTTCTATCTCAGAATTGTTTTACCTAGTTTGGTTCAGTTGCCTTTCCAGATCAATTTAAGAATAATTTTGTTTGTATCTGCAAAATATTTTGTTGGGATTTTGTTAAGAATTGTGTTAAACCCATATATCAATTTGGGAAGGATGAACATTTTTACCATCTGAGACTGTAGATTTCTTTTTGGGTGGTTTTAAATTACTAATTCAATTTCCTTAATAGGAATAGGGCTACTCAAATTATCTGTTTCGCATTGGGTGAGTTCTGGTACTTTGTTTTTTAAGGAATTGGTTCATTGCATCTAAGATATCAAACTGCTGTGTGTAAAGTTTCTCATAGTATTCTCTTACTATCCTTTTGATGTCTACGGAGGCTATAGTGGTAACATCAAGATAGTCATTCTCGATGTTGGCAATCTATATCTACTCTGTTTTCCTTTGCTAGTGTTGCTAGAGTTGTCAGTTTCATTGAACAGATATCCAAAGAACTAGTTATTTGTTTTATTGATTTTTTTCTATTGATTTTCTGTTTCCAATTTCATCAGTTTATGCTCTTGTCTTTATTATTTTCTTTCCTTCTGCATGATTTAGGTTTATTACACTTTTCTATGTTTTTGAGGTGGGAGCTTCAATTATTGATTTAAGTCATTTCCTCTTTTCTACTGTATGCACTTAATGCTACAAATTCCCCTATCAGCACTGCTTTAGCTGTTTCCCATAGATTTCTGATATGTTGTATTTTCATTTTTATTCTCTTCAATGTCTTTATTTTTATTATCTTTGACACTTCATCTTTGACTCATGGCTTATTTAAAATTGTGCTGCTAAGTTCCAAATATTTGGTGATTTCTTGTTCTCTTCCTGTTGTTGTTTTGTTTGTTGGTTGGTTTACTTAGAGTCCCTTGTGATCAGAAGGCACATTCTGTATGATTTCAACTATGTTAAATTGTTTAGGTTTATTCTATGACTCAGTATATGGTCTATTTTGGCACATGTTCCATGTGCCCTTTAAAATAATGTGTATGTTGTGGTTAGTGGGTTGGGGGGAATTTTCTACAAATGTCTGTTAGATCTTGTTGGTTGATGATGGTGTCAAGTTTTTCTATATGCTGCCCTGTTCTCTGCCTTGTTTTATCAATTTTTCAGAGGAGATGGGTGTTGAAATCACCAAATATAATTGTGAATTTGTCTCTTTCTGCTTTTAGTTCTATAAGTTTTTGTGTCACATATTTTGCAGTTCTGTTGTTTGGTGAATACACATTTAGGATAATTATTTCTTCTTTGTGGACTGACCCTTTTATCTCTGGCAGTTTTCTTTGGTCTAAAATTGATTTTATCTGATCTTAATACAGCCAATCCTGCTTATCTTCATTTAATGTTTCTGTGATAAATCATTTTCCATCTTTTTACTTTAAACCTGCCTACATCATACTATTTGAAGTGAATTCCTTGTAGACAGCTTATATTTGTGTCATTTTAAAAATCTATTATGCCATTCCCTGTCTTTTATTTGTTGCATTGAGACCACTTATAATCATGATATTTTAGGGCTTAAGCCTGCCTTTTTATTTTCTGTTTGTTCTCTCTGTTTTTAACTTCTGTTTTCTTGTTCCTGCCTTCTTGTGCACCATTTGAATAGCTTTTAGATTTCAATTTTGATTTATCTATAGTTTTTGAGAGTGCCTCATTGTGTGGCTTTTTAAGTGGTTGATCTAGATATTGCCTTATATGTACATAAATTATCATAGTCTACAAGTGAAGTTATTAATATTTTTGTCAATTGAACTGAAATTTTACCTCCTTTTATATCCCTTTACCCTCCCCCATTTATAATGTAATTATCTTAAATATTTCTTTTACATACATTTGCAACCACATCATCATTATAACTTTGGCTTCCAATGTCAAAATTAATACAGAAAACTCAACAGGAGAAAGAAAATCTATTGTATTTACTCATATTTCTGCTTACGATGTTCTTCCTTCCTGATGCTATTTCATCACCCAGGTATTAAGCCTAGTACCCATTGGTTATTTTTCCTGATCCTCTCCCTTCTTCCAAAATTCACTCTTGGCCTCAGTGTGTGTTGTTCTTCTCTATGTGTTCATGTGTTCTCATTATTTAGCTCCAACTTATAATTAAGAACATGCAGTATTTAGTTTTCTGTTCTTGTGTTATTTGCTAAGGATAATGGCCTCCAGCTCCATTGTAAGGGACATGATCTCATTCTTTTTTATGGCTGCATAGTATTCCATCGTACATATGTGCCATATTTTCTTTATTCATTCTGTCATTGATGGACATTTAGGTTGATTCCATGTCTTTGCTATTGTGAATAGTGCTGCAATAAACATATGCATGCATGTGTTTTTGTAATAGAATGATTTATATTCCTTTGGGCATATACCCAGTAATGGGATGCTGGCATTGAATGGTATTTCTGTCTTTAGGTCTTTGAGGAACTGAACAGACACTTTTCAAAAGAAGACATACATTTGGCCAACAATCATATGAAAGAAAGCTCAACATCACTGATCATTAGAGAAATGCAAATCAAAACTGCAATGAGATACCATCTAACACCAGTCAGAATGGCTATTATTAAAAAGTCAAAAAATAAAAGATGGTGACAAGGTTGTGGAGAAAAAGGAACACTTATACACTGTTGGTGGGAAGGATTTTCTAGAAGTGTTATAGCACATTGGTCCAGAAACATGAAAATGCGTCAGAGCCATGGTGCATCTCCTGCCTGCACTCAATCCTGATTCCACAATTTATAGCCCATATGACCTTGAGCACATGGCCCGACATTGCCGTGCTTCAGTTTACTCATCTGTGACACGAAGAAAATAGGGTTTTTATGAAGATTAGGTGAGTTAATTTGTATAAGCACTTAGAATAGTATGTGACATATAATCAATGGAATATACGAGATTGCTAAATTTAAAAACACCCTAAAGCCAAACCCCAAATTAGAATTTCCTGGAGCAGCACTTGGAAATCTGCATTTTTCTTTTAGAGATGGGGTCTCCCTGTGTTACCCAGGCTGCAATGCAGTGGTGCAATCGTAGCTCACTGCAGCCTTATACTCCTGGGCTTAAGCTATCTGTCCTCCTCAGCCTCTCTCAAGTAGCTGGAACTACAGGCACTCATCACCATACTCGGCTAATTAAAAATATATATTTATTTAGAAATAGTCTCCCCGTGTTGCCCAGATGGAAATCTGCATTTTAATCTTATGGCTACTCAGGAAGGGTAGCTGCTGTGCTAGCCTACCCTGCCCCATCCCTCAGAGTGAGCCAATTATTCAACCACTCCACAGGCGTTTTTGTTTTTGCTTTCATTGTAAAATGAAAGACAAAGAGAAAGAGAAAGACTTTGTGTTTCTGTGTTGTAACTCTGTCAACATTTTCCTTTCCAGACTAATAAATTTTCTCACAAGCTAGTTCAACCTTTGTTGGTTGTAAATTTACCTTTTTTTTTAAATGCCTAAAATTGGTGCTTTATAAGAGAAAGATCAACGAGAATTATCCGCATGTCCATGGTGTGCACTCATTCATTTGTTCATTCCTCATCCAGCAACTATTTAATGAATCACAGTCTTGCCGTGTGTGTGTGTGTGTGTATGTGTGTCTTTGTCTTGGCCTACATGAAATCCATATTTTAGTGGGAGAGGTAGATATATAAACGGTGAGTCACAACACAGGATGTTAAGTGCTAAAACTGAAAAATAAGGAAACATTATGATAACAGAGGTATAGTGTGTATGTGGGTGGGGGGAGTTACATTCATTTGTAGAGGAGGTAAAGTCTTTAATAGCAAATGGAAGTCAACCAGGCAAATGTACCAGTAAGGGATAGGGAAAAGCAGACATTCCAGGCAGCCAAAGATAGTCCTTTATTCAGAAAACTCCTCAACCTTAACTTTTCCTGCTATGGGTTAACAGAAAAACTATACTCCATCCCTTGATTCAGCAGCTGCAATGCAGGACACAACGAGGCTGGAATCAAAGATGCACTAATAGCTGGTACCTGAGAAAACAGAAATCCTATCTCAAAGTCCATTCATGGTACAGAAAGAAGCATGGTTCAGGTAGCCGCAGTAATACCAAGATTGTTAACGTCCCAGGTTTTGGAGCCAGGCAGACACTGAGTTCAGATCCTGGCTCTCCCACGTACTGGCTGTGTAAACTTGTAATAATGTTACAAAATGCCAGAGTTTCAGTCTAGGCACCATTGTTCAATGCACAGAAGGCCAATCACTAAGACAACAAGGGGACTAAGACAACAAGCCAGGGGAGAAGGCTTTATTTGGGTGATATCAGTGAGAAAGATAAGAGACAAACCTCAAATCCATCTCTCTCTCTCCCAACTAAAGATAAAGGTTATTATACCAGGGAAGGAAAACAGGCAGGGTAAAGAAGAGTAGTTGGTCAACAGGCTGCAGGAGGTTGAATGAGGGGTCTAGTGTCTCACTGTAACCATACGGAGGGGTAAGGAAGAGGAGCTGGTCAACCAGGCAGCAGGTGCATCACTTGCATAAATGTAAGTTTCTCAAGCTGCACTTCTATGGACATCCAAATTGTTGGAAAATTTGGCCAATTTCAATAATGCTTGTAAAGTTTTAAAGTTTTAGCTCAGAGCCTGCATGTAGTTTTTTGTTGTTGTTGTTGTTAAAGAGTAGTTGTTGAAAAGGGTGATAATGGTGGATCTAGGTTTGATAATGGTAGTTACTAGGTATTGTTTCTTTTTTTGCTTCATTTTATTTTCTGTTTAAGATCAAAGTAATAAATGTAATACAAGTTTATTAACAGATAAGAAAATACCAAATGTTTGTGTTGCTCCTTGGCCCTTTTACCTGGCCACAGCAGGTAACTCTGCAGAACTCTCAGGACTCCACTGACACAGCTAAAAACCATTAATGCAGAAAATGAGGCCATTGTGATCAGCTCAATAAGGCCCTGAAGTCTCTTCCATTAATTCCTCCCTCTCTACTGCCCTATTAGGATGGGGTGGTTTGACTAAGAGCTTTATGATGGGACTTATTTAGGAGGTAATCATCTTTCTATGCCAGTGCCTGATCCTGGTTCATGGACGAGGAGTTTCTAGGGATTGGGCAGAATGTGAAGACACTGCCTGACCTGTCTTCATCAACTCTTCAAAGCAAGGAAAGTCTTTCCCTCCCTGGTCCTGAAGGATGCATAAGCCCTTTTTAGAGCTCCATAAAACACCAGCAGTTTATGAACTGTGGTCTCGGAGGCTATTGATTGCCATCATTTCTTGCTCTTCACATCTGCTCTATTCATAGCTATGCCACACAACATGCGAAATATTAGGTTGTGTCAGAGTAGCAAAATCCTCTCAATGAACCAATACTCAACTGTCCATTGAATGCCTACCATGTTCCATTTCCTTAATGAATAAGTGGTACTGGATGGGAGTTAACCAAAGGCAATAAATGTTTCTGGAGAATAACATGCAGATATAGAGAAAGCATAGCATGAAGGTTAGGGTCGAGGACTAGAACCAGGGCATTTGGTTCCATTTCTAGTTCAGCTGCTCACTACCTCCATGTGGCTCATTTTCCTAATCTATATAAACAGAAACCATATTATTAGCAAACATAATAGTATGTAGTTCACAAGGATCTTGTAAAGATCAAATGAAGCTCCTTTTTGCTTCACATTTAATTTTTATAAGCTCTATTTGGGAATTCCTTGATGCAAGAGATCCCAGGCAGTGACGCACTAGCTTCCTATACAAGTGTTTTAGCAACAGGGACACTAATGGGTTCCTGAGTCTTGAGCTGAGGGAGCAGAGAAAAGAAGGCAAGAAATTACAGAAAGTAGGAGGAAAACACCTTGGAGTCTATTAAGTAGTTCCCACATATCGCAACGAAATAGATATTTGGAAAAACAAGAAATCAATGCGCTGACTGAATCACTCAATAGGCTCACTCACTTATTACTGCATGGCTTTGGCTCTTGGCATTTGGTAGAGAATGGATTTTTATTGCTTAATTCCCTGTAAGTGAAGGGCTAGTGAATTGTAAAATCCTGTTGCTTAATATGTAACATTAAGTATTCAACTAGCAAAAGAAAAAAAATCAATTTCAGGTTTGGTTACTTTTCTCCGGGAATTGAGAGTAAAGCACCATTATTGCTCTTCTCTTTAATCCATAAAACACCATGTGCAAGACTCCTCAGCAAACATGTTTGCAATCTGAGAGCACAATCCCCTTGCAAAGCCTTACATTCTTCAGATCCTGCATGGACCCACTCAGGACCTAGTCCAGTGGCTGCTGTGGGTGAATGAGAGTCCTGGAGAACATCCACTCCTCAGTGTGGACATGCAAAGAATCCACAACTTTGGAGTGCCTTCAGCTTCTCAGGACTTTTCTTTGAGCATTAGACCCTTGCCTTCCCCAATCCCATATTAACTGCATGCTCAACCACCTTCTCAGGCATAGGACCCTTACTTACACCTGCAGGTAGTCTCTACAATTAGTTTTTCTTCCATAAACCTTATGTTGGTTATATTCGGAATAAGAGTCAGACTCCTGCCTGCCCACGAATCTGCAAAATATATGATCATAGTAATAAATGTAATACAAGTTCATTAACAGGTTAAAAAAAATACCAACTGTTTATCTTGCTCCTTGGTCCTTCCACTCGGCCACAGCAGGTTCTCACCTTCTGTAGCAACCCAGTTCACTCCTCTTGGTTTCTTATTCAGCAATCCATGTTGGGAAAAGGCAGAAATTAATATTTTATGATACCTTATTTTCAGTTGTTTAAATTGTTATCATAAACTCTACAATTAATCATTATTTTCTATTGACTTTTCAAAGAAAATATACAGCAATGGTTTGGGAGCCAAAGAAAATATACGAAAGGCTAAATTTAATCAGAATGTTGCATGCTCTGGACCATGAATTCCTACAACCCAAGAGTTCTTTCTCTTCTACTACGAATAGCTCAAGTTTCCCCTCTTCCTGAAGTATCTCTTCTATAAGTATACTGATTAAGTCCATTATTGAGACATTTTATTATCCCCGGTCTCTTTTTAAAATTATGTGTACAATTACTAAGTTAGCACATCGTATTTCTGCTTGTGCTAGTCTGTTCTATTGAATCTGTCTCTTTCTTCCTTCTCCAAAAATTATTTAGGTTCTGTATACTAGGCACTGAGTTTGAAAGACAAGCCAGAATGCAATTTTTTATTTTGAGGGATTCACAACAAGTGGAACAGATGGACCGAATATTAGGGCATTGGAATATAGCATGGTAAGCACTGTAGGACTGGAACCCAGAAAAGGAATCTTCAACTCTACCCTAGGATGAGCAGAGAAAGAAGGCTTCCCTGAGGAGGTGAAATGTAAGGCAGATCTTGACAGATGAGGAGGAGGAGAAAACGAATTCCAGGCTAAGAGGAAGTTCTTAAGAAACGTTAGACACAATCAAGAGATTGCGAGTAGGTTTTCATAACACATGACCTAGAAATTGACAGACAGGAGACAAGGCAAGTGGGTAGAGCTCTGCTCAGGAAGGGGCTCATTCTCGACACTGAGGTTGTTCTTGATCCTGCCAATGTTAGGGGCATTTTGTAGGTTCCCAAGCTAGAAATAAACATGTTTTGATTTGCTTTTAAGAAAGTTCTCTCTGGCAGTGATGATTAGGTTGGGGAGAGGCTAGAAAAGGTGGACAAGGCAAAAATTAAGGTTCACTAGGTATAGAGGGAAGGGATGGATTTGAGATGGATTTAGGAGGAAGAGCATCCTCTGGGTGTGTAGACACTGCCCTATTTTGGGCTGTCCTCACTCTGTACATAAATTGCTGCATCAGCCTCCCTGGGTGTCTCCTTGCCCCCCTCCCCCTCCAATCTGTCTTCCACCAGAAAGGCCATGGTAAGAATCAGTATGGATCCAGCTGTTCAACTGCTTTAAACAACGTACTCCCTATTAACCATAGCAGTGGTTCTCAAGGAGGTGAATGGCAGATTGTGTCCCCAAGGTTACATTTCACAATGTCTGGAGATATTTTTGGTTCTTACAACTGGCCGGGGAGTTGAGGGGAGAGGGTTGCTACTGGCATCTAATGGAGATGCTGCTAAACATCCTATCATGCGTAGACCCAAAATGTCAACGAAGCTGAGTCTGAGATACCCTGAGATGCTGTATAAAAACCCAAGCTTCTCAGTATGCCATGAAACAGTCCCAAATTACTTTTTTTTCTCTCCAGTCTCATTTAATTTTAAGACACTTTTTTTTCATATCTTTGTGTCTTTGCACATGCTGTTTGCTTTTCTTGGAATGACTTACTTACTTCTCTACCTGAGGAATGTTTTCTGTCCTTCCAAGCTCTGTTTCAGATAGCCTCCTATATTAGGCCATTCCCATATTGCTATAAAGAAATACCTGGAATGGAAAAAGGGGAGAAGCCCTATAAAGGAATAGCCTGGAATTCTTTTTCTCCTCCCTCTCATCTGTGAAGATCCGCCTCACATTTCACCTCCTCAGGAAAGCCTTCTTTCTCTGCCCATCCTAGGGCAGAGTTGAAGATTCCTTTTCTGGGTTCTGAGCCTAAGGTGCTTATAACACTATATTACAATGCCCTAATATTCTGTCTATCTGTTCCACTTGTTCCACTTGTGAATCTCTCAAAATCACAAATTACATTCTGGTTCATATTTCAAACTCAGTGCCTAGGATACAGAACTTAAATAATTTTTGGAGAAGGAAGTGAAGGAAGAAAGACAGATTCAATAGGATGGACTGGCATGAGCAGAAATGCGGATATGCTAAATTAGTTAGCCTTAGACTGGGTAATTTATAAAGAAAAGAGGTTTAATTGGTTCACAGTTCTGAGGCTGTACAGGAAGCATGATGTTGGCATCTGCTCAGCTTCTGGGAATGCCTTGGGAAAGTTACAATCATGGAGAAAGGTAAAGGGGGAGAAGGCATTTCACAGGGCCGGAGCAGCAGCAAGAGAGCTAGGAAGAGGCTGCTACAGACTTAAAAGACCAAATCTCAGGAGAACTCACTATCATGAGGACAGTAGCAAGAGGGATGGTGCTAAACCATTATGGAAATCCACCCCCATGATTCAATCAGCTCCCACCAGGCCCCATCTCCAACACTGGGAATTACATTTCTACTTGAGATTTGGACAGGGACAACATCCAAACTAACTCTCTTGTTAGGTCTTTCCTATTTTTCCCAGGCAGTGTTCATATCTACCTCCCTAAACCCTTTGGAATTGACCTATCATAGGGTTTCTCTCTTCTTTCTATTTCCTATTTTTTTAATTTTATTTTTCAGATGACAAAAATACTTTGCTTGAAATACTACAGAATAGAAAGCTCTGTATATACAACACCACGATTACCCTGGTACGTTACCCACCTTTTCTCCTTCTTACCTTCACTTCTCCTAAAATGAACAATCTAGGATGTTTGTAATTTTTCTTCTAAGTCATATAACCGTACATCAGCCTATGTATCTGTATGCATATATAGGGTTTTCTTTGCTACTCATTTACATATTACTAGGCAACATGGCCTTTGTGCTTGACAGTCTATCATGGTATCTCTACAAGTCAATAGATACAAATCTAGTCCTTTTTCTAATTTATTTATAGGTACATATGCATATTTCCATTGTGATATAATGAGTATGTATTTTGTTTTTCTCCCCATAGAAGAAAGGAATATATTCTTCATATATAGAAGCTCCTGGCATGGAGCTTCTGAAACTCTTGTAATTTCCTGAGTAACAGGGGTGAAAGGAGCATTTTTGGTTACTCATAATGAGCCCCTTTCATAATAAACCCAAGTTTATGCTAATGAGTTGGCTCATGGAGAATGGGGGCTGGTCATGGGGAGAACCAACCATGTGATCAGAGGGTTAGAACTTTCAGCCCCATCCCTTGACTTCTGAGGGGAGGGAGGCTGGAGATTGAGTTCAGTCACCAGTGGCCAATGGTTTAATAAATCATGCCTACATAATGGAACCTGTGCAAAAACCGTAAACTACAGAGTTCAGGAGCTTTCAGATTGGTCAACACATCCCCATGCCATGAGGGTGGCATGTACATAACTCTAGGGAGACAGAAGCTCCTGAGCTTGAGACCCTTCCAGACCTTGCTCTGTGTACCTCTTCATCTGACTTCATTTGTATTCTGTATAATAATTTTAATAATAAACTGCTAATAGTAAGCTGTTTTCCCTGGGTTCTGTGAGGTGTTATAGCAAATTATCAAGCCCGAGAAGAGGGTCATGGGGAACCCACAATTTGTAGCCAAGTCAGACAGACGTGTGGATATCCTGGGGACACACTACTTGAAATTGGTATCTGAGGTCGGGGGCAGCCTTGTGAGATTGAGCCTTTAATTTGCAGGGTCTGTGCTAACTCAGGTAATTGATGTCAAATTGAATTTAATTGTAGGACATCCAGTTGGTGTTTGCAGAGAATTAAATTGCCTGGTGTAGAAAACCCACACATTTAGTGTCAGAAGTGTTGTGAGTAGATGAAGACTTTTATTTTACTATAATAAACAAATAAGGGATCATATCACAGGTGGTGAGTTTTATTTTTCTATTACAGTGTTTTTCTTGCCCCACTTCCAAATCCAATAACCAATTAACTGTGCTAACAAAACGGTTGTAAGTTCTTCTCTGCTTTTCTTCATTATCATGTAACTATTTGCAAATTTATGCATACCTGTGCATAGATACACATTTTTATCATTGTTAGCTTAACAAAAATGGTATATCAAATATATTTCTTTACCTTTCTTTTCTTATTCAACAATACCTCATAGAAATCCTTCTAACTGTTACAGCTATAATTCATTCTTTAAAGTGGCTTCAAACTATTCCATTACATGGATTTTTCAAGCCTGTCTTTGTCATCGGCATTTATTTTTGCTATTACAAGCAATGTTGCAACGAACATCCTGGTATATGTCTCCTACTATATTGATGCTTTTATTACTATGGGTTGGATTCCCAGAAGTGGAATTGCTGGGTTGAACAGCATGTGTACTTTTAATTTTAAGAGCTGTTGCCATTTTGCTTTCCAAAAAGACTATAAAAATTTATACTTTCTCCAGTAACTTTTGAGACAACATTTTTCCCATTATGCCCACCAGGAATAAGTTTTATAATTTTCAATTTTCTCCAAACTCTTGAAATTAAAGTCATATTTTGTCACTGCGTTTTTTTTTCTATTTTTGATGTTAAAATTTTTGTGGATACATAGTAGGTACATATTTGTGAGGTACAAGAGATGTTTTGATGCAGGCATGCAATGTGAAATAATCACATCATAAAGAATAGCGTATCCATACCCTCAAATATTTATATTTTGTGTTACAAACAATCCAATTATACTCTTTTAGTTATTTTAAAATGCACAATTAAGTTATTTGTGACTATAGTCACTCTGTTGTGCAGTCAATCTTTTATTCATTCTTTCTATTTTTTTTTGTGGCCATTAACCATCCCCACCTCCCTCCAAACCTCTCACTACTCTTCCCAGCCTCCTTCTCCTCTCTATGTCCGGGCAATTGTTTTAAATTTTAGATCCAACAAATAATTAAAAACATGTGATGCTTGTTTTTCTGTGCCTGGCTTATTTCACTTAACATAATGATCTCCAGTTCCATTCACATTGTTGCAAATGACAGGATTCCCTTCCTTTTTATGGCTGAATAGTATTCCATTGCATATACGTACCACATTTTCCTTAACCATTTATCTGTTGATGGACGTGTAGGTTGCTTCCAAATCTTAGCTATCGTAAACGGTGCTGCAACAAACAGGAAAGTGCAGATATCTCTTTGATATACTGATTTTCTTTCTTTGGGGTATATACCCAGCAGTGGGATTGCTGGATAATATGGTAGCTCTATTTTTAGTTTTCTGAGGAACCTCCAAACTATTCTCCATAGTGGTTGTACTAATTTACATTCCCACCAACAGTGTACAAGAGTACCTTTTTCTCCACATCTTTGCCAGCATTTGTTATTTCTGTTTTTTGGATGAGCCATTTTAACCGGGGTGAGATGATATCTCATTATAGTTTTGATTTGCATTTCCCTGATGATCAATGATGTTGATAATCAGATATGCCTGTTTGCCATTTGCATGTCTTCTTTTGAAAAATGTTTATTCCAATATTTTGCCCATTTTTTATTGGATTATAGGATTTTTTTTCCTATAGAGTTTTTCAAGTTCCTTATAAATTCAAGTTATTAATCCCTAGTCAGAAAGGTAATTTGTAAATATTTTCTCCCTTTTTGGGGGTTGCCTCTTCACTGTGTTGATTGTTTTCTTTTCTGTGTAGAAGCTTTCTAACTTGATGTGATCCAATTTGTTCATTTTTGCTTTGGTTGCATGTGGGGTGTTGCTCAAAAGTTTTTGCTCAGACCAGTGTCCAGGAGATTTTCCCCAGTGTTTTCTTGCAGTAGTTTCATAATTTGAGGTCTTAGCTTTAAGTCTTTAATCCGTTTTGATTTTAATTTTGTATATGGTGAGAGACAGGGATATGGATATTCAGTTTCCTCAGCACCATTTATTGAAGAGACTGTCCTTGCCCCTGTGTATGTTCTTGGCACCTTTGTTGAAAATGAGTTCACTGTAGGTGTGTGGATTTGTTTCTTGTTTCTCTATGCTGTTCCATTGGTCTATGTGTCTGTTTTCATGCCAGTACCATGCTATTTTGGTAAGTACAGCTCTGCAGTATAATTTGAAGTCAGGTAATGTGATTCTTCCAGTTTTGTTCTTTTTGCTCAGGATAGCTTTGGCTATTCTGGGTCTTTTGTGGTTTCATATAAATTTTAGAATTTTTTTAAAATTTCTATGAAGAATGTCATTAGTACTTTGATAGAGATTACATTGAATCTGTGGATTGGTTTGGGGAATATATATATTTTAACAATATCAGTTCTTCTATTCCACAAACATGGAATATTTTTTCCATTTTTTTTGGTGTCCTCTTCAATTTCATCAGTGTTTTGTCATTTTCATTATAGAGGTTTTTTTGTTTGTTTCTTTGGTTACATGAATTCCTAGATATTTAATTTTATTTGTGGCTTTTATAAATGGAATTACTTTCTCATCTATTTTTTAGATTGCTCACTGTTGGCATATATGCTACTGATTTTTTGTGAGTTGATTTTGTATCCTGCAACTTTACTAAATGTATCAGTTCTAATAGTTTTTTGTGTGGAGTCTGTGGGTTTTTCCAAATATAAGATCATGTCATCTGAAAACCAGAATAATTTCACCTTTCCATTCCAATTTGGATGCCCTTTATTTCTTTCTGTTCTCTGATTGCCCTAGCTAGCACTTCCAGTACTATGTTGAATAACGTGGTGAAAGTGGACATCCTTGTTGTGTTCTAGATCTTAGAGGAAAGGCTTTTGGATTCCCCCATTCAGTATAATACTAGATGTGGGTCTGTCATATATGGCTTTTATTAGATTGAGCTATGTTCCTTCCATAACCTTTTTAGGGTTTTCATCATGAAGGGATGTTGAATTTTATCAAATGCCTTTTTGGCGTCAATTGAAATGATGATATGAATTTTATCCTTCATTCTGTTGCTGTGATGTATCACACTGATTGATTTGCATATGTTGAACCATCCTTGCATCCCGGGAATAAATCCCACTTGGTTATGATGAATGATATTTCTAATGTATTGCTGAATTTGTTTTGCTAGTATTTCATTGAGGATTTTTGCACTAATATTCATGAAAGACATTGGTCAGTAGTTTTCTTTTTTTTTTTTTGATGCATCTTTAGTTTTGGTATCAGGGTAATACTAGCTGTGTAGAATGAGTTTGAAAGTATTTCCTTCTCCTCTATCGTTTCAGAATAGGTTGAGTAGGATTGGTATTAGTTCTTCTTTAAATGTTTAAAGACTTAGGGTCCTGGACTTTTCTTTATTGGGGCACTTTTTATTATGGCTTCAATCTTGTTATCAGTCTGTACAGGTTTTTTATTTCTTCCTGGTTCAATCTTCATAGCTTGTATGTGTCTAGAAATGTGTTCATTTCTTCTAGATTGTCCAACTTATTGGTATATAGTTGCTCATGGTAGCCACTAATGCTAATGACCCTTTGAATTTCTGCAGTATTAGTGGTAATGTCTCCTTTTTCATTTCCGATTTTATTTATTTGTATCTTCTCTTTTTCTCTTAAGATGGCTAAAGGTTTTCCAATTTTGTTTAACTTTTTTAAAAAACAACTTTTGTTTCATTGATCTTCTGTGTTTTTTGTTTTAAATTCATTTATTTCTGCTCTTATCTTTATTATTATTATTTTCTACTAATTTTGGTTGGTTTGTTTTGCTTTTGCTTTTCTAGTTTTTTAAAATGCACTGTTACATTGTTTATTTGAAAGTTTTTTCTCTTTTTCGACGTAGACCCTTATAGCTATACTCTTCCCTGTTAGTACTGGTTTTACTGTATCCCATAGGTTTTGATAAGTTCTATTTTCATTATGATTTCTTTCAAGAAATTTTTCAATTTCTGTCTTAATTTCTTCATTGACCCACTGGTCATTCAGGAGCATATTGTTTAAGTTCCATGTATTTGTATAGTTTTCTAAATTCCTCTTGTTGTTAATTTCTAGTTTTATTACATTGTGGTCAGAGAATATGCTTGATATTATTTCAATTATTTTGAATGTTTTAAAACTTATTTTGTGACCTAACATAGTCTATCCTTGAGAATGATCCATGTACTGAGGAAAAGAATATGTATTCTGCAACTCTTGGATAAAATGTTCTGTAACTATCTATTGGATCCACTTGGTCTATAGTTCTGATTAAGGCTGCAGTCTCTTTGTCTGGAAGATCTGTTCAATGCTCTTGAACAAATTCGAGGCTGTTTTCTAGATCCAGTAGGTGTGCTTCACTGTTTTTTATTCTTTTTTCTTTTGTCTCCTCTGAATGTGTATTTTAAAATAGCCTCTCTTCAGGCTCACTAACTCTTTCTTCTGCTTGATCAATTCTGCTATTAAAAGACTCAAATGCATTCTCCGTTATGCCAATTGCATCTTTCAGCTCCAGAATTTCTGCTTGCTTCTTTTTAATTATTTCAATCTCTTTGTTAAATTTAGCTTATACAATTCTGAATTCCTTCTCTGTGTTATCTTTAATTTCTTTGAGTTTCCCCAACACAGCTATTTTGAATTCTCTCTCTGAAAGGTCACATATCTCTGTTTCTCCAGGATTGGTCCATGGTGGCTTATTTAGTTCATTTGAGAAGTCAAGTTTTCCTGGATGGTGTTGATGCTAGTAGATGTTCTTTGCTGTCTGGGCATTGATGAGTTTGATATTTATTATAGTCTTTACTATCTAAGCTTGTTTGTGCCTGTCCTTCTTGGGAAGGCTTTCCAGATATTTGAAAAGACTTGGGTGCTGTGATCTAAGCTGTAACTGCTTCATGGGCACCCCCAACCCCAATAATGCTGTAGTTTTTGCAGATTCTTAGAGGTAACACCTTGATGGTCTTCGGCAAGATCCAGGATAATTCTCTGGATTACCAGGCCGAGACTCTTGTTCTCTTCCCTTACTTTCTCCCAAACAAACAAAGTCTCTCTCTCTGTTCTGAGCCACCTAAAGCTGGGGATGGAGTGACACAAGCACCCCTGTGGCCACCACCACTATGACTGTGCTGAGTCAGACCTGAAGCCAGCACAGCACTAGGTCTCACCCAAGGCCTGCTATAACCACTCCCTGGCAACTACCTATGTTTGCTCCAGGCCCTGGATCTCTATAATCAGCAGGTGGCAAAGCCAGACAGGCATGCATCCTTCCCTTCAGAGTGCCAAGTTCCCTCAGGCCCAGGTGGTCCAGAGGTGCCACCCAGGAGTCAGAGACTAGAGTCAAAATCCTGAGAAGTCTACCTTGTGTTCTACTATACCGCAGCTGAGCTGGCACTCAACACACAAGATACAATTGTTCCCACTCTTCGCTTCCCTTTCGAAAGGCAGAGGAGCCTACCCCGTAGCCACTGCCACCACAGGCCCTGGGGAGTTCTGCCAGACTACCGCTGACGTTCCCTTAAGGCATAAGGGCTCTTAAGACAACTTGTGAAGAATGCTACCTGGCTGGGACTCACCTTTCAAGGCAGTGGGCTCTCTTCCAGGATGCACTTAGATGGCACTTAGAGATGCCATCTAAGTCAAGTCCTATAATCAGGCACTCCAGAAGCCTGCTTGGTGTTCTACCCCACTGTGGCCATGCTGGTACCTAAAGGTAAAGACCAAGTTCCCTTTACTTTTTCCTCCATTTTTCTCAAATAGGATTTTGGCCAATAGCCACTGCTGCTAGTAATGTGCTGAATCTCACCTGAAGCCAGAAAGTCTCAGAGACTCACCCAAGGCCCTTGATGTAGTACCTGGGTGTCACTGATGGTTTTTCAGGGACCAAGGGCTCTTCAGTCAGCAGGTGATAAATGCTGCCAGGACTGGGGCCTTCCCTTCAAGGCAGTGGGTTTTCTTCTGGCCCAGAGTGTGTCCAGAAATGTAGTCCAGGAGCTAGGGCATAGAACAGGGACCTCACAACTCTGACCAGTGCCCTATCCTGCTGTGGCTGAGCTGGTATCTAAGATGCAAAACAAATTATTTCCCCCACTCTTCCCTCTCTTCTTCTCAAGTGGAAGGAAGGGGTCTCTTTTAGAACTGCAAGCTGTGCAGCCTGGGGTTAGGGGAGGGGTGATGCCAGCACTCCCTTAACCACCCCAGCTGCTGTCTCAGTAGGTTGCATGCTCCCCCACTCCACTTTCTTTGAGCCCAGTTCAGCCCTAGGACTCACCTTAGATTTATAGTCCTTATGACCTAGACTGTCTTTCAGGTTTGCTTAGAGACACAGAGTGCTATAGCCTACAGTGGTGAGGTTTGCAGGAAGTGACATTCTAATCCCTGGGATGGGTGATTCCCCTCTGGCTAGGACTGGTTTAAATGCTCCCTCCGTGGGCGGGCCTCAGTTGAGTCTGGTCCAGTTCTCCTTTCTGCTCTAACAGGACAGCACTGAGTTCAGTGCCTTACAATTGCTGTGTTCTTCTTGCCCCAGCACCCAGAGATGCTCTCTGCACCACGCTGTTGCTGCTGTGGGTGAAAGGTGGTATCTGTGATTCAAGACTGTTTTTTCTATCTCTTCAGTGCCTCTTTCAGCCATACATAGTTAAAACCAGATACGATGAAGACTTGCCTGATTTGGGGTTCTTATGAAGGTGATTTTTCTTTGTAGATAGTTGTTGAATTGGGGTCCTTATTGGGGGGACAATTGGTGGAGCCATCTATTCTGCCATCTTGCTTCTCCTCCAATTGCTGCATTAGTTTCATTTTCCTGACTACGAATGACTTTTACCTTACATTACATAAAAGAATAACTTTATATTCACACAAAGAGTTGCACACAAGTATTCGTAACATTATTCAAAATAACCAAAAATTGGAAATAGCCTAAATGTGCATCAACGAGAAGGAAACTATATATATTTAGGCTGTATATATTTAGGATAATGAAGTTTATTAATCAGGACAGCATACCCAGAGGCTACAGAAGAATATGTAGGCAATTTGACTAAATATAATTTTATGTTTGTATGTCCAAACATATTTTAAACGAAATCAAAATATAAATGTTAGGCTTGGGGGAACATTTATATTTATAGTGTAGATAATATGCAATGGCTAAAAATCAGTAATAGCCAATGAACTCTTACAAACTGATGATAAAGAGGCCAATAACTCAATAGAAAAATGAACAGTGTTTATCAAATGACAGAAGAACAAATCTCAGTGGCCAGGGAAACCACAATTAATTGCAAAATTCCTACACAATTATTGTGAAAAAAATGAAATCAACAAACACTACAGGAATATTTAAGGTGAAAAATTAATCACCTGCTGTGTGAGAGGGTCCTGCCAGAAGCAGGTGAGACACTCAATGGACACACTTTAAACAGAAAGCTAAATAAAGGTGCAATATGCAGAGATGTTGGCACCAAGAAGGGAATCAACAGAGGATGGTGGCATACTAAGGACCAGCAGCAGCCGGAAGTTGGTGTCACCCAGGTTGACAGTGGCCATAAGAAAGGAGGTGAGTTTCTAGACCAACAGTTGGATCCACATCTGACAGAAGCTATGAGCACAGAGGAATGCAGGATAGACCAGAATCCTAGAAAAACAGGCAGAGGGCTGGGTGTGGTGGCTCATGCCTGTAATCCCAGTACTTTGGGAGGCAGGGGCAGGTATCACCTGACATCAGGAGTTCAAGACCAGCCTGGTCAACATGGTGAAACCCCGTCTCTACTAAAAATACAAAAATTAGCCAGGGGTGCTGGTGGGTGCCTGTAATCTCAGCTATTCAGGAGGTTGAGGTGGGAGAATCACTTGAACCTGGGAGATGGAAGTTGCAGTGAGCCAAGATCATGTCACTGCACTCCAGCCTGGGCCACAGAGCAAGATTTCGAAATCAAAAAAAAAGGAAAGAAAGAAAGAGAGAAAGAAGAAAGAAAGAAAGAAAGAAAGAAAGAAAGAAAGAAAGAAAGAAAGAAAGAAAGAAAGAAAGGAGAGAGAAAAAGAAAGAAAGAACATGCAGAGAGTGCGAGAGAATATAAATACCCCTCCTCTCTCTCTTCTTGCCCTCTCATCTATTGTCATGGATGCCCATTAGGCGAAACCAACAGGAAAATACAGGGCAAGAGGGGCCTTAGCAATTTAATGCATAGGGATCAGCCTCCTGGGGCATAGAGAACAGGAAAGGCTGGAGAATGGGTCAGGTTGAAACGGTCAACTGAGAATAACCATCATTTCTTTCTTGCCACTTATCCTCATCCCCAGAGATAAAATAGCCAGCATTAATCGTCGGGGGTTTATGCTATCAGAATGTTTTCTATGCACATTCTTATCACCAGCTTTTCTTCCAAAGCTAATATATTTAATATTTAAATAACCTCAGTGGATCAATAAAAAAGAGGAACATCTAACAAAAAAAGACTCAAGAGACATGAATTGAAATTCACAAGCATACATGTGGATACTATAGACCTAATAGAATCAGCCTATTTTGTAATCAAATAGATGCAAATTAAAACAACAATGAAATGCTATTATTCATCTATCAAATTGACAAAGAATAAAATTACATATGGAAAATCTCCTGTTGTCAAGGGTGTGGTGGGATAATAAAGTCACGATGGTAGGAGAATAAATTGTTTTATCCTTTCTTGAGAGTAATTTGGCAAGATGTATCCAAAGGTTCATAAAAGTGTTTATATCCTCTCCCCTAGTAATTCTACTTCCAGGAATTTATCCAAAGGAAATACTCAGAAATGCACACAGGCTGTTACCACGACATTATTTATAATAGTGATAAATTACAAAGACATAAGTATTCACAATAGAAGATTTGCAAAATAAATTATGATGTGGTCATACAATGAAAGATTATAAGGCCATTAAAATCACGTTGCAGAAGAATATTTAATGACACAAGACAACGCATATGGTATTCTATTAAGCAAAATAATCTGAATGTAAGCTGGGATATATTATGTGTTCTATGATCTTAATTTTGTAAAATATGTTCTGTCTGTGGTGTAAGATTATAGATTTTTTTGTATTCTGTGTAGATAAAACAATGAATATTTTTTATCTGTACAACTTTTTTATATCTATATGAAAACAGGCAGTTATTCGACAAATAATTCACCTTCTATTTGGCTATATGCAGAGTCCATTTCTCCCCAAATTGGCAGTTATCTTTTAAATTCTCAAATAAGGTGAGAGGTTTCTAGAATTTGAAAAGGAGATGACAGTGCTCTTTTAAATAAATTGGTATGCCAACCTCCATGAAGTAACTATTTGGATGATTTTTATATTGATGTAAAAATAAATAGTTTGATATTTTTTGAATCTGTATTCTGGAAGATAAAATGAAATCATCCCTTTGTGTATAATCCAACCTTAGGGTTCTGTGTTCTGCCAGCTCTCGAAACTGTGATTGCTAATGGATGAACCAGATCTCAAATTAATGGGACAGTATTCATTGGAGAGAACTTAAGGGTGAACACCTCCCTTGGTGAGACTGTCTGCAATTTTCTGGGTTTGAATCTTAAGAAAGCTATATGCATAAAATTATGTAAATTTATATGCATAGATAGAGGAGATCATTTCCCCGGACTTCTAAGAGGGATTTGGTATACTTTAAACAGTGGGATAAATACGAGTTATTTATATCCATATACATATTCTTATTTATAGCCATTAATCAGTTGTCTTCAACATAGAAGAAAAAAGGAGCTCAACAAAACTGAACAGTGTGAATTTAGCAGTGTTCACCATTAGATTTGGGTGGCAAAAGCAATACAATAATTAAGAAAGATTTTCTACTTTATCAGAATTCATGTCATCATTTTTTTCCATAGTTTGGAATTAAAGTTCTTCAAACTTCATCTATTCTTCTCACACCTCTGCCCATTTTTGATATGGTAACTACTTAGGCATCATAGTAAATAAAAGATGACGCCTTGGATAGAGGCTGTGGCATTCTGGTCCTTAGGAATTTATTGTCTCTGTAAAATAGTGGCTGCAACAGACTGACATGAATCTGTCTGATGGCAAATCCTTGAGGTGAAGAACAAAGGCATGACGCCCATGTCCTACTTAATGGCTGATGATCCAGGGAAAGACTTCCCTTTGCCTCAGTTTCTTCTTGTAGGCAATTTGACTAAATATAAAAAAAAAAAACTGGGAACAGCTATGGTCTTTACAGCATAGGATGGTTGAATATTTAGTTAGTTAGACTTACAGGACAATGCCCAGCATTATTTTCATTTTTTTATTAATGTATAATTACATACTGTAGAATTCAACCTATTTAGTGTGTAGTTCTTTGAGTGTGGATAAATGTACACAGCTATGTAATCACTACTACAATCAAAATACACAAAATTTCATATCTTCCCCCAAATTTCCCTGTGTGTCTTCCTTGTCAGCTTCTTCCCCAGCCCACAGCCCCTGGCAAACACAAGTCTTTATAATTAAGCATTTTCTGGAATTATATATACATGGAGTCATATAGAATGCAGCCTTTAATTTTGTCTTCTTTCACTTGGCATAACGAATTTGAGATTTATCTGTGCTGTTATGTGTACAGTTCATTCCTTTTTATTACTGAGTAGTATTCCATTGGAGGGAATTGACTACAGTTTATTTATGCGTTCATCTGTTGAAGGACATGAGTTATTTTCAGTGTGGGAAATTACAAAGAAAGGCATCATAAACATTCTCATAGAGTTTTTTTTTTTCTTTTGCTTTTTAGAGACAGGGTCTCACTTTGTTGCCCAGACTAGAGTGCAGTGGCACAATCATGGCTCACTGTAGCCTCAAACTCTTGGGCACAAGCAATCCTTCTGCCTCAGCCTCCCGAGTAGCTGGGACTATAAACATGAACCACCAGGAATGGCTTTTTTTTTTTTTTTAAGCTTTTGTAGAAATGGGGTCTTTCTATGTTGTCTATGCTGGCCTCAAACTCCTGTCCTCAAGAGATCCTCCCACCTCAGTCTCCCAAAGTACTGGGAGAGGTTTTTTTTAAAAAAACATAAGTTTTCATTTTACTTAGTAAATTCATAGGAATGGACTACTGACCAGTAGGTATATGATTAATTTTATAAGAAACGTGTAAATCCTTTTGCAAAGTGGCCTTACTATTTTATTTTCCTACCAGCAATACATGAGCATTCCATATGCTCCTCACTTCACCAGCACTGGGTATTGTCAATTTTTTTAGCCATGCTGATTGGTTGGTAGCTGTATCTCATTGTGACATCTGATTGCATTTTCCTATGACTCATGACTTTCAGAATCTTTCTGTGTGCTTATATGCAATTTTTATATTTTCTTTGATTAATGAATGTTCAAATATGTTTACCGGTTTTTTATTGGATGGCTTATTTTCTTATCATTGAATTTTGTGATGTTTCTAAAATATATATACATATTTTGAATTTTTGGCCAGGCGTGGTGGCTCACGCCTGTAATCCCAGCACTTTGGGAGGCCAAGGCGGGCGGATCATGAGGTCAGGAGATCGAGACCATCCTGGCTAATGTGGTAAAACCCCGTCTCTACTAAAAATACAAAAAATATATATATATATTAGCTGGGCGTTGAATTTTTTATCAGATAAATCATCTACAAATATTTTCTTCTACTCTGTAGCTGCTTTTTTCACTCTATTCACAATGTTTTCGAAGACTAGAATTTTTAAACGTTTGATTATCTTTTGATTATCTGTTGATTCTACTAAAGATAATTAAAAGTAGTAGACTAAGGTATACAAGTAAGAAAAATGAGTTTTTCCTGTATAATTTAAAAGACAAATACTTGAAACAATAACTATAAACATATGTTCATTGGCACACAATCTATTAAGTTGTATTTTTGATAATAACAACTTAGGGAGAGTACAGTTTGTAAAAGAGTATTTTTTTGTATACTATTGAGAGTAAGTTAGTATTAATTCAAACTTGATTGTTATAAAATATAGATGTTAATTGTAATCCCCCATGTAACCACTAACAGGGAGAAAACCTAAAATAAATGAGAAGGAAAATAAATGAAAAGGGAATCAAAATGGTTTACTAGTAAAAAATCAGTTAATCACAAAATAAGGTATAAATAAAGGAATTAAGGGGAAAAAGATATAAGACCTAAAGAAAACACATTTTAACATCACAAAGATAAGTCCTTTCTTATCACTAACTATATTTAATACCATGGATTAAAATATTTAATTAAAAGGCATTAATTGGAAGAATGATTTTTTTCTTAAAAACAGTCTTACTATATGATGTCTATGCAAGAGACTTACTTTAGTTTCAAAGACACAAATATGTTGAAAGTGAGATAATGGAAAAATATATTCCATTCATATGGCAAAGAAAAGATACCTGGGGTGGCTATACTAACATCACACAAAACAGGCATCAATTCAAAAATTGTTTTAAGGACAAAGAAGAATCTTATAAATTAATAAAAGTGTCAATCCATCCAGAATATATGAGAATTATAAACATATATGCACCTAGCAACAGAGTCTCAAAATCTGAAGCAAAACCCTTGTTACTATGGACATATAAGTTCATCAGAAAAATGATTCAATTTGGTTAAACCTACATTTACGTTTTTCATAATGTTAAACAATACCTAGAAGTAATACTAATCTATGTAATCAGTGTACACGTATAAGTTTAGGAAAAATATACCCAATTGTTTTAAAGGTGCATTTGTAATATATTCAATATTGATAGATCAAAGAAGAAATCGTTGTTTTAATTAAACAGTAAAGATTAATCTTGTCTTGTTTGCCAAAGATTTACCTAAATTATGTGAATTTGAATCATTAAAATAGTTTTGTGGAAGATGATTTTAAAATCTAGCATATTTAAAATATCCATAATATGATATCCTTATTTTCATGTAATTTTAAAAATATTAGATTTATAAAAGCACATATACGCCAATAAAAACAGCTCCTTTAAGAGATTTTATATGCCCATGTTTTAATACTATGCAGAGGCAGGAAAACATTACGCACACAATCACAGGTAAAGGCATTTCTGAATTTCAGACACATAGACATACAGGTACAGAGAAATAGAGCTTATATCTTCAATTCTACAACTTCATCCATAGATCAAGAGTAAACACAGAAAGAGAAAAACTCACTGGCCCACACGTGAAAGAGCTGTTCTACTCCTGGAAGGCATGAAATTCTTAATTGACTTGAACTAAAAAGACCTCAAAAATGACAAACCAGTTCTTTGTGTCTCTCACCCAATATAGACTAGATTTCTATAAACCATTAATCTAGTTCCAAAGATTGCCAATGATCAGACCATAAAAATAAATTCCCACCCACTGCTGCCAAAAATTGGGAATAATTTATCTGCTGTAAATATACCAAAAACAAAACAATAATATAAATTTATTTGAGAGGAAAATTAAATATAGAAAAACGAAACATCAACAAAGTTCTGTTGGTGTTTTGGATTCAATTAAGAGGAGTCAAAAACAAACAAAAAAAAAACAAAAAACACTCCTGGGTTTGAAGCATGCATGAGGTACTCTTCTCTGTCAACAGTGTTTACCTATCTATGGTAGGTAAATCCATTGAGCATGTTGTGAAATCTAAAAGAAGTAAAGGATATCTTAAAACAAGTTAAAATCATGCCAGGCATACAGATATAAAACAAACATGTCTTAAAATATTCCATTCAACTCATGAGAGAATGGATAGATGTTATAACTGGTTCAAAAGACAATTGTGGTGTCCACATGTGGTGTCCTTGCTGCCATTCTTGCGTATCTGACCACTTACATCTGAAGCAACAAGACTCAGCCACAACAACTAGAGGCTCATCACTCTAATACATGTGTTTATGGTAGTGTACAAAAAACCCAAGCTCAGCCACCTATTTAAGAATGTACTTGTCTTGCAGTTAATAAAATGCCCTGATCTATGAAGAATTATCGACACATGAGTCTGTACTTTGGCATGAGTCTTTGCAGCTCCTTTCCACCTCAAAACTGCTCACAGGAAAGGGAGCCCCAATCTTCTGACATCAGCAAATTTGATTAAAGTTTAAATATATGGGTGTACATCTGACTCCTCTCAGTTTCAGTCATTGTATGTTGGAGGTATCTGTGACACACAGACACAGATATATCCCACAGAGAATTGGAGGGATAGAAGGGGGTGGTCAGCCTGAGGTGTTTGAATCAGTGATTCCAGAGAGGAGCAGCTTCTAATGGGGACCATGCAGGGGGTGGTTCTGGGTGGGTGTGGCTGGCTGAGTTGGTGGGATACAGAAGACTTCCTCCTTGGCTCTAAGGAAGTCAAGGTCTTGTGAGGACAGGATGCTGGCTTGAGCCACCTTTGCATATTGAAGTCCCAGAAAAAGTGGTAGTAATTGGGGTGAAGTTGAAGACCACATGCCGAAGTCTTTATTCATCATAGAGAATGCCTAAAGGTCAGATAGCAATGAGGTGGGGGGTTGGACAAGATGGTACAACAGTTGGCATAAATTTAAACGATGCATGAGCTTTTACATGAATTGAGAAGAATCGGACAAACAATAAAGAAATTTACCAAAAAAAGGGTAAAAATAAAGAAATGAAAAAAAAAATCAGCCACTATTTTACAACCCAAATAAAATGCCAAATCATCATATAACCATCCATACTTACTCCTAAATACATTTTTCCCAATAATGAGCTCATAACAATATATCATTAACATCTTTCCATTGCAATGCTTAAAGAGTTACATTATTATTTTAATTACTTCTATTCAATGAATTTCATTTATTTTCAATAGTCTCTTACTGTTGGAATGTTTAAAATGTTCTTATCTAAAAATATTGTCATGATCAGAAAACATCAAAGCTAATACTTCACTTATTTAAAAAGAGTAAAAATAATTCATTGGTAATGGGACAGTGATGATGGACAGTGCTGGTTGTTGCAGGTGGAGGCCAGGCTGTGGGAATGCTGTCACATGTGATCTCTTCTACACCGTCACCTCTCTGTCTCACAGGCCCTGAGGTCACCCTCCTTGATGTGGCTCCCTTCTTTTAAAGGTGCTTTTCTGAGCCTGATATAAAAGTACCAAGCCCCACCATAAACTAAACTCTAGCAAAATAGCATCCATATGACATTTTTCCCCTTTAATTCCATTTAGCTAAAAAATTTGTCATGCTTGCTCTATGCCGATGGTCTAAGCATTTGAAAAATTAACTAATGTATCCTCCTAACAACCCTATAATGTAAATATTGTTATTATTTCCTATTTTAAATACAGGGGAGTAAAGCATAGAGAGGTTACTTTGCCCAAGGTCACCCAGCTAGCAAGTAGCAGAGTCAAGATCAGAAACCAGTACACACCTACTATGTACTGATAAAAATTAAAAATTAAAAAAAGAAGAATTTTTTTAAAAGGTAAGAAACCAGCACTGGCCACTTTCCCTTCCATGTTCCTTTTGTTGATGGAAAAGAGCCCTAGGAAGGGCTAATGGCACAAAAAGTAACAAAACTAAGGACTCAAAGGTTTTGTGTGCGTGCATGTGTGTGTGTGTGTGTGTGTGTGAGTGTGTGTGTGTGTCTGTTTGCCAGAAGAGAGTGATGTTTTTTAACACATGAGAACCCCTTCATCCTTATTTTATTGAATAAAATAATAACCAGCCACAGCAGTAATAGAATCTAAGGGGCCACAGAGCAGTGACTTTTACAGCCTTGCTTCATTTAAAGAAACCACATCCTTTCTGTTACAGCATCCAAACTTATTAGGACATAACCTTTCAAACCTGAGAGAAAAGGTCAACTTTAACTAGAGAACAAAAGTGGTTTCTGAACCTGGGATTCTTCCATTGTGTCGGGTTCCCCATTTTTCCCCATCTCAGTGCTGTTGAAAATTCAGGCACATTTGCAGGAATCCAATTACTCCTACAGATTACACAAAGATTATCAAAGTTGTAAACAGCAGAATATTTGCAGAGATCGATGGAACACGGCAAAGCTCATATTTAACAAGAGAAATAAAAGAAAGTGTACAGCAGCAGTCAGTGAGAGAAGAGTATAATGTCACATCATCATGCTGAAGGTTAAGACGTAATTGAAATCAATGTTAAAGCACAATGTATCCTCCAGGTCTCGTGCACTTTGAGAGCGCAATTCTAATTTTATATCTGAGCAATTCATTTGCCTTAAGCAGGTGCGTTATTAGAAGGGTGGTTTTATTACGTTACCTTGCCATAAGGTTTGAATTTGGTTAGATAGTGGCAAATTAGGCCGTCTTTGGGCAAACAAGATTATGACAGATTGCTCCAAAAAAACCACTGCATCCCCGTATTTGCAGAGATTTAAGAGCAGTGACCAGAGGTGGGATTCTAGAGTGGTTATAGGCCTGGGCTTTGATGCTGAAGGGATATGAGCTGCAGGCTCAGTTCCATTACATGTTACTTGCGTAGCTTTACGTTGGCCACTCAACATCTGCTTCCAGGTTACCTCATCTGTACAATGCAGTTGTTCTGAGAATTAAGTGAGATGTCTTATGAAGGGCTCATAGCAGGCAATTCTGGACACTATTAGCGTTTGGGCCAGTTCAACTTATCAAGTCCATCATGTATGCCACCTCCTCCAGGAAGCCTTTCCTAATGTCCAAAACCAGAAATGATTTCTCCACTCTCAGTTCTATTTGCAATTAATATTTGATTAATGGTTTTATTGAGGTATCATTTATCTACCATAAAATGGATCCGTTTTAAGTATATAATTTAATGATTTTGAATAAGAGTTGTGCAACCATTACCATAATCCAGTTCTAGAACACTTTCATCACCCCAATAATATTCTTTATGCCTGGTTACAGTGAATTCCCATCCCCACTCCCAGACCCATGGCGTATCCAAACAACAAAAGACTATTCAGGAATAAAAATGGAGACAATACCAATACATTCTATGGCATAGATAAACCATGAAAATAAAATGTGAAGTGAAAGAAGCTAGACACACACACACACACACACACACACGAATGAGAGAGAGAGAGAGAGAGAGGAGTTCATATTGTATGATACTATTTATATAAGATGTCTACAAAGCATGTTTTCTGTTTTTACTCTCTTTTGACCTTTGATCTATTTGTGAATTCCTTATACTTTCTTTCTTTTTTTTTTTTAATTATACTTTAAGTTTTAGGGTACATGTGCACATTGTGCAGGTTAGTTACATATGTATACATGTGCCATGCTGGTGCGCTGCACCCACTAACTCGTCATCTAGCATTAGGTATATCTCCCAATGCTATCCCTCCCCCCTCCCCCCACCCCACCACAGTCCCCAGAGTGTGATATTCCCCTTCCTGTGTCCATGTGATCTCATTGTTCAATTCCCACCTATGAGTGAGAATATGCAGTGTTTGGTTTTTGTAGGGACATGGATGAAATTGGAAATCATCATTCTCAGTAAACTATCGCAAGAATTCCTTATACTTTCTAATTGACTTGAAGGAGGGAAGTCAGATTCATTACTGTCTCCTCCGTAACACCTAGTGAATTGCCTTGAGAAACAGTAAGATGCTCAACTAATTTAAAATCCATTGAAAAGTTGGATGGACAGGAAAGCAACTAAGCCTTGTTGCCTATCAAGCGTTAGTGCTGAAGTTAGAGGTACGTCTTTGTGACATCAAGAAAGTCACTGGTTTTCTAGAGAAGGCTACTTCGTGGACAAAGGACTGATGGTGGCCCAGTTTTTCCAGCAATTGGGACATATCCCTGTTTCTTAGGTACTGCTCCTGTGGACAGCTCAGTAGCTCTTATCATGGACCAGGAAGTATTGGGTGTTTTACTTTCTGTTTTAGCTCTTAAAACAGCCTAGGAGGGAGATATTATTACTGGTCGCATATTGCTGGTGGGGACAGTGAGGCTTAGAGAAAATAAAGAATATGCCCAAGTTCACACAGCCAGCAAGTAGGGAGACAGTATGACAAGAAAATACAGTGGTTCTTTTTTTATTTGACTACCCATAAAAAGGTAAGAAAATGGTGCTAGAGAAAAGGTATTTTTTCCCCAGAATTAAACTTCTATCCAAAACCTACTTGCAAAAATAATAATAACAGTTAATGCTTAGTGTTCACTATGAGCTAGGCATTATTCTAAGTGTTGTGCAATTATTGACTGTTTAATCTTTATGGTAACACTATGAGATAGATTCTGCTATTATCTGATAAGAAAACTGAGGCAGAGAGAAATTAAATAGCTTCCTCAAGGTCTTATTGCTGGGAAATGAAAGAGTTGAACTTTAAATCCAAGCAGCCTGGCTCTAGAACTTGTATTCTACCTCTATTAAACAAAAAGCACTTCAAGAGTGGTGTTTACACCCCTTGTTCCTCAATCCAAGCATAGGACATGGCCCAATGTAGGCAATGAACATTTGGGAAATTTACCTAGAAATGCTTTGTGAAAGGCACAAGCATGGGGAGGAATGATGGCATCTTCTGGGACTCCCTTAGAAGAGCCTGGAGTCTTAAAATAAGCCCAGTGGATGGAAAAGAGTGTCTTGAACCTGGAAATCAGGAGACTCCATTTCTACATTTAGTCCTGACCCTTCAGTCACTCATTTACTCATTCTGTCACTCAACACCCATTAATCCAGCAAATACTCGGTTCCATTCACTGATCTAGACCCTGGGGATACAGTAGAGCCCAAGACAGACTTGCTGTCTGCTATTCGCAAAGGAAAGACAAACGATAATCTAGCAATTTCAAAGAAGAGAAGGGTTATGTTAGGACAAATATATGATACCAAGACACCATAAAACAAGTGAATCTGCCTGACCAAGGGACTCATAAAAGCCTTCCATGGGGAAACAGCTTTCAGATTAAGCCTAATAAAAGAGTAGCAGGCCAGGCGCGGTGGCTCACCTGTGTAATCCCAGCACTTTGGGAGGCCGAGGCGGGTGAATCACTTGAGGTCAGGAGTTTGAGACCAGCCTGGCCAACATGGTGAAAACCTGTCTCTACTAAAAATACAAAAATTAGCCAGGCGTTGTGGTGGGTGCCTGTAATCCCAGCTACTCAGGAGGCTGAGGTAGGAGAATTGCTTGAAATTGCTTGAACCCAGGAGGTGGAGGTTGCAGTGAGCCAAGATCGTGCCACCACACTCCAGCCTGGGCAACAGAGCGAGACTCTGTCTCAATAAAAAAAAAACAAAAAACAAAAAACAAACAAAAAAAAAATAGGAGCAAATGGCCAGGGAAGAGGTGAGGGGACTGTGAACCAGGCTCAATCAATGGTAGGAATCCTATGCCAGCTTTATGTTTCCACATATATATTCTACTACCAATATAGCTGGTCATTAATTGGAAGTCCTACAGAAAGGATGGTTTATATTATTCTGTGCAGAATTGAGGAAATAAAGGAGTTTGACTTGCAGATACAGGCAACTTTAGAGTAAATCACAGTAATTAAGGCCTTCTTGGTCAAATAGACTTTTGGTTGAATGCCACTCTTAATCCTGACAACCTCTCTTATTTGAGCTCCTTTATGACAATTAAGTGCAATTAAGACACTGCTTCCAGCTTGGCGATTTTTTAAAATCTGATGTCTCTAACCAACTACATAAATAAAGCCGAAGCGTCCTCTCAGATTCACAGATCACAATTGCACTCTTGCCTGCTGCTCTAAGATCACGTTGTCATTTGAGATATTTTATCCAAATGGGCCATAATTTTAAGTAACATCTAGGCCCTAAGTGTTATGTGTAGGTCAGTACTCCATCCTGAAGCAAAATGGTTTGTAATCAGCAGAGCCATTCTGAGTAATTCGCTAACAGCCTTATCATCTGTAATTCCTACCACATCATGGTGGATACTGGAACATGGGCAAACATTACACAAATATATACGTATTCACATACATACAAATCCATATATACACAAATATACATACACAAAGGCTCATTATAGAGTTAACAGTTAAGAAACCACTCGAACAATTTAGCCACTTGGTACATGAAGATTCAACCATATTTTGGAAGCAGGTTGGAAGAGGCTTAGGCCATGGGAGGGGATGTGGAGTCACTCATTTTTCAAAGTGAAAGAAGTACAGATGACCATTAGTTGAAGCTATAGGTGGTCACCTTAAAGTTATTTGACTTTTTGTTGTTAGGTTGTAGGAGTTGTTTATATACTCTGGATATTAGTCCATTATGAGATATATGATCTGCAAATACCCTTCTCCCGGCGTAGGTTGCCTTTTCATGCTGTTGATTGTAGAATGTGATGCATGAAAGTTTTTAAGTTTGATGTAGATGCATTTTTCTATTTTTACTTTTCTTGCCTGTGCTTTTGGTATCATATACAAAAAGTCATTCCCAAATCCAATGTCATGAAGATTTTCCCCTATGTTTTCTTCTAAAAGTTGTATAGTTTGGGGTCTTCATTTAGGACTTTAATCTATTTTGAGGGTTTTTTTTTTAATCTGTGGTGTAAAATAAGGGTCCAACTTTATTCTTTGAATGTGGAGATCTAGTTTTCCCAACAACATTTGTTTAAGAGACTGCACATATTTTTTATATATTCATATAGTAAGATATATTTTAAATAATAAATAAAAAGTAATTTTAAAGTGAAGTAGTAGCTGGGTGCAGTGGCTCACGCCTGTAATCCCAGCACTTTGGGAGGCCAAGGCAGGTGGATTACCAGAGGTCAGAAGATCAAGACCAGTCCTACCAACATGGTGAAACCCTGTCTCTACTAAAAATACAAAAATTAGCTGGGCATGGTGGTGCACACCTGTAATCCGAGCTACTCAGGAGGCTGAGGCAGGAGGATCACTTGAACCTGGTAGCTGGAGGTTGCAGTGAGCCAAGATTGCACCACTGCACTCCAGCCTGGGCAACACAGTGAGACTCTGTCTTAAAAAAAAAAAAAGTGAAGTAGTTATGAGGCAGTAAGACTCTTTCCAAGCTATTATGAAAATGGCTGTTGTAGAGTACTGCTAAGGAAGGAGATGGCTTAAAAATTTCCTTCAGGAGAGGATGGACTAGGAAAGGCCCATCCCACAGTGTTGTATGATCCTCCAGCCATTCTTTCATAATTATGTTTGCAGATAGTGGTGGGGAATGATAAAGAATTCTGCATTCTTTTAGGAAAGACTGAAGCCACTTCACTCCACCAGTAATAAATCAAAACGTTTTTTTTTTATTTTTTAAGTATTGATATTAGCTGATCACATTATAGTCCAGTCATTTCTCCTAAGTGTCTTTATAAGAATTATTTAATTTCACCTTTATAATACCCTTATAAGGTTAGGTTCTAATATTAGACATATCTTACCAATGAGAAAACTGAATCTCAAATATATCAATAGTTTTTTAAGTAAAAAAGCTAGAAAGTAGCAAAGCCTGAACTCAAACTAGGTATGTTTGGACCCAAAGCCTTTGTTCTTAACCACTATGCTTTCCTGACTTTTATATAATTGTATTTAAACATAAGAACCTGTGTACAAAAGGTTCAATTTTTTTTCTTTTCTGCAATAGAATAAAAGTGCTCACATTCCTCTATTTTTGACTTCCTGCTTTAAGGCACTAGCTACATATTTCATAAACCATAGAATGAAGAATTTTGGCATGAGATCCCTCCCATGTTCCCTCTGTCTTTTATGGTAACTCTAAAATATAATATGAAAAGCAGAGTGAGACAAACCTCCTGGGATTTCTTATAACAACCTACTATAAATCTATTATGAACAATAGCTTTCTTTATTAGTTCTTCAGCTGCCAATAATTTTTTGCATTATTTAGATTTTAAAAATGAGTTTATATCTCCCTGACTAATCACTTTTATTTCTAGCAATTTAATCTAAGAAATAACCGAATAAGTGTATTCTGGTGTTGTTTTTTGTTGTTTAGCAGGGATTCCCAGTTTTTCTCATTGATGCCCTTATTATTATTATTATTTTTTTGGCCATGACTTTTTCTTTTTCTTATTTTGATGGAACTCTAAATAAAGATGCCATGTGTCCTCTTGGCCAAATGGTGAATGTGGATGCAAGATAAACCTGGTGGATCCTCTTCCTGGACTTTAATCAGAAAATGGTTGAAATGGACACAGCTGCATGGTAGTTGCATCAACAGACTTCCCATTATTTCTGCTATTGGATTTTCAGGACCTCCTTTTTGATGTCTAGTTATTCCATTTGTGATCCAAGTAAGTTTGTGAGCTTTATCAATCATTCCCACAAATTCCTCTTATCCCCTTTCAGATTCAAGCTAGTCATGATTGACTTCTGTTTCTTACAATATGTGATCCCAACTGAAATACAATCCAAAAACATAATGCGCTCATCATCATATTGTTCATTATGGTGAAAAAAACTGGAAATGATCTAAATATCCTACAACATGAGAATAGTTTAAATAAATAAGCGTTAATTCAAACAACGAGCCACTCAAATTGGTGATATAAATTTCTTATAGTTAATTTATAGTAGATATAATTATTGACTTGCAAAATGTTTGCTACTAGTTATTTTAAAAAGTAAGTTACAGAACAGTATGTGTAATATGATTCATTATATAATATCATTATACACCAACACATTAATGGTCATTTTTCTTGAGCAGTGGGGTTACGAAGGTTATGCCATTTTCCTCTATTTTAATGTTCCTTCAATAAACTTGCATTTTTTAGGAGTGAAAAATATTATTTTAATTTATGCTCATATGAACAAATAATAATACATTTTTTCCAGAGGAATTGTTAAGTCACAGCTCTAGAAAATAAAAATGAGAATACCAAATATATTGTTGCTGAGAGTTTCAATAAAGCACCACAGATTTTCATGAGACTAAATTCCTGTTCCATTTTTTTGCAGCCTAAGTAATAAGCTGAATCACAAACAACGAAAATTAGTTGAGAGAAGTGTCAATGGCTTATGGAAGGGGAAAAGCAATTGGTTGGCTTTATCACAAATCAGCTTATGATTAGTTATCCTTTAAAGAGAGCCAGAGTTGTATAGTGAGAAAAATCACTGAACTGGAGTCAAGAGAAACGTGTTTTCACCCTGGATCTTTCACTAACCAGCTCTATATCATTGGGCAAATCACTTAACCTTTTAGTCCTAATCATATATAAAATGAGGGGCAGAAATAGATTATCTCTGTAGTTTCTCCAGACTCTAAAAGTCTGTGATTTATAAAAGGGCATAGAAACTAATTTCTATGTTCAAATTGTTGCATTATCTGTCTGGCATCTCTTCTGGTCACAGCAACCAGCACTGAAGTGGGTAGCTAATCTCAAAACCATAAAGTGCTTGATAAATCGGAAATAGCCAATAAAGTTATTCTCTCTAAAGGGGAGTCAGTGGTTGGTTCAGACTTCAGTGTGTGCCTCAAATAGAACCAATGAGACTGATGCTAATAATATTTCCAGGATGAATTAGAACAGAGGCCCTTTCTTTCTGCTAGAATTGATGAATTGTCAAGATGGTTGCCCTTGGAGCTGTCTTTGCCACCAGAATAGAAGAACCTGAATGAAAATTATACCAATAGAAAGTGAAGTGGATCAAAGATGAGAAGAAAGAGAAAACTCTGATAACGTCATTTGAACAACTGAATCCCAACTGTTCCTGAAATCATTATCATAGTCAGTTAGCTTCCCTTTTATAAAGCTTAAGCTTGCTTAAATTGGATTACTCTTGCTAAATAAGCAAAAGGGCTCTAGTTTAACTAATTTCTTTATACGTTTATAATCATTTGCATAGAGTAAACCTACATGATATATATTATAAAAACAAAATATATAATAACAAATGTATCTGCCTCATTTCATCCTTATTCTCACAAAAATTTTGAAAGGTAGGTATTATTACTTTATGTTAGGGACAAAGAATATGAAACTTAATGAGGTAAAAATGTTGGACCAAGATAAGTCAATAAATTTGCCTTACTTTGGAAATAACAAAGAGTGGTTGTGGTTGGTAAGTTTTTGATTATTTGTTTCTCATGAGACCTGTTTACAAAACTGAAATTTAATTTTCATATCTCACTTTTACCTTGGGCTATGATCTACTATTTAGATAGCACTTAGTTTTTGGCAAAGATGTTGGTCATTTTCAAAGATTTGTTACTTACAAACAAGGGTGTGTGATAGAAACCCATATTTTCCCCCATCTTGGATCATGATGGAGATGCCATTTGCCAGAAGGAGCTTGGATCCCGGAAGATTTTGTGAAAGAAAACCACCATACCAGCCTTGGATGGCCTTCCTCTCAATCTTTACATGAAGGAGATAAACTCTGATCTTTTTTTAAACCACTTTTTTTTTTCAGACTCTCTCAGTTGCTGCCAAATAGAATCCTAGCTGATCCACTGCATTTTGCTGAACCAATTGATTTATCATAGAACTGTAAAATTGTAAAGCTGGAAGGAAGCTTTTAGGTCATTAAGTCCTATATCCACATTCTAGAAAAGAAGAATTGAGTCTTTAAAGAGAGGAGTGTTTTGTTAGAGATGAATCAATCATCATTTTATTTTTTCCCTTGATATGTTAAATACACTTACATCTGAATTCAATGGCATGAATACATGGCACCCTAATTTTTCTGATTACTTAGCCAGTTTGGTTTTGACCTTTCTTCAAAAGTTTATAAAGTTGACGTTTATGAAAACACCAGTGTTTGACACATACTCAAAGCTCAATCAATACTATTTTATTCTTTCATATGGGGAACACAGCTCTAATCTACAGTTTGAATAGTCAGTATAATGTACTAAATATTCATTTTGGAAGTCAGACAGAACCTGGGATTAAATTCAGCAAACTTATCCATTGACTATGTAATTTTAACGTTATTTAACCTCTCAGACTCTCATTTTTTAACATGTAAAAATAGGTTAATTGGATATCACATGAGTTGGGACAATGATTAGACATAATGTGTCTAAAGGGTCTAGTATATAGTAATCAACAATTAGAAGCTATTAATAATATTATGGTTTCACTGCCACTCTCCTGCAACATACTTACCTTAATATAACAGAAGTTTCCCTCTTAGAGGAGGACTAAAAGAGACAAAGAGATTAGATACAGTGTGACTTCAGGGTCTAACTTTTTTTTTATTCTTCTTACTGAAGGACATGATAGAATAATTAAAGTCCATTTTAAGTATACTTAAAAATACAATTGGAGAAAAGACAATTCTAATTAACTTGTTCTCTTTTGAGTAAAAATTGGATAAAATTTGGAAAAATTTTGTGAACTTTGGCATGAATACAGAATCAGAAAAAAACAACTATTGTGTCACATAATTGGAATTCATGAAAGCTTCAGGGTCATGACTGAAACTACATCTTCAATCTGCATATCATCAGGGTGCTATTATACACCCTCTTCTTTCTCTCTCTCTCTCTCTCTCTCTGAGTCATAGCTCTGCCTTTATCTATTTTGGGAATTTCCCCAAGAAGATGGCAAAGACATCCACCAATAGCTCTAAGCTTACATCTTATAATCATTTTAGCCTACCTATCAAAAAGAGAATGTCATTTTCCCAACAGTGTTTGAAAAATGGAAATAGTAGAGAAGAAGTAGATTATGAAAGGCTTTGTGTGCCAGAAGGAGTTCAGGAATTTTCGCTTCATCATGAAAGCTATGCAGAACCTCTGAAAGTTTTCAAGTTAGGAATGTAATTCTATCTCCTGAAATGCAAATGTAATAGATTAGCAAGAGTAAGGGTATGAAGATGAATTAGGAGGTAGTTTCAGGAATTTAGGTAGAACATTAGATTATGAATTAAATAATGACAATGGAGACAGAGAAGAGGATTCTGAATTAAGAAATAATTTTGAGGTCAAGTTGATAGGCTATAGCTACCTCCAGGGGAGGAGAGAAGCAGAGGGAATGGTTCAGGATACTTCTAATTTGGGTAACTGAGTAGGTCTTAATGGAGTTCACATAAACTGGTAATCTAAGAAGAATGTGGGAAGAAGTGAGTTTAATGGGCATTTTGTGTGCAACTTGTTTGTATCCTCCACAAGCAGACATGTTTGCAATTGAGAATATGTCTAAAGCACTGCAGAAATCTGGAGTCTGGAGACACGATGTAATACAGTACTGAAGACAATTCTCAGAGTCACACTTCAAGGGAATAACTGACAAATGAGAATGAATTCAAGGAAGGGCACCATAACAATGAAGTGTCTAAGAGTTGTGTCAGGTGGCAAGGTATTTTATCCATCTGCTCCTTAGTATTACTGTGAATAACTAAATTATTTCAAAGTGTGCAGGATTTCCCCTGGAAATACTAAAACTTCATGAAAGGACATTATTATTAGCAATCAGGGAAGGAAAGAGTTTGCCTGACCCCAAAAGGCAAACAGTATGGCAGCTACTAAAGAATCGAGAAATATACTATTATTGCATCTTTTAAATACCTTCAAGGAGTAGATTTAAAAATTGTCTGCAGGAAAAGATGGTCTTGAGAACATTCCTCATGCCTAAAATAACTCTCCTCTTGCCCTTTGGGACTCCGTAGAAATACATTTACAAAGGTAAGAGAAAAAGCAAAGTCTAGTAGTGTGCATTAGACCCTGAGAAAATTTAAAAAAAAATAATGTCAATTGTTCTCTATTTGCAATTGAATACCTTCTGTTTGTGCCTAGTGAGGCTTGTCAGGCGAATGAAATTTGGCACTTGATAGCATTTCTATAGGAAATGAATGAAAGATTAAAGCCATGGAAATTTTAGCACTAGGAAGTACCTTAGAGATGTTTGGTACAACCCACACCCACTTACTTTATAACTGTGAAAGTGAAGACCAGATAAGTCAAATGACATCCTCAGACTCTTAAAGCTAGTTTAGAAGAAGAGTAAGTGCTGGAACCAGGTCATCTTGAAAATGTTTTTTCTCTTTCATTCTGTAGGAAATACACCACTGCTGTCGCTGCTGACACGCAGGCATGGGTTACGCTTCCATTGACAGTCACACAATAAAAAGAAAAAAAGTGATTTGATTTTATTGTAAAGTGATGCCTTTCCTCTTTTTGTTGTTGGTTTGAAAGAGGAAGATGAAGCATTCAGCTTATCCACTTTAACATTAATAATAAGGAACACACTATTTTCATGAACAAACATTGAAGAACTTCTTTGGGCTCCTGAGAGGCCAAAAAGAGAAGATGGAAAATCAGAAAAAAAAAAAAAAAAGATATACGTTAGGATGTAATGAGGAAGAGGAAAGTGAGAAGATCAAGAGGGGTGAAAGTAAGAAAAGGAGAGAGGTGACAAAGGAAAAAGATGGGAAGTAATAGAGAGAAAAAGGAAAACGCCAAGATGGAAATTATTAATCTGCATATGCAGCAGCAAGGAAACAGATATGGAGAGGGAAGAAAAAAATTCTCCGAAATTAGACAAAGAGCACAGGGCATGTCAGATGAATTTACAGAATTAATAGTTTTTACCTGGCTATTCACCTGGGAATAGGCATCAGAGAAAATAATGTCCAGTTAACACTATTCTTTAGACAATTTCTTTATAATTAAGACTGTGTTATTAATATCTACCATTTTCTTTTTTTTTTAATTTCAACTTTTATTTCAGGATCAGGGAGTACCTGCCCTCCCTCCCCCGCTTGGAGTCCCCACTGTCTATTGTTCCCATCTCTACGTCCATGTGTACCCAGTGTTTAGCTTCCAATTATCAGTGAGAATATGTGGTATTTGTTTTTCTGTTTCTGTGTTAATTCACTTAGAATAATGGCCTCCAGCTGCATCCATGTTGCTGCAAAAGGCATAATTTCATTCTTTTTTTTTTAGATGGAGTCTCACTCTGTTGCCAGGCTGGAGTGCAATGGCGTGATCTCTGCTTACTTCAATCTCTGCCTCCAGGGTTCAAACCATTCTCCTGCCTCAGCCTTCTGAGTAGCTGAGATTACAGACATACGCTAACACGCCTGGCTAATTTTTGTATTTTTAATAGGGACAGGGTTTCATCATGTTGGCCAGGCTTGTCTTGAACTCTTGACCTTGTGATCTGCCTGCCTATTTTTTAATGGCTGTATAGTATTCCATACTATATATGTACCATGTTTTCTTTTTCCAGTCCACCACTGATGAGCACCTAGGTTGCTTCCATGTCTTTGCTATTGTGAATAGTGCTGTGAGGAGCATACGAGTGTGTGTATCTTTTTGAATATCTACCATTTTCCAAGCCCCTATTGTGTACCAGGTACTCTGCAAGCATCTGGGATGACCCTCAGAACAACCTACCATGTGAGTATTATCATATTTCCTGACCAGAAAACCAAGCTCCTTAGAGGTTAAGTCACTTGCCCCAGTTCCCCAGAAAACAACTGCCTCTTTTTATTTAGAAGTTTCATTATATGCGAAATGAGGTTAATCTCTCCCCCAAATAAATCGGGAATATTTTATAAATTATGAAGGAGGAACTTAGATTTTTAGAAACATATATTGGGGCATCAGCACATCATTTTATTCTGTTGTAATTCAGCACTAAGAATACTACGAGAACCTCAGTCAAAACCTAGTTGCTCAATAAATAGGTGAATAACTGAATGAGTCCATGAATTCCCCTGAACCCATTGAGCATTCAGCACCCCATGATGGACACTGGAGATACAGAGACACTAGATATGGAAACAACTATAAAATAGTTTGATGAAAATTGAGGCTGTAATTAGAAAACACGAGTAAACCAAACCAAGATGCAGATTTTGGGATCCCACATTCTGAATTTCAGTTTTGTAGGGGTGGAGGGAGGATCAGAAATTTGCAATGTAAAAAATTCCCCAGGTGGCTGATATTCACAGTATAGCTGAGAACCACCACCCGGTGTAAAGTTTCCCAAATTGACCCAGTCATAGGAGTCACCTAAAGCATGCATGAAACACACAGAGTCCAGGGTCCCAGCCCAGACCGAGAGAAGCAGAGGGAGCAACAGTGGGTTAATGTGTCTTTCTTTCTTCACTGGTCAGCTGGGGATTGCTGTATATTTGATAAATTGCCCTAGCCTAAAGGGAAAGAGCTGAGAAGAAAGCCCATTATAAATTATGGGGTGAATATTTCCCAATTATACTGAGGACTGTGTTGGTTGTGATGTTCTTCTTCAACATGACCCGAGAACAAGAATTCCTAATATAATTAGAGTAATCTTTAATTAGGAGCTTTCTCTCTGCAGGGCACAAGGGCTAAGATCATTCACTCAAAGAGCATCTCATTAAATTCTCACAGCAATACTAGGAAGTCAACATTTCACTATGGCCTTGTTTGAAATGAGGAAACCGAGGCTCCAAGAGCTTATGTCACTTAGCTAGGAATGAAGGAGCTAAAATTTAAACCCAGGTCTGATTGGCTGAAAGTCTCCATCGGTAATTTCTATGCTCCTTTATCAATTACATTTTTGTTTGTTCTGCTCTTAGCCTCTACACTACCCTGGGTTGCCATTGTATCTCCAAATTTTCCTCCACTGCCCTGTAACCTGCTCAGAAACTTCTTTTTGCTCTGGGCTAATTGTTCCCTTTGGCTCCAGGTAAGATCTACCAGGGTCATCTGCTTTGAGAGGGGAAGCTGGACTAAAGGTGGAAGTCGAGAGGCTAAGAAGTTGTGGGATCATGGGTAAGTCTTATAGCTGCAGACCAGCCCTCAGCTATTTAATCTGTCAAATAGGAATATTAAAGTATACCTTGTCAGGTTGTTATGAGAATGAAACAAATAGCATAAGTAAACTGGCACATGTCGGGAATGACTCTGACAAAAATTAATTCCCTCCCCTTCTCTACCTGCTGGAACTGGACTTCTCACTAAATCTGAGTGGCAGGAAGTTCTGCTGTCACCAGGAATCAGCTGGTGGGTGAAAGATGTGTGCTCATAGAGTACTTCCAGATGATATTTTAATTGCACAAAAGATCACAATTTTCTTCTCATCCATGTCCCGCCGCAGTGCAGGGGGCTGTGTCTGGCAAATAAGGATCAAATAGTGTTTGTTGGACAAAAGACTTCCCAATGAAGAACCACCAAGCCCATTCTCATCCACCGTCTCCCTTACGTTTCCTTATAATTCTGGCAAGCTTAGCCCAGCAGTTTAAAGCATGGAATCCAAGGTTGAACAAATTGGGATCAAACCCTGCCTCCACCACTTACTATTTGTGTGACCTGGGGCAAGTTACATAATGTCTCTGTGTCTCAGTTTCCTTATCTGTAAAATGGGGGAATGATAACATACAAACATCATGGGGTGACCATGAGCATTTAATGGAATACTATACATATAAAGCTCTTGGAACACTACCTGGTCTATGATGCATGTGATTTTATAAAAGTCAGTTACTATCATTATTATAATCTCCCATTTTACAGAAGAGAAAGTTAAGGCTCAAGTGTTCAAATGACTTATCTGAAGTCATAAAGTGAGTCAGTGGCACGGTCACTGCCTTAGACATCTGGGCTTCTCAAGTTTTCCCTTGGGCTTGGAGAGGGGCTATGGAGAACAGGAGATGGAGAAGAAAGGGAAAAGTCAAGCATTTTCCAGAAAGGAGTTCCTCATCCCTGATCCCTGGGAGGATTGTAAGCTCTCCCTCCTCATCTTCCTCTCCTTTCTCTCTTGCCCCCATCCACACATTTCAAGCAGCTATTCTTATGGTTGGCTAGCAGCAGGATGCCAAACACCCATTGAAAGAAATGACCTGTGCTAAGCACCATGGTCTTGACACAGCTTTATTAAAAATTAAGTTGCAAATTATAACACTCACTGGGGAAGACTTGCTTTTCTCCCAATTATAGTTAATAGAATAAAATTAATGTAGCAATTAATGTGGCTGCTCTTACAGCCCACTGTAATCTGCGCAGGGCCACAGCTCCTGTTCTTACCACGGCCTGATTACAGAAGAACTAGGGCCTGGAGCTTAATAAAGTTTTGCTTTTCCTGTGTTTAAACTCTCAGGCCATAACTTACTTAAGAAACACACAAAAAAAGAGATTATTTTACATTTTAGAGGTTCCCATGAGCCATAAATCATTTTCACACATGCCATATTTGTTGAAAAGGACAGAATATATTCAATTTTACAGTATATTAAACTTCATCTAATTTGAACGTAAGAACAGACCAGCAAATAAATGACCAATTTCTGAAGCAGAAATTACCATTTGGTGGGTGCCATTACAGAGCTGCTGGTATTTTATCATGTTCTTAACATAATATTGCTTGTCTAGCGATGCATAGTTATAATGCTATTCCAAATTAGAAGACGGTGAAAGAGAAGTGCATAGTTTTTTTTAATAGGCGTCATTTGTCAGATGTTATTCTGAGGGCTTTGTGCTGATGATAATATGCAGATTAAAGTAGAAGTAAATAGGGAATAAAAGGAGCCGCCTCCAGGAGAAGTGATTCCTACTCCTGAGCTCATAGGAACCTCAGCTGTCAGTAAGAGATGGATGGCCAGGTGGCCACAGCCTCTAGACACAGATAGCAATAATTAATTTGTGCTGAAGACTTCCAAGGAAAAGGAAGCTTCTGGTGCTCAACAGAAAAAAAAATGCCGCCTGGAATTCCAATGTGGCGTCTCAGCTCCTACAATAGCAATTGTAATAGCCACCACTGGCAGAAGACTGCGTCATTTACAAAACACTTTCACATTCGTTATCACACAGAATGTGCCAAGAAACCCGGAGAGGTAGTCCCCTCGTTTTCTAATTAAATCTCTGTTACAGAGGAGAAGAAGGAGGTTTGACAGGGTAAACAGAACTTGCTGGAATGGTCAAAGCTAGAAAGTAGCCAGGCAGTTATGCAAAGTTAGGCGGGTCAGGTGCTATTCATCAATTCAGTCGTTTCTTCAACAACAGTAATTAAGCACCTATCAGGCACCATACTTTGTGCCAAGTGCTGTGGATAATACAGACCTTGGATCTTGACTTTTTGGAAAGCTCATAGTCTAACAAGATAGCAGTCAGTGCACATGGGTGAAATGCATGGATCTTGGAATTAAACTGCCTGGGTTTGAATCCCAGCTGGGTCATTTACAAGCTGTTTAAACTTAAGAAAGTTACTTAACCTCTCCATGCCTCACGTTTCTCATCTGTAAAAAGGACACACTAGTAGTGCTTACAGCTTAAACTTGTAAAAATTCAATCAGTGACACTGTGCTTTACATAATGTTAACTGTTATTATTTGCTTTATGCCCAACCTTTCAACTCCCTGGCCACATCCTAATTCAGGTCACCAGCATCTGTCACCTGGAGCTCTCTGCTACCTACCTGGTCTTCCAATCTCCACCAGTCAAAGCTACACAGAAAAGCCCATAAGCAATTATTCGAAGAACTAAAAACAGAACTACCATTTGACCTAGCAATCCCATTACTTGGTGTATACCCAGAGGAATATAAATCATTCTACGATAAAGACATATGCATGCATGTGTTCATTGTAGTACTATTTACAATAGCAAAGACACGGAATCAACAAAAACCCCCATCAGCAGCAGACTGGATAAAGAAAATATAGTACATATACACTGTGGAATACTATGCAGCCCTAAAAAAGAAGAGATCATGTCCTTTGCAGGAATGTGGATGGAATTGGAGGTCCTTATCCTTAGCAAACTAATGCAGGAACAGAAAACCAAATACTGCATGTTCTCATATATAAGTGGGAGTTAAATAATAAGAACACATGGACAGAAGGAGGGAAACAACAGATACTGGAGCTTACTTGAGGAAGGAGGGTGGTAGAAGGTAGAGATTCAGGGGAAAAAAAACTGTTGGGTACCATGCTTAGTACCTTGGTGACTAAATAATCTGCTAAGTAACACCTGAGTCATGAGTTTATCTGCATGACAAACCTTCCTACGTATTCCTGAACTTAAAATAAAAGTTAACATACCTTTTCAAAAAAAAAAAAGAAGAAAGAAAAAGAAAGAATAGCCCACAGGAACTTTCTGGAGAGAAACTCTGATCACTCTGCACCCCTGCCTCAGCAAGTTCCCATGGCCCTGTGGATGAAGTCCAAACTCTTTAGCATAGTCTGAGAGGTCTCTACCATCAGACCCCTGCCGCCCCTCCAGCTTCTTCTCTCACCACCCACTCACTCCACTTCTAGTCTTCTGCCTTACCAAATGACTTTCTGCTCCAGAATTTTCTATCTTCTCTCTTTTTCATTCTGCCACTCATTTCCTTGATTTTGCAAATGCCATTCCCCCTTCCTAGAAGTGTCCTTTATGTCTCAGTTTAGAGATCCTCTCTTCTGGAAAGTCAACTCTCATGCTCCAAGACTAGCTTAGATGCCACCCTCTGCGCCACAGTAAATTGTGTTTCCCTCATCACAGCACTTCTCACATTGCAATACAGTTATTTGCCAGAATATGAGACTCAGGAGAGCTGGGGTTATCCCAAGCACCATGCACAGGGCCTGGCACTTACAGGATGCTCAAGAATTACTGGTTGAATAACGAATGAATAAATGAGACTGAGCAGCCTCAGAGCCTCCGCCTTGCCCTCACCCTTTGCATTATAACATCAAGGATCTGCAGTAGGTGAGTAGGAGCTCGTACCTGGTGCTTTGCCAAGGTGTGCCAGACCGAATCAGGGCTCACTGCATGCCTCAGATTTATGCCCTATGCTCATGGCTGTGGGGCCAGCCTCCCCGATCACATAAATCACTATGCGGCAATCTGGCTCCCAAGCTGGGGAGCCTCTGAAGCTCACAACACTTTGCAGAGAAGCCGCCAGAATTAGGCATAAATCCACTTCTTGATTGGATAAGCAAACACTCCACTGCATGAAATGATTTACTAAATTACAATGCACAGTGACAGACTTGGGAGATTCAGAGCAAGGGCCTGCTTAGCAATTGGAGGCATTCTCTAACTCCATGGCTTCCTCCACCTCTGCCCTTCCTGGCTTCACCTGTGACTTCTTTCCATTCATTCACTCATTTAATCATCATTCATTGGGCACCCACAGCATGACAGGTAAGGTGCTTACACATAAATTATCTCATTTAACTTTCATCTATGCAACAACTCCAGAAAGTCAGTATCACTTGATTTTTCTGTTTTGCAGATGAGGGAACTGAGGATCAGGGAGGTTAAGAAACTCCATATCACACAGATAGTAAGTGGTAGAGTTGAGATTAAACTCCAAAAACATCCATCAAGAAGCCCCAAAATTTGTCTACTGTAGACTAAATTCACTGTTGCTGTTTTCTTTTTGTCTACAAATATCTAACTCTTCCACTTCTTCTTTTTTGCATTTTGTTTTCTTTTACTTGTATCTGTCAGCATAGGGTAGGTTATGCTGAGATGACAACACCCCCAACATTCTATGGCTTAATGCAACAGAAGTTGTTGTTATTTTTTTTCTAGTGCTTTCTCAACCTAAATGTTTCATGCAGTCCAGCTCAGCATCTCCACTATACATAGTCACTTAGGCTGACAGACTCAGTCACTTAGGCTGACAGACTGCTCTCCTGCAGTGCTCCGTGTGGAACTCGGGGCCATCTTGGTTTCTGCAAGAGGAAAAGAGAAGTAGAAAGTTTCACACTCACAGTTAAATGCCTTCAACTGAAAGGAACACAAACTATTTGACATAACCTGATTATGTAATTCCACCTGCCCAAAGCAGGATTAAGTACAATCATCCATGTGTCCAAAAGGAAATGATAATGTTTTATTGTGAACATTATACAACACCCTCATTCTCCTCTTTGTACTCATTCATTCAGCAGATAGTTACTGAACTTATGCAATATGCCAGGGCATTCACTGGGCTGAACATTGGCAATAAAGAGGTGAAGCAAAACACGTGCAACGTCTGCACTCAAGAAGCTGACGTTATGATTAGAGACACGTGTATTAATCAAGTGAGCATGCAAATAAACTAGAATTGTGTCAAGTTCTGTAAAAAGCAAGCAAATGGTTTTATGAAAACCCATAACAAAGGTATGAACTAAACTAGGAATCAGAGAAAGCTTTTGTTTCAGTAAAGCTTTTGATTACAAGCAACAGAATCCATCTCTAGCCAAATTAAATAGACAGGGAATTTAATTAGAGGATACTGGGTAACTCACAGACTGAAATTTACACAGTCTCTGTTCTTTCCATTTGAAATCTGGGGCAGGTGTATTTGTTTGGTGGAGTTGTGGTCTCCTTTGTAGCTGCAAGAAGTTCTGAAAACAAAAGTATCTGGCCATCTCAGTTTCCAGGTAGCAGAAAGAATGACATACGTCCTTTGAAGCTACTCTGAGAAAAACAGTGGAGTTGAGATTTAAAGAAATAACAGAAGTAGCAAAAGGAATAGGAAGGAGGGGAATTATACTTTCCTCCACCCCTCATTTATAAAAATTCAAATATTTACAAAAGTAGAAAAAATAACATCATAAAACCTTGTGTACCCATCACTTTGCTTCAACTCCATCTGATTTTGTTTACACCCTCACCCACTTTTCTCTGTTGCTACATTTTTAGAATACGTTTTTTAAAGTTCTCAGACATTATGTAAATAGTTTATTTGTGTATGATTATGAATGATAAGAACTTATTTAGAAAAAGAAATAGAATCTTGATGCAATTATCACACTTAAAAAATAACAATAATTATTTGATATCACCAAATGCCCAGTTAGTACTTACATTTTACTGATGGTCTTAAAAATTGTTACACAATTTGATTGAGCAGAACTCAAATGAAATCCATATATTGTGTTTGACTTATATGTCTCTTGTCTCCTTTAATAGATAGGTCACCCCTGTCTATGTTCTTCCAACAGACAGATAAGAAGGCATGGATATGGCCAGATGCTGTGGTTCACACCTATAATCCCAGCACTTTGGGAGGCAGAGGCAGAGGCAGGTGGATCACGAGGATGGGAGATCAAGATCATCCTGGCCAACATGGTGAAACCCCGCCTCTACTAAAAATACAAAAATTAGCTAGGCGTGGTGGCGAGCGCCTGTAATCCCAGCTACTCGGGAGGCTGAGGCAGGAGAATCGCTTGAACCAGGGAGTCAGAGGTTGCTGTGAGGTTGAGATCGCAGTACTGCACTACTACAGCCTGGGTGACAGAATGAGACTCCGTCTCAAAAAAAAAAAAAAAAAAAGAAGGCATGGATACCAAGTTAGACATGAACATAGATATATAGATATAGACATAAATATAGATACAGAGACTGATATGACATAGACATAAACATGAACATAGAAGCAGAAATAGACATAGAGATAGATATAAACATAAATATAGACATAGGCATAGACATGAACATAATCATAGTTGCAGGCATAGACATAAATATAGGCAGCTGGAGAAAAACTGAGTCATTTCTTCTAGTGTCCCACAGTCTGAATTTTGCCAGTTGTTTTTCCACTTTTTGTATTTTCTGTGGATTAATGATAGATCCAGAGACTTGATCAGATGCTACTTCAAATTTTTGGTAAGACGATCATGGGAGATGCATACTTCCATTAGAAGGTGTGCAAGTTCTGACTGTCTCCATTTTTGTGATAATAGCACCCACTGCTGATCATTGACTAGCTCTATTCATTAGAAGTCGCAAAATAGTGATATTTGCATTTTATTTTTTTCCTCTTTCATTAGCTGGGATACACAATTAATATGGAAGAGTCAGGATAAATGCTTAATTCTCCCCTTTACTTACTAATTTTCAAACAATGAGCTGGTTTCCTAGCATTTCCTGACAGTAAACAATGAATGGTTACTTTTTTTAGAATCATCATGAACTTATGAATTTAAACATACTTATATTTTAATCTACTGCAGGTAGTATTCTGATTGACTCTAATTGTCCTATTTTGGGCCAGTGGTGTCTTATTCATGTTGGTTTCACATTTTTAACATTTTTAAAAAATTCTAATTGACAATAATTGTATGCATTTATTGTATACATTTTGTGTACAAATGTTGAGATATTAATACTCTATGAAGTGCTAAATTATATGCATTGCTTCACATACTTACTATTTCTTGAGGTAAGAACATTTACAATCTACTCTCTTGACAATTTTCAATAATACAATACATTGCTAATAATTATAGTCACCATGTGGTACAATAGATCTTTTGAACTTATTCCTCCCATCTAACTGAAATTGTGCATTTTTTTAACCAACATCTACCCAGCCCCCCAACCCCCACCTCTTTCCCAGTCTCTGGTAGTCACTATTCTACCCACTACTTCTGTTAGTGCAAATTTTTTTTTAATTCCATCGTCAGTAAGATCACATCATATTTGTCTTTCATGCCTGGCTTTTTTCACTTAGTATAATGTCCTCTAGGTTCATCCATGTTGTCACGAATAAGAGAATTTTCTTCTATTTTAGGGTGAATGGTATTTAATTGTGCATATATACCACATTTTTAAAAACCTGTTCGTCTGTTGATGGACACAGGTTGATTTCACATTTTGGCTATTGTGAATAGTGCTGCAATAAACATTGGAGTGCAGATATCTCTTTGAAATACTGATTTCATTTCCTTTGGATATATACCCAGCAGTGGGATTGCTGGTTCATGTGGTAGTTCTATTTTTAATTTTTTGAGGAACCTCCATACTATTTTCCTTAATGGCTGTTTTTCTTAATTTTCTTAATTTACATTTACACCAACAGTACACCAGGTCTCTGTTTTCCCCATATCTCTGCCAATACTTAGCTTTCATCTTTTTGACACTAGCTATCTTAAAAGGTGTGAGGTGATATTTCATTCTGGTTTCAATTTTCATTGCTCTAGTGATTAGTGAGGCTGAACATTTTTGATATACCTGTTGGATATTTGTATGTCTTCCTTTGAGAAATATTTATTCAAATCCTTTATCCATTTTTTAACTGGGTTATGTATTTTCTTACTGTTGAGTTGAGCTCCTTATATATTTTGGATATTAGCCCCTTATCAGATGTATGGTTCACAAATATTTTTCCCAGTCTATGGGTTGTCTCTTCATTTTGTTGATTACTTTTTGACTGTGCAGAAGCTTTATAGTTTGATATAATCCCATTTGTCAGTTTTTGCTTTTGTGGTCTTGGGGTTCATATCCAAAAAATCATTGCCCAGGGCAATGCTATGGAGTTTTTTCCCTATGTTTTCTTCTAGTAGTTTCACAGTTCCAGGTCTTACATTTAAGCTTTAGTTCATTTTCTGTTGATTTTTGTACATGTTGTGAGATAAGGATCTAATTTCATTCTTCTGTATGTGGATATCCACTTGTCCAAATACCATTTATCAGAGACATTGTCCTTTCCTCACTGTGTGTTCTTGACAACTTAGATGACAGTCAACTGACTTTAAATGCATAGACTTATTTCTGGGGTCTCTATTCTGCTCCATTGGTCTATACATATGTTTTTATGCTAGTACCATGCTGTTTTAAATACTATAGGTTTGTAGTATATTTTGAAGACAGGTCATGTGATGCCTCTACCTTTGTTATTTTCTCTCAAGATTTTTGTGGCTATTCAGGGTCTTTTGGGGTTCCACACCAATTTTAGAATTGTTTTTTCTATTTCTATGAAAAATATTACTGGACATTTGATAGAAATTGCATTGAATCTGTAGATTGCTTTGTATATTATAAATCTTTTCACAGTACGAATTTTTCTAATTCACAAACACAGACTACTTTCTTTTTATTTAGGTCTTCATCAATTTCTTCCATCAGTATTTTATAGTTTTCAGTGTACAGGTCTTTCATCTCCTTAGATAAATTTATTCTTAAGTATTTTGTTATTTTTGTAACTATTGTAAATGGGATTGTTTTCTTGATTTCTCTTATGGTTAGTTTTTTTGTTAGTGTATAGAAATGCTACTAATTTTTGTATATTGATTTTGTATCCTGCAACTTTATTGAGTTAATTTTTTAGTTCTAGCAGTTTTTAGGTGGAGTCTTCAGAGGTTTTTTTGGTCTGTTTGTTTTTTAATATAAGATCACATTACCTGCAAACCAAAACAGTTTAACTTGTTCCTCCTCTAAAGGAGTTTTATGTTTTCTTTTTTTAAAACTTGTATTTTAGGTTCAGAGGTACATGTGCAGCTATGTTATATAGGTAGACTCATATTAGGGCATTTGTTATACATCTTATTTCGTCAATCAGGTACTAAGCCTAGTAACCAATAGTTATTTTTTCTGTTGGACTGAATGTATTTTCATCAAATACAAGGGGAAAAATTCAAGATTTTGGCCTGGAAGACTTAAGTCAGAGTTGATATGTAAGGATAAAATAAGGCTTTGATGGGGAGACTGAAGAGTGTATTTTAAGATGTGATGCCTTTGAGATGCTCAGGTGGATACACGTAGGAGAAAGTTGGATACCTGAGGCTGGAGCTTGGCTATATTGAAGAAGAGTTTCTGAATCTCAGGTTACCTCTTAACATCTACGGGTGCCTACTGAGCAGCCAGAACACAAGCCCATTTTTATGCATATCTGTCCAGGCTTTGAACCATGACTGTAGCTGGTAAGGTCAGGGTTTCACCAATCTCAGAACAACAGTCAATGAGTTGACCCAACGTGGGAATCTTGCCCAATATGGACAGGCTCTATTGCATGGTGACTAACTGACTATATTGGAGAGTCATTAAATGTCTCAATCAGATTATTTCTCTTGGGGAGTTCATGTAAGAAATAGAGACACAGAAGACAGCATAGAAGTCTAGACATCCACAGAAAGAAGCAATAAAAAATAAGCTGAGAGACAGTAGATACTGAAGTGGAATCAGACAGATTCCCAGTAGGCACAGCACAGTCAGAGATGGAAAAATTTGACTCCAGAAACCAATGAGACCCTAGAGATGCTGATAAATTCTGAACGAAGTTCCTGTTCATCCTGAAATTCTGTAGTCTTTGCCTAATGTCACAGGGAATTCTGCCCATGTTACAACTGAAGCTCAGATGCCATGGAGGAGTATATTGAAACAACTCCCCATTGCAGCCCTCAGTACTCAGATTTCATTTTTGTGAATTGCTATGCCCATGGATAATTCATGTAAAGGTAGAGAGAAGGGTTTCTATTTGCAGGGGACAACATGGCCTCAGTCACTCAGAAGTGCACCAAAAGCTGAAGGGTTTTGTAAAACACAGGGCCAAAGCAACAAAAGTTTAGCCCAGAACCGGGGGCAAAATTCTTGCCAAACTGGCGTGGAACCCAACACTGCTCTGATAACTGGAGGATGTGGGGAAGATTAGGAAACAGTCCCTGAAAAGCTGGCATGTTTATATATGGCACTGACAACAGAAGAGGACGTGTCAGTGTAGTGGGGGACACACAGGAATGTGAGTGTATCTGTTCCCATCCTTCTGAGTCACCCTGTGACCTGCCTGCATTCTGTAGGGAAGCCATGGGAGAGAGCCCAGTTTCCAAATATAAGATCAGGGTTAGAATTAGGGAGATTTGAGTATTGGTGTTAATGTGCCTTCCTTTGTAATCACAGAATAGCCAAACCCTGGGCCTTATTGTTACCTGTAACTTCCTTGCATCCTTACAATAAACTCAGGTGTCTCTACATGTCTCTTCTTTCTTTGTAATCTTAATGAGCCTAATTAACATCATTAATGGACATACAAATATAGATTTGACTGTCACTAGCAGCTTATAGGAAGTAGCTAAAGCCTATTCTAATTAACCCCTTCCTGCCTGATGCTTGATTTATTTGGGTTTTCATTGTCAGCCCAGTCCGACAGTTTAATTTATGAGCCCTCTACCTTGCAATAATTGCCTTCAAGCGATTGATGCAGTACCTTTGTACTGCCCTATCTCTTAGAATCTCAGAGATACCAGCGATTAGACGAGTTCTTTTCATATCTTTATTTTCCTGCGATGAGGTTGTTAGCACGGTAGTAGGCGTGAGAAGATGTTCCATAAATGCTTCTCAATGAAAATTGTATTCTTTTTTCATTATCCTAAATTTTTTGAAAAGTCAGGTAACCAGTCAAGCACCAGGTGCACACAGAAATGTATGGTCTCAAGTATTTCATTGTAAATGCTACATCTTTTCTACCTGTGGGGAGATTTCTCTTTCTCGGCATTTTGGTCGGGAACACGGGCACTTGCTGGGGTATTTCCGCTAGTACATGTGGTCCTGGCCAGAGATGGTGACAGGAACAGCCTTAATTCTGTGTCATTACTCTATGTAATTTTTCTTGTCTCCTCTTGACCATCCCAAGACATGCTGATGGTGTTGGCTCTGAGCTGAGTGGCAGTTCTGTTGAGCTGCAGGTGGATTTGCATTCTGTACCTTTGCGAATGAAATAGAATGGAGGAGGGATTGACCATCTCAGCCTAAATAAACTGCCAGTAGGTTTCAAAAGCATCCACAGTCCACGTGCTTTCCTTACCATCACAGTCAAATTGAGGCAATAGAGACAGACTCTGCCAGAACCAGGCAAGAATTACTCAACGACAGGTCAAGATCAGACAGGCATTGTATGGAAGGAGGGATGCATTAGACTATTCTTTCATTCCTGTAAAGAAATACCTGGGATTGGATAGTTTATTTTTATTTATGTTTTATTTTTATTTTTGTGGTACATAGTAGGTGCATATATGTATGGGGTACATGGGATGTTTTGATACAGGCATGCAACGTGAAATAACTACATCATGGAGAATGGGGTATCCATTCACTCAACAATTTATCCTTTGAGTTACAAAGAATCCAATTACATTCTTTAAGTTATTTTTAAAATGTACAATTAAGTTATTATTGACTATAGTCACTCCATTGTGCTATCAAATAGTAGGTCTCATTCATTCTTTCTAGTAAGTTGGTGCAATGCCCTTTAAATGGCAAAAACCAGAATTACTTTTGCACTAACCTAATGATTATATTTTGTACCCATTAATCATCCGCACCTCGCCCACCATGGCCAGCCCCCTACTACCCTTCCCAGCCTCTGGCAACCATCCTTCTAGTCTCTATGTCCATGAGTTCAATTGTTTTGACTTTTAGATCCCACGCATAAGTGAAAACGTGCAGTATTTGTCTTTCTGTGCCTGGCTTATTTCAGACTGGGTTATTTTTAAGAAAAGAGGTTTGATTGACTCACAGTTCTGCAGGCTGAACAGGAAGTGTAGCTCCAGTCTCTGCTTCTGGGGCAGCCTCACGAAGCTTTTACTCATAGTGGAAGGTGAAGCGGGAGCAGGCACATCACATGGTCAGAGCAGGAGTAAAAGAGCAAGAGAGTGGGGGTGGAGGTGCCACATACTTAAACCACCAGATCTCATGTGAACTCAGAGCGAGAACTCACTCATCACTAAGGGGATGGCCGAAACCATTCATGGGCATCCATCCCCATAATCCAAACATCTCCTACCAGGCCCCACCTCCGACACTGGGAGTTTCAATTCAACAGGAGATTTGACAGAGACGTACATTCAAACTATATCCAGGGAGAAAAGACCAATTTTGTTCTAGCGAGTATTTGATTGAATTATTTTACTTGGTCCACAAACAAACCTGGGACATTGTTACCACCATTTTGCAGATGGGAAAATATGGCTCATTCAGCCAGTCACCAGTAGGTTTCATCCCAGTTCTTCTTGACACGAAAGACAGTAAAATTTTACACCTAACTGCCTTTTGATGGAGTTCAAGAAGCAGACTGGAGCAAATCCAAGGGTTAGTGGTAAAAACACTGCAGGTATCCCAGCCATCCAAAGCAGAGCCCCATTGAAGGGGTTCGTCTCCCTAAGGAAAAGAGTTGACAGAAAGTGAAGCCCAGTATCTGCTTCCCACCAAGCAGGCTGGAGACCCAGGAGAAGCCTGAAGTCCCTGATTGGGAAGTAAGTCACTCCTCACCTTTTCTTTCTACTTCTACTGGTATTTCTTGATCCAATCCTCTCTCATCTCCAAGATATTATAGTAACCTTCTAGCTGTTCCCTCTGAACTCTCTTATCTAAGTAGCAGCCATAGGGGTGATTTTAAAACATTAATGAGATTCTGCCTCTCTTTACTCAGAACACTCCAATGGATCCTCCTCCCTCTCAGAGTAAAAGCTGAAGTCTTCACCATCACATACATGACTGTTAACGATCAACATGACCCTTCCCCCATGACTTGGTTTATGGCTGTGTACCCAGTGCCTGCCATGTGGAAACACTCAATAAATATCTTTTCACTGAAGAGTAAATGAGGCAGAATGTCCCTTGCAGATCAGTATGTTAAAGTTAATGTAGTAGGTGGCTTCTGAAATGGTTCTCAAGGATCCTCATTTCCTGATGTTCATGTCTTTATGTAGTCTCTTGCTCTTGAATATGAGGAGGACCTATGACTTGCTTCTAACTAATGGAATATGGTAAAGGTAACAGAATAAATGTACTACGTGTACATAATCATACTAAGATTGTAGTGCTCATCTTGCTGGAGTCTTTCTTTCATGCTCTGTTGGCTCTGATTATACCAAGTTGCCATGTTGTGGGCTACCTATGCTTGAAGGTCCATGTATCCAGGAATAGGGCATGACCTCTAGGAGCAGACGACAACTGAAGCTGTCAGTTTTACAATCATAACGGATTGCAATATGTCAGCAAAGGTTGGTGCTCTATTGACTGATCCCCAGCCAACCTAGACTGCACCCTTGTAAGACCCTAAATAGAGGACCCAGTTAAGCCGTGCCTGACTCACAAAACTGTAAGATAATAAATATGTGTTGCCTTCAGCCACTAGATTTGAGGTAATTTGTTACTCAGGAGAAGAAAGCTAATACAAACAGGCTAAAATCCATGGTCTGTTATTCATCACATGAAGGATCTCAGCTCTAAGGTGATGCATCAGTTTGTGCTGTATAACAAGCACACCCCAGGACTTTAGTGACTTAAATGACAGCCATATTTACTTTGTAGCTCTCTGGGTTGATTGAGTGTTTTTATGGTCTAGGCAAGTATGACCTATCTCTGCTAGACTCTCCCACGCATCTTTGGGTAGCTGGCTGGTCTGCTGGATGATCTGGAATAGCCTCAGTCACAGGTGTAATGGTTGACAGGCTGTTAGCTTGTGTGACAGAAGATACTGGGCCACATGACTTTAATCATCCTGCAGACTAGCTGGGGCTTCCTCCTGTGATGCTCTTAGGATGCCCATGGGAGCATGAGAGAAGAAACTCCAAGGCCTAAGTGCTATTTGAGTTTCTGTCACCATCACATTTGCTAATAACCCTTTAGTCAAAGCAAGTCACATAACTAATCCAGATTCAAGGTGGAGAAATAGACTCCACCTCTTAATGGAAGGAATGGCAAAGTCACATTGCAAAGGAGCACTGGGATAAGAGGAATTTGTGGTCATTTGTCACTCTACTCCAAGTAGGAAGAATTGTATTAGGTACCATTCACTAGTGGACTGAGGCTAATGTTTATTTTCGGGTGAGGATGAGATGACATACAGTAGGCTTTAATAGAAAGAAAAGGGGTTAGGGCAGTGACCAGCTTATTGGTACAGCAGAAATCTAGTACTGACCCTCTCCTTTCCTTTCATCTATCTTGCTCTCTCAGATGGGATATTCTTTAAGAACTTCTAATTCATCTGTAATTTCCCCCCTTTTTTCCTCTTGCCTATTGACTCCATTGTAAATGTCTGGCACTTCTTTCTCCAAATCAGTTTCTCCCTTCATTTGTCTTATTTTCATTCATTCATTCATTCATTCATTCATCCAATAAAAGCACTTTGAGTGCCTACAGTGAACTAGACTTTAAATAATTGAGTCTTCCATTTATAAAAACCGCCCTCTCTTTCTTATACAGTTTGCACAAACATTCATAAGCTTACACACACACACTCACACACACACACACACACACACACACACACACACATCTTACTCTGTTATGCCTCCCTTCTCCTTTTACATTTTTTTTCATGTTTGGCAAATGGATGTAAAATAAAAGAAGCCTTTCAAAACCTGCTGTTCCTCTCCAGAACTGCTGTGTGGGTGGGAAGGAAGCACTTGCAAGACAAAACATTGTGGAAACCAGGATTCAGAAAGTCAAGGTAGACTATCCACCATTGGCCACCCTTTTTAGCATTCAGCATGGAGGAGGCTGAGCTGTATCCATTATGAAGGAGATGTGAAGGAGAGGCAAAGGAGAAAAAAAATAACATTTTAGTTGAATCTTCAATTTTTGGTTTTCTCTGAAAGAACCGAGGCTCTGTTTGCTCACAAGACTCTGTGAGTAAGGTCAGCTCTGGAATTCCTGAATTAATTCTTTCAACAGATAGGTGTTCAGTACCTACTATATGTCAGGCACTGTGCTGGGTCCTGGGGAATGGACCCCAGGTTGTTGTTAGGGACTGAAAGTCTGTATACCCCCAAAATTCATACGTTGATGCTCTAACTCCCAATGTAATGGTGTTTGGAGTGAGTTCTTTGGGAGATAAACAGATCATGAGGGCAAGACCCTGGTCCAACGGACTGAGTGCTCTTAGAATAAAAGAGACACAAGAGAGCCTGCACTCTCTCTGTCTCTGTCCCTCTCTCTCTCTCTCTTCACATACACACAAAGAAGAGGCATGTAAGCACACATGGAGATGGCAGCTATCTATTTCACAAGCCAGAAAAAGAGCCTTCACCCTGACATAACAAAGCCGGCCCCCTAATCATGGACTTCCAGGCTCCAGAACTGCAAGAAAATAAGTATCCTGTTTGAGCCACCCAGGCTGTAGACCAAGACAGTGGTGCAAAAGACAGAGAAGGTCTGCCCTTATACAGCTTACATTCTAGTGGAAAGAGGTGTATGTTTCATAAGTAAACACACAAATATATACGACGTTGAGAGAGTAATGTTATTTTGGAAGTAAAATGGGCTAAAGTGGTAGATGGTGACAAAGGAATAGGCTGATCTGGTTGCTTTTGTGAGGAAAGGTCAAGTAGATAGCTTCTCTCCATGTTTCTAGTTTCCATCAAGAGCCCATCTATAAAGCAAGACAGCCCATGCAAGGAGAGGTCATTGTTCCCCGGCTTAGCTCTCCCATGCAGATGAAGCCCTATGGTGAGCAGAATGGCAAGAGGACAGCAGGTATAGCTAAAGCATGCAACTAAACAGTGTCCGAGGCCAAGGATTAAAATCTTAAGTCCTGGGGAAATAAAGGGGCCCTAGAAGAGAGTTTCAATTTCAGCTCCCCAGCAGAATCACCTGGGGAACTTTAAAACATAACAATACCTGAGCTCCAGGCCCCAGTGAATCTGATGCCATTGGTCTGGAGTGGGGCCAGGGCATAGGCTTGTCATAGAGGTTCCCCTGGTTATTCTAATGGACAACCATGGGCAAGAACCACTGGTTCAAGGAACATCCTAGAGGTTCAATCTGTCTTGCTATAGTCCAAATGAAATACTATGTAGCCATAAAAAGGAATGAGATCATGTCCTTTTCAGGGACATGGATGGAGCTGGAAGCCATTATCCTCAGCAACTAATACAGGAATAGAAAACTAAACACCACGTGTCCTCACTTATAAGTGGGAGCTGAACAATGAGAACACATGGACACAGGGAGGGGAACAACACACACTGGGACCTGTTGGAGGGTGGGGTAGTAGGAGGGAGAACATTAGGAAAAATAGCTAATGCTTGCGGGGCTTAATAACCAGGTGATTAGTTGATAGATGCAGCAAACCACCGTGGCACACATTTACCCATGTAACAAACCTGCACATCCTGCACATGTACCCAGAACTTAAAATTAAAATTAAAAAAAAAAAATTCTTAATTTTCAACTTGCTTCTCACACCCCTTTTAATATTTTCCTTCTTATTGATCTCATTTCCCTGGCTACTCCTCTGGCTTAGTTCTCACAGGCTCCAAAAGTGCCAGTTCTAGCCTCTTACGGTAAATTTTCCTCATCAACTACAGCCCAAATCCCCTCACTTTCCTGCATCATGCAATGCAGCGTCACGGCGAGGAGTCACTTTGTGATGGAAAGAACACAGTTCTCAATGTCACAGAGGAATCTGCAACTGCATTATGAGAAGCCAGCAGAGGAATTCAATAGACTAGGTGCAGTGGAGAAAATGGGTGCAGGGACAACAATCCTACCCATTTTAATGATCCTGCTGAACTAGAGGATTAGACTCTAGGATAGCTGCAGGTCTGGAAGTGTGACCGCCAGACCATAGCATCAGCCTCACCTGGAAACTTGTCAGAAATGCAAATTCTCCATCTACTACATGAGAATCTCTGGGGTGGGGTGAAGGAATCTGTGTTGACCAGTCCCCAGGTCATTCTGACATGAACTCCAGAGTGAGAACCATTTTTTCTACTGGATGCTCAAAATGATGGCTGCGAAGCCTGGTGCAGTGGCACAGGTTTGTAATCCCAGCTACTCGGGAGACTGAGCTGATTGAGAGGCTGAGATCAGCCTGAGCAACATAGTGAGACCCCATCTCAAAAAAAAACAATAATGACTATGTAAAATTAAATTATACTTTTTGATGTCTATGCATGTTAACACATTTTAAACAGATTTCCACAAACACCTTTGTTTTTAGGAGTTGGGGTCTCTCTCTATCACCCAGGCTGGAGTGCAGTGGCATTGTCCTAGCTCACTGCAGCCTCAGATTCTTAGGTTCAAGTAATTCTGCTACCTAATTCTCCTGAGTAGCCAGGACGGTAGGTCCAAGCCACCACACCCAGCTAACTTTTATACTTTTTTTGTACAGTGGGGGGGTCTCACAGTGTTGACCAGGCTGGTCTCGAACTCCTGGACTCAAGAGATCCTTCCATCTCGGCCTCTCAAAGTGCTGGCATTACAGGGGCGAGCCACTGCGCCCGGCTCACCAGCACATTTTAAGCCCACAATCAAGTGACTATAATAAAGATTTCTTCCTATTTACTTCACCTCTGTTCAGTTCTTCTGTTCATTCATTCAATAAGAAATTAATGAGCTCCGACTTCATTCTGGGAATGCAGTATCTGCCCTCTCTTAGTCGGGGAGACATGTGAACAAATAATTATAACACAGAGTATAGTAGTCACTAAGCCTACACCACGCTTTTGAAGCCCAGCAGAAGGAAGGGCTGACAGCTCTGCCTGGGGCAATCCAACAAGGTTCACAGACACAGTTGGCTTGACCTGGGTCTTGAGCTGGGGGTGGGCAGTCATTCATAAGCCTCAGAAGGAAGCAGGAAGTTCAGGCAGCAGAGCCGGCCAGGTGAGGGCAGAGACATGAAAGAACACTGCATGTTCAAGAAGCAGCAAGCCCCTCCGACTTCAAAGGTTGCCCATATCAGAAAGAGGATAAGGAGTATAGAATTCTGGGATATGGTGAGCACAAGAAAATGTTATAATCAAGATACTGCTGCAGTTGAATATTGCACTGAGGAAGTGTAAACTTTTCAGTCTGGGCTCACCCTTTCCTACCATTGGAACCTTCAGTAAAACCTGTCAGCCTGTTGAGATCAATATTTCTGTTTCTTCTTCTCAGCCCATCTCCCAGCTTCTCTTATCATGAGGCTTCAAACGGGGCCTGTATCTTTCTCAGCTCGCACCTGTCAGTGCTTGCAATGAAGGCGAGAGTGTGCTGTGGAAAATGGGCCAGGGCCTCAGAGGTGCCTGCTCACAATGGGAAAGTGTGTGCCTGTGTGTGTGTGTGGGTTGGAACAATTAGAACTTGGAACAGGAAAGAAGGGGCTGTGACAGAGAAACTGTCACTATGGGAGACTTTTAAGCAGGAAGGCCACTTAAATATCATCCGATTTTTTCTAAATAAAGAGAAAGTGACATGAAGAGGTCAGTGATTTTCCAAAACCATACAGCATTAATCACATTGGTAGGCAGCATGCAGTAATTGCTGTTCCCAAATTGAACTGCCTGCTACAAACTTCTGGGAAGCTTTCCTATTGGAAGCCTTGGAATATTGCTGGTCTTTCCTCAGATTGACTGAACTAAATTTGTTTAGGGAATCTGTATTTTTTATGAATTTCCCTAGATATTCCACTGCACAAACAAATTTGAGACCCCCCAGTATAGGAGGAAAATCAGGAGACTTGGGATGTGATGTATTAGAATTGTTCTCATTTCAAGTTCTTAATTCATACTGGAAAAAGTCAAAACAGGGATTTGTTGCTCATTGCTCATTAAATGAATTTCAGGATGAATGGCTTCAGGCATAGTTGGATCCAGGAGCTCTGAATAATGTCATCTACAATCTCTCTTTATTTCTCAGCCCTGCTTCATTTCTAGGTGGGCACTCCTCTATAGTGGTGAAAAATGGCCACTAATAACTCGGGGTTTGCATTTTATCTTCTTAGTAACCCTGAAAGAATGAGAGCAATTCTATAGAAATCCTCAGGACTAGTTCTCATTGGTCTGCCTGTCTCAAGCTATATGCCTGTCCCTGAATCAATCACCGTGCTGGAGAAATGGTCTGATTAGCCAGGGTTAAACTACATGCTCAAATCTGGATCCAAAGGTTTGTGCAGCATATCATTAAACAAAGTGTGACTAGTTCTCAGAGGAAAAACGTGGGCTACCAGAGAAAGGCAGGAAGTTGTAGATCAAGAAAACAACTACAAAAACAGATGTTCAGTACAGCTGGGTCCAAATTTGGGGGATGTAATGGTAGAGCTGGGACCAGAACTCAAGTTTCCTGATTAAGGTCTTCCATTACAATACCAGAAGGAGGTGGGGTGCTTAACTATTGACTTCTATTACTGTCAAGTAAGATTCTAACCTAGGCTACTTTAACTTTAAGTGCTGTTGGAATGATTGGACTCTCACTCCTGGTCCCTATAAAAAGACCCTGAACACACACTTCATGAAATTCCAGCTTTAAGCATTGCCTTCTCTTCCTCTTTATAGTAGACTGCCAATTGTTCCCCTCTACCCACCCTGCCCACTGAGTAATACCATTTCAGCTGGACACATTTCAAAGCCTCCCCTGTGGCTATGTGTGGTCATGTGATTATAACCTAACCAATGCTAGGCTTAGGGACTCCTCAGGTCTCTTATTCCCTCCCGACTAGCTGGAGAAAGAAAGAAATGGGTCAACTGATTCAAACCACAAGCAGAAGCCTCATGAGGTTGGCAGAACCACCTGCTCAATTTCTCTACCACCTGGCTAACGCTGGACTGTTTTCGACAAACAGAAAAGAAAAACCTCAATTTTGGTTCAGTCACTGTAATGTGTGGTCTCTGGATTATAGCAGCTGACCCTTACTAATCAACCATCTTGTAATTCATCCAAATTGTCTCTCTTCATCCCTTTCTACCTACCACTCTCCGTTCCACCCTTTCCTAGTTTTCTAATTCAATAACGGGTTCATCATCTTTACTTGTGATGTGTGTCTCAGGACCTTGATTCTGTGGGTCCATTATCCAGATAGGCATTATACAGTCCAAATTCTTATAATGACCTTTTAATGCTGGAGGTGGGGGGAACAGAACATAGATCTCCTGTCTCCAACTAGCTGTTGGAATCCATGTCTAAATAATTTCTAGTCACCTCAAGAGACAGCATTTCCAGGCACTGTGATGATTTCTCCTGGTCATGAGGATGTCAGGGATCACCAAAACACGATGATATTTCTCTCTTTATTTAACACGTAGGAAAATGAGACCTCCCAAAGGAAAATGAGCTAATTTATCTAATGTTCTCTTTTGAGGCTTTTTCATAAAGTGGTTTAGAGCAAGAGGTTCATCAGCTGGGCTTAAGGGGTCTCAGGAACCAAAATCAAAGAGAAGGGCAGGGGAAGGAGGAGAAGAGGAGAGAAGAGAGGAAAGTTAATCTGTGAAGATGGTCTGTAGTTTCCATCAGATGCTAAAAGAAGTCAGTTGTCCCCCATTGTTTAAGATTATAAGCAGAATTTCTGAGTTCAGGCTCAAGCCTTATACCTTTTTTGTGTAATCTTGAATTCATACATTATGCTCTCTGTCTCTGTTTCCTCATCTGGAAAGTGAAAAAAAGGGCATAACCACCTTTTCTTCTGAGAATTAAGTGAGATGATGTCAAGGAAAGCATTTAATATGTCAGAAACCTCAGTTTCTATTTTGGCTGGATTACCATCTAAAATGCAACCTCTCTGATATACTCTGGGCCTTGGGGAAAAGTGAGTTGTTTTCCTCTCCAGTTCCCCTAGCAACGAGCTCCGGTCACTGCTCTCACTGAAGAGGATATGTCATGGCTGAGGAAGCAGGGAGACCTGCTTCCACATCCAGCTCAGCCCCTTCTTCCTGAAATTTGCCCTTTTATGTTTGGCTCATTGAAGCACCTGAATTTTAATTTTATTTTAGCCAATCTGGATGGATCTCTGTCTCTGATTGTAACCCTCATAGCGAATATTTCCCCAGTGTTTGTTTGTTGTTTTTTATGGTGATTTAGCACATAAATCTGGGCACCCATGCCCTGGGTCCTAATTATGGTTTCTTCACTTAAGCTACTTAAAGTAAAGCTGCCTCAGTTTCCTCCTCTGTAAACTGAGGATAACAATGGTATCCACCTCATTGAATTATTCATTTAAAAAACATATGTACTGCACATATCCCATGTCCAAGATGTAGTTCTGGGCTCTGGAAATACCACAACAAAAGAAGCAGGACAAAAAGCCCTGCCCTTGGGTAGTGGAGAGGATAAGAAATTGCTGTGTATAAAAAGCTTAGGCAATAGGTGTAGTGCAAGTGTCGACTGCTGACATTGCTGTCATCATTGCTACGGTTGCTGCAAGAGCTGCTCCCACTTCTACAATTACTACTGCTGCTACTACCACAACTGCTATTGCTACCACTACCACTGCTATTATTACTACTGCAACTACCACTGTACTACTGGTACTATGATGACAACTACTACTGCTGTTATTATTACTATGGCTAGTGCTGCTCTTACTGCTGGTACTATGATGACAACTACTCTTGCTGCTATTACTCCTGTTGCTACTGCCACTATTACTACTGGTATTATGATGACAACTCTTCCTGCTGCTATTATGACTACTGTTACTACCATTATTACTACTGGAACTGTGACGACATCTACTACTGCTGCCATTATTACTAATTCTGCTATCACTATTACTACTGGCACTATGGCTATAATTACTCCTGCTGCTATTATTACTTCTGCTACTGCCATTATTACTACTTGTACTATAAGCACAACTACTCCTACTGCTATTATTACTACTCCTACTAACACTGGTACTACTGGTACTACGACAACTACTCTTGCTGCTATTATTACTATGGCTACTGCCACTTTTACTACTGGTTCTATGATGACAACTACTCCTGCTGCTATTATTACTACTGCTATTGCCACTATTACTACTGGTACTACAACCACAACTACTCCTGCTGGTATTATTGCTACTGCTACTACTGTTATTACAACTGATACTATGATGACAACTACTGCTGCTGCTATTATTACTACCGCTACTACTGCTATTACTACTGGTACTATGATGACAACCACTATTGCTGCTATTATTACTACCGCTACTATACTGTTATTACTACTGGCACTATGATGACAACTACTATTGCTGCTGTTATTTCTATGGCTATTGCTGCTCTCACTACTGGTACTATGACAACTACTCCTGCTGCTATTATTACTACTGCTACTACCATTATTACTGGTACTACAACAACAAACTACTCCTGCTGCTATTATTACTACTGCTACTACCGCTGCTACTATTGGTACTATGACAACGACTACTATTGCTGCTATTATTACTATAGCTACTGCCACTCTTACTAGTGGTACTATGATGACAACTATTTCTGTGGCTCTTATTACTACTGCTACTCTTGCTATTACTACTGGTACTATGATGACAACTACTTCTGCTGCTATTACTACTACTGCTACTATGACTATTACTACTGGTACTATGACAACTACTCCTGATGCTGTTATTACTATAGCTACTGCCTCTCTTACTATTGGGACTACAACTGCTAGTATTACAACTACTATTGCTACTATAGCTGCTACTTCTATACTATTGTTACAAAGGTGGCTACAAATACTGCTACTGCTGTGGGTACTGGCACTGCTACTGCTGTGGGTACTGTCACTGCTACTGTTTGACCACTTTTGATCTGAGCTAAGTTCCTGCTTTGGGGAGATTTCCTCTTCTTAGGCAGGACAGTCCGCTTCCCACCCTGAAAGCTGCTTTCTCAGCCTACTTAGCTGCTAGGGTATGAGCATGCCAGCTGCACTTGGCCAGTCAGGGGTGTCAATGAAAATATCAAATAACCACAAATTACTAGAGTAATTTGGTATTTTTTTTCTGGTCCCCTGGAGTTAGAATTATCAAGAATCCTTCATACATTCTTTCTCTGTTTAAACTAGCCTTGGTAACTTTTCTTTTGCTTACAACTGAAGATATCACACATCGTTGCCCTGCTTTCCTCTCTTCTGTTGTTGCCATAGTGGCCTGATTAAACTACACAATCAAAGTCACAAAAATCTCAAAAAGCAGCACTTATAATCCCCCCATCATAGCCAACTATTTCAACCTTGGGGTACTTGCATCCCATCTTTGTCCATAAGCAGAGGTATTTTATCAGAGTGGCAATCGTAGGGCAAAGGAATTTTATAAAATTTTATTATTTATCATTACGTCTAAACATTTTAAATATTTTTCTGAGATCCACATACTTACTATTTACAAATATACTCATTGTTGCCTCCAATTTCTGTACCATAATTTCATAAACACTCCCCTAAGTGAGGAGAATTTGCAAAGCAACATTTGGCTAGTAAAGATAACATTGTAGTAATATCCTTGGCGTATAGTTTGATTTTATTTTCTTAAATTATTTCTAGAATTTTTTTTAGGACTGAGATTAATCAGTAAGGATGTTGTGTGTTTGTGTGTGTATACGTGTGCGTGTGTGTATAATCATATATGTAATGTTTTTAAAGTTCACTTTCTGAAAGGAGAGTCTCAATTTCTATTGACACCAAGAGTCTGAGTGTATGCCCCTTTATTTACCATCTCAACAACAACAGACTAATTTGTATGTTTTATAAAATGTATTTTGGTAGACATATGCAGTATGTGTGGTACTCATTTGTTTCAATGGATTTCTTTGGATTCCATTGAGAAAGAATCCTTTTTAAATACGGTGTGTTACAGCTTATCTTCTCCTAATGTTGATGATGATAAAAACCACAATAGCCATAACAAATAGGGCTTACCCAAGGCTTACTAACATACAACAGGCTTTATGTTAAATTCGTCTTAGGTCTTTTTAGGCCCAATGCGGTAGGTACAATGATTAACTACTGTTTACAAATCTAGAAACTGCAGTAAAGACAAGTTAAATAACTCAAAATGTGAGCAAGGGCAGAGCTGGTGCAGGACCTCCTGTATGTCTGGCCAAAGCTCATAATCTAGTATACATGAATAAAGCCATAAAAGGTTTGGGGCAGAGCTCAGCCAGGTTTTCTCCATGCAGAGAACTTTGCAGACACCTGAGACCCATGGAAATGCTTTACTGGCATGCTTTTTTTTTTTTTTTTTGGCAGGGTCTCACTCTGTTACCCTAGGCTGAATATAGTGGCACAATCACAGCTCACTGCAGCTTCAACCTCACTGGGCCCAGGTGATCCTCCCACTCAGCCTCCTGAGCAGCTGGGACTACAGGCACGCACCGCCATGCCAGGCAAGTTTTTGTATTTTTTGTAGAGACAGGGTCTCACTATGTTGCCCAGGCTGGTGTCAAACTTGTGAGTTCAAGCCATCTGTCCACCTTGCCCTCCCAAAGTGCTAGGATTACACGCATGAGCCACTGTACTCAGCCTATTGGCACGCTTTTATGAAGTTAATACCTCCTTCTGCCAGAGGACACTCACTAAGTATTTAAGAGGATGCCGTGTGTCTTCTTCAATATTGGGATATCCAATTCTTTGCATGGCCTGGATATGTTACGCTCATCTTTATTCTCATTCCTACTATTTTTCTTCATCCCAAGTGTTGCAAGGATATAGAATCCTTCCCAAACTTCAGTTATTTCTTACATACCACAGTCATGATTGGACATTATACACTATCTGTGCTATGAAATAATAATATAATGCCACTTATTGAACACGTAACTATTTACCATGTATTAACTCATCGTATCTTCACTCACAATCTTATATGGCAAAATGCTACTACCCCTATTTCTCAAATGGGAAGACTAGTGGCACAGATAGTTTAAGTGACTTATCTAAGGTCGCAGGGCTGATAAGTAGAGTGAATGATTAGGGGTTGGTGAGTGCATTAGTCCATTCTCATGCTGCTAATAAAGACATACCCGAGACTAGATAATTTTTAAAGGAAAGAGGCTTAATGGACTCACAGTTCCACATGGCTGGGGAGGCCTCACAATCATGGTGGAAGATGAGGAGCAGAGGGACGTCTTAGATGGTGGCAGGCAAGAGGGCATGTGTAGGGGACTCCCCTTTATGAAACCATTAGATCTTGTGAGACTTATTCACTATCACAAGAACAGCATGGGAAAAACCCACCCCCATGATTCAATTACCTCCCACTGGGTCCCTCCTACAACACATGGACATTATTACAATTACAATTCAAGGTGAGATTTGGGTGGGAACACAGAGCCAAACCCTATAAGGAGAACCTGCCTCCTAACCATCTAATTCAACTGCTATAATATGCTTATATTTTTTCTTAACTCTGAACAGCCTTTTTGTTTCCTGCTTAGTCACATACCTTTCTTAGTCTCATACTAAGCTCAAGATCCACAAGTCACAAGTTCAACACGTTGGTTATGTATTTTTTTCTAAAATGCGTTAAAACAAACATAATTACTGCAATAAAAAGGATCATCATTAAATCGGCTTATCTACCTACAGAGACATGAGCACGCTACTTTAGGAAATTCTGTTGGGCAGGCAGGTCCCTCTTCTTTGGTTGATTATCCTGCACTCATACCGACTCTTCCACCTGCTTGGTGAGTAAATTTTGGTTTCCTCTTACTTTTGTGTGCTGAAGCTCTCTTAGACTTTTTCTCCTGTAAAATGAGAATTTGAACATTTGCCCTTGTGAGAGAGGATAAGGGAGGGAGATAAGATTTAAATGAGAAACATCACGAAAACAGCTAGTAGTACGCTTGTGTGAGATATATCTTTCCTCATAACAGATCTGCAAGATACACATTCCCATTTAAAAGCAGAGAAATAGAATCTGAGGAGCTAAGAAACATATCTACAGTGACACAGCTGGTAAGTCAAATAGTCAGGACTTGAATCCAAGTCTGATTATATCCAAAATTTGTATTCTTTATTATTACCAACTTTTATGTTCTCATCCTTTAGTTATTTTTTAATTGTACAAATGAGTTCATTTCAGCTGTGTTCCATACACTGACCTAGGCACTAAACAGAAAATAATAAGCTATGTGCACTTCCTTCGGGGAGGGCAAATTTAATGCCTGAGACAGAAAGATAATAAAATAATCACAAGGTTGAGTGGTAAATCCTGTAGATGAGTTTGTCACAGGATATTTTAGGGCCCAGAGGTGCTGGCTGAGCTGTCAGGACTAGAGTTTTCATCCTAGGCTGGACGTCAGATGGTCTTTACCAGGGCAGGGGCCATGGGGGGCTCCTTCACCCTCACGAAGACAGGCTCTTGGACAAGTGTCAGGCAAGGGAATTGCCAGCTTTGTTTCGACTCAGTATCTCACAGGGGCCATGCATTCAGCAAAGGCAGGGAGCTGATGACCTGTCTGTAGAGAAGAAGCTTTCTCACAGTGAGCAGGAATGTTGTGGTCCTTGTGATCTGAGCGACCAAAATAGACTCCCATTTATCAACTAAGACAAACCCTGAGGTTAAGGAAACAAAAAGTTCCCTACAGCTAGAGGGTTCAGGACTTGGCGGGCATGGCAAATTTCTAAATTCCTTTGGTAACAAGAAAAACCACACTCTCGCGGAACTCCCTAATAATCAGACCTATCAGGCACATTATCAGACCCCTCTTAACTCTGATTTATAGCCCAGACCACTGTGACTCTGATTGGACAGAGGATCGGCCTTTTAAACATTCTTTTCTGATAAGCAACTGCAGACCTTAAGCCAGTTTCAGCAGCTTATACAGGCTGTGCACAAACTATCTTTGTGTCCTGTAGTTCACCTTTTGACATAATGGGCCAAATTTAACCTCACTTTTATACTAAAACCCCATGCCAAAGTGAATATGGGATGTATATTATGTATACGTTTACTCACTGCACATGCGCTCAACTCCTCTCATAAATACCTATAGCTTCTCCCCCAAGTCTGCTGAATATGTAGAACTCTTTTGTGTAATACAGACCCTGTGAGACATTAAAACCCAACCTGCCCTTCCCCTTGGAAGAAAGAGACTGGAGATTGTCTCTTCCTGGTTTGCAAACTGATATCATCAATAAAGCTCTCCTTTCTTCTATTTAGCCACACTGGTGGTCTTTTGGACAACATCCTTCTAATTTGTTCATCTAGGCACACATTCACTGTAGGCTTGCATTATGCCTGGCCCTTGGCTGGATGCTGCAGTCTCAGAGATGCCGTGGGGATCTCATAGCAAAGCACTGCACAGATAACACTGAGGCTGCAGGTGTCTTCTGAGGCCAGGTTGTAAAGGTCCTGACCTCCAGACTGTGGAATGAGGGCATATCTTATAGGGAATTAGAGCTATCAAAGGCTGTTAAACAGAAATTGGTCATGAGCAGCAGCTCTATCCTTCCCAAAGATTGCTGTGGGAGAATTAAGGAAAATGGAGACACACAAGGTGGAAGCCTAGGGGTCAGTGAGCTCAGACCTTGGCAAATTCACCTGTCTCAACACCTTCAAAAACTGGCAAAGTTTGATTGTGAGAAAGAGAGCGAATTCATGTTTTTTTTACTCAGAGAAAGAACAAGGAGTTGAAAAATACATGTGAAAAATCACATCTTTTTCCAGTTGCAACTGATAGAAATGCAACTAAAACTAACTGTGGCTGAAAGGGATTCTTTGTTCATGTAACTAAAAAGCTCAGGGATAATTCAACTTTGAACCAAGCTTAATTCAAAGACTCAGACAATATCTTCAAGAATCTGACAATGTCTACCCTGTTTTCCTCTTTATTAGGCCCATTTTAGGTAGATATTTTCTTTATGTTGACGAGATAGTTTCCAGTAGTTCCAGATCTACTGTCTTCTCTGAACCTCCATTAGGAAAAGGAATTCTGTCCTCTAATGTTTCAAAGACAGTTCTCAGAACCAATTCTCATTTGTGTAGTCAACCCCACTTAAACCAAATATCCTGGGGGAACAGGGGAGAAATAGTTCCAGAAGGAAAAACAGAGTCATGTTTTTTGTTTGGTTTGGTTTTTTTGGTTTGTTTTTTACTTAAAGAAAAGAAAATGGATCACAGGAGAGTAAAATCAATAGATGTACACTCTAATGAAGCCCACATTCTATTGACAGCCTGGTTCTAAGTCGGTGATTCTCTATCAAGGGCAGTTTTGCCTCTCAGGGGACATTGAGCAATATCTGAAGACAATTTTAATTGTCACAACTTGAGATAGTGATGTTACTAGAATTTAGAGAGGAGAGGCCAGGGATGCTGCTTTGCATCCCAGGAAGCATGGTGCATTCCCTTGCAATAAATTGTATCCCACCCATCAATGGTGCTGAGGTCAAAAGTCCCTGGTCTAAGTGATGAGTTGCCTTGGACAGTAGGGAATTCCCCTTTAGGATAGGTGTTTAAGCAGAGACCACTTGGCTGTTCGTTTGCCAATGCTGTATTAAGATGTCAAGGTCTGATGAAAGGTTAGACGATACTAATGGAAGTTTAGACTTTACTGGAATCTTTAATCTCTTAGTTCCTCTTTGGCATGACGTATAGACTGCAAGGATCCTACAAGTAGCAGGTTATGTACAATTCCTATGGAGCTACCTGTAATTTCTCTTTCTCTGTCCTATTCAAGAAAGCATACCCTACGTCTATTTAAACTACATATTTTCTCTGCTCTCACATATACACTGATTCTGATAGGCTCTTCCTCACAAAGGAAGCATTCTCACCAACCAAACTTGGGAATCACTAACTTATTATCACAAGGTCTCATCTAGTCTTGATGTTTGATTATTCCAGGCATCGGGGCCTTAAAAAAGAAGAATGATTTATGGTAAAAGGCTTAACAAGGGGAGACTGCAGGGGCCCAGGACTGTTCATTCATTCAACAAAAATTACTTAGCACGATGTGTTAGTTCATTTTGCATTACGAAAAAGAAATGCGACTGGGTAATTTATAAAGAAAAGAGATTTATTTGGTTCATGGGTCTGCAGACTGTACAAGCATGGCACCAGCATCTGCTTACTTTCTGGTGAGCCCTCAGAAAGCTTTTATTTGTGAAAGAATGTGAAGGGCGAGCAGGTGTGTCACATGGCATGAGTAGGAACAAGAGAGAGAATGAGGGATGTTAAGCATGTGGCTCCCTTTTTACAAGCAGCTTTCGTGTGCATTTATAGCTTGAGAACTTAATAATACCAAGAGGACAGCACCAAGACATTTATGACAGATCTGCTCTCATGACCCAAACACCACCCACCAGGTCCATCTGCAACCCTGGGGATTACATTTCAACGTGAGATTTGAAGGGGACAAACAGCCAAACCTTGTCTTATGATTTATGTGTCATGCTATCCTAGGTCCTGTGGAAAAAAAAATACTTATGTACCCTGCCCTCATCAGGTTTCACAGGAGAAAAATATGAAACAAATAAAAATAATAATGACAAACAGGATGATCAGTGTTTTGATAAAGTTGTATTAAAATATGCTGTGAAAACACAGACTAAGGTCACCTAACCCACCATTATGTTGAAGGGAGATTCCAGGGAAGAGGCATTTATGCTGGGGGTATGCAAGACTTATCCAGGGTAATGAAGTAGAAGGGCCAGACAGAAGAAGCAGCAGGAAAAAATGGCTCAAAGGTGAGAAAGATCCCAGTGGTGAGTTTGCCAGCTTCCAAATCTGCACGACATTGAGACAGGCTGGAGAGAAGAAGGTGCTGGATTTCCTGGCTCTCTGGTGAGCTGCTCAGGATCCCAGTTGGAAGCCTGACCCATCTGTCTTGACATTTCCCTCTCTCCAGAACTGAGTAATTTCCCACTCACTCCTGGGGTGACATGTTTTCTTCTCCAAAACCATGATCTGTAAAATTAGATATCTCAAGGAGCAAGTCTCTCTGAAGGGAAGAAGGCATGTTCTGAGCCCAGGCTGGAAGATGTGAGTGTGTTTCCATCTTCTGCCAGGAGAGTTGGACTGAGCACAGACACTGCAATTGCCAGAGACATTTGGAAGTAAATAAAGGATGTGAAAGACACTGGGTTCTAGTAATGGGATGGGCTTCCATCTCTCATTCCCTGAGTATAAGAAAACTCAGACAGCTAGGGAGTGGGGTGGACCAGCAATAAATAGAGACCTGAATATTGCAGAATCTTAATACAGCACGTGAGACTTTTGATGACCCAATTCCTCTTTGGTTCTTTCTTTTTTTTCTTTTCTTTTTTTGAGATGGATCCTTGCTCTGTTGCCTAGACTGGAGTGCAATGGCGCAATCTCAGCTCACTTCAACCTCTGCCTCCTGGGTTCAAGCCATTCTCCTGCCTCAGCCTCCCAGGTAGGTGGGATTACAGGTGCCCACCACCATGCCTGGATAATTTTTGTATTTTTAGTAGAGACGGAGCTTCACCATGTTGGCCAGGGTAGTCTTGAACTCCTGACCTCAGGTGATCTACCCACCTCAGCCTCTCAAAGTGCTGGGATTATAGGCGTGAGCTATCTCGCCCAGGCTCCTCTTTGGTTCTTTAAGCTCTTTGCCACTGTCACTATCCCCAGCCACACTGACATCCTTTTACTTTCTTTAAGTTGCCATATCATCTCTTAATTCCAAGGCTTGTTTATCATGTGCAAGAAATATTAGACTATTCTTTCACTGTGACCTTCCCAAACCAACTCAACTCAATGCTATAGACTTTCCTCGTCCAGACCATCACCTTAAAGGAGATTATATTTTCTCTGCTTATCCATACTACAAGCTACTCATCTTTATTTCGCAGCACTAAAGTTGCTTTAAAAATTATCTACCTGTCAGGCATGGTGGCTTACGCCTGTAATCCTAGCACTTTGGGAGGCCAAGGCAGACATATCACCTGAGGTCAGGAGTTTGAGACCAGCCTGGCCAACATGATGAAACCCCGTCTCTACTAAAAATACAAAAATTAGCCAGGCGTGGTGGCGGGCGCCTGTAATTCCAGCTACTGGCGAGTCCAGGGCACGAGAATCACTTGGACCCAGGAGGTGGAGTTTGCAATGAGCCAAGGTTACACCGCTGCACTCCGGCCTGGGCAATACAGTGAGACTCCAAATCAAAAAAAAAAAAAAATTTTCCACCTATCCTGCTAGTGTATGCATTATTCTACAAAAACAGGATTATGTGTATCTGGCAAGTAATAAGGTGACTTGTATACATTTTCAGTAAACATTTGATGAACAAACAAGTGAATTAATGAATGAATGAAAATGTGAAAGAAAATTGAGAGCTAAAATAAGCCACACTCTCATCTTCCATATGAGAAACTGAAAAACAACTAGTAAGTGAAAGCCGAGACCCAGACCTGCTCGTTTCTACCTAGGCCAAAGCAATTTCTGCTACAGCATTATAAATTGAGTACAGGAAAAGAACTCCCAGGAAATTGTTATAGGAGGTTTCTTTTGGCAGGTGAATGAGGGGGTGGATGGTTTCTAACAATGGAAATCTGAAAACCTTGAGGCTATGAAATGAAGACCCAAAGAAGTTACTGTGGGCTACACCTGTTTCTGGTGTTTGGAGAGGCTTCTTTTGAGGACTATTCATCCAGCTCTCTATCTCTGTTGGTGTTTGACTCTCATGACCTTCCCATTCTTGTTTTATTCTGAACAGAAGCCATCCCCCACCCAGCATCCACTCATGAAATCTTTTTCTGCCTAAGGCACAGAATACTTCTGCAGCCCCAGCCCTCGAGGTTTCCACTCTGAGAAAAGTCATTTTCACACACGTTAGACAAAAATATGTCCTTCTATCAATTCATCTTTTTTTGGAAACTGTATCAGATGTAAATAGAGTGAGTAATAAACCTTGGTTGGACTGAAACACTAAGATTTCAAGTTTTTCTGTTGCATCAGCTAACATCAATTATTCTGACTACTGAACATGATACAAAACTGAAATCAACTTATTTAATTCTGAAGAGCTTATGAACAATCTGTAGAAGCTAGTCAGAGATTGCTTTCCAGAGTGATTCAAGCTAAACTTTGAAGAATGAACAGAAGTTTTGCAGACAGAAAAGAAAGAATGTGCATACGTCTGTGGTCCCTAAAGGTAGGGCCGAAGTGAACTGTAATGGTAAGCAAATTTTTCTGCCCAAGGAATAATAAGGAAATAAGATAAATCAATGTATCAAAAAATTATTTCATCATATAAGAAAATTCAACATGTGCAAATCTCCTTGATGATTTATTTAACCCTCTCCCATCTTTCAGAGATTTTTATTTTCATTTTACATGAAAAGTTTTATTGAGGTGAAATTCGCATAGCATATAATTAGCCTTTTAAAGTATACAAGTCAGTGATAGTTGGCATATTTATAATGATATGCAACCAGGGGCTCTCTTCAGTTTCAAAACTTTTTTATCATCCATTGAATACCATAAATTCATTAAGTAATTATTCCCCACTCCCCTCCCCTTATACTCTGGTAAACTCTAATCTGCTTTATATCTCTTTGGGTTTGACTAAAGGTTTAATATCCAGAATATATAAAGAACTTTTACAACTCAACAACAAAGAGACAATCTAATTTTTAAAATGGATAAAAGAATAGACATTTCTCCAAGGAAGATACACAAATGGTCAACAAGCATATAAGAAGATGCTCAATGTCATTGGTTATTAAGAAACTGCAGGGCCGGGCACGGTGTCTCACGGCTATAATCCCAGCACTTTGGGAGGCCAAGGCAGGCAGACCATGAGGTCAGGAGATCGAGACCATCCTGGCTAACACGGTGAAACCCCGTCTCTACTAAAAATACAAAAAATTAGCTGGGCGTGGTGGCACGTGTGTGTAATCCCAGCTACTTGGGAGGCTGAGGCAGGAGAATCGCTTGAACCAGGGAGTCAGAGGTTGCAGAGAACCGAGATCATGCCACTGCACTCCATCCTGGTGATAGGGCAAGACTCCATCTAAAAAGAAAAAAAGTAAAAAGAAACTGCAAATCAAAGTGGTGAGATACCATTTCATACCCACTATGATGAATTTAATTTTTAAAAACGAAAGGAAATGACAAGTGTGTAGAAAGACAGAACAAAAGAGTAACCTTTGTACATAGCTGATAGGAAAGTAAAATAGTACAGCAAATAGTTTAGCAGTTTCTCAAAAAGTTAAACATAAGTTTACTGTGTTACCCAGAACTTCCACTTTCAGGTATATGCCCAAGAACAATAAAAACATGCTTACACAGAAATGTACATGGATATTTATAATAGCATTATTCCTAATAGCCAAAATGTGGAAACAACTCAAATGTCCATCTTTTCTGTGACGGTCAGATACTTAAGTGCAAAACAAGGTTTGTTCCAACTTTCAGTATTGCCTTATTTTGCAAGCAAAGCAAATGGTAATACTTTTGGCACAAGGATGTAATCCTCAATATACTTTCAATTAGACTTTGCTTCATTGGTTATATTTCTTTTATAGACATTAATCCTAACAACAATATATTTAGAAAATAACCTTCATCTGTTCTCCTATCTCAGACAAGAATAGCGCTTCACCTTTCCCAGCAGAGATTTTCTTATTATAGGGTGGAACATACAGGCTATTAGTCCTTGTATTAACGTATCTAGGGTTTAATCATGGCTCTCAGGTTGTATGTCCTCTAGCCCCTAACTACTGCTCAAATTCATCTGGTTCCTTTCTAGCCTTTGCTCAATATTCCCCAAATACTTTGGGTTCCTGGGTCAATGCAAGCTCAGTTCCATTTCGAGTCCTTTGTATCTGCCAGGAGTAGCCTTCTTCTTGCTATTCTTATAGGTTCTTCTCCTTATTCAGGACTCAGCTCACTTATGAAGTCAAAAAATTCTTCCCTGACTGCTTTACCCACCATTGCCTTCATCCCACATCATTCTCTCTTACTTCATTATGTTCAATCTCCTATACGAAATTTAGCACTCTCTGCAGTTACCTTGTTGAATTGTGTTTGTTTACTTCTTAATTTTCTGCCTCCCTATACTAGAATGTGTGTTCCATGGGGACAACAGTCTTCTTTACTGGTCTGTCTCCAGTGGTGGCACACTGTGCTCCCAATAAATATCTGCTGAACTGGTAAAATAATTATGTTACCACTTATCTGGACACCTACCGGGAAGTTGGGAAGTCTAGAAGCTTTTCAAAGGAGGTGTCATTTGACAAGTTCCTTTAAAGACGAGTACAATCCAAGGGATAGAAATGAATGCAAAAACTCAGAGGAGGAAATTAGCATTGACGGGTACATGTCTGGCGAGTCCTGAGAAGTTCCTGGTAACTTGAGTATAGTAATTGCCATGTGCCAAGCACTTTACCAACACTATCTCAATTAATCCTCATAATAATGATACAAACATGGACATACTAACATTACCATGTTCTAAATGAGAAACAGATTCTCTGATTAAACAAAAAACAAACCTGTACAAAGTGGCACAATGGTCATGTGTCAGAAGTGGGATCCACGCCCTGTGCTTCTGCGTGCTGTGCTTTGCTGACACAATGAGTAGAGGGAGTCAGAGATGGCAATAGGAAGTTGGGAAAAGCCATGTAGTTGAAGTCATTGTATGCCAAGACAAAAAGCTTGGATACAATTCTATTGGAATTGAGGATTGTTTCAAGGTAGGGAAAAGATGACTAGATTTGCATTTTAGTCACATTATTGTGTAACGTGAGATGGGTGGGAGAGATAAAGTTAAGATCTAAAGAAGACAGAAAGTCTAGAAAAGGGACTATAACAGTTTTGACCAAAATAGTGATACTGAAGATAGTGAAGAGAGTGTGGATTTATGTGATATTGGGGGGGGTTTAGAATCATCAACAGGATATAGAAGCTAGGTAGATAAATGGTGAAACGACCTTCCAAAGAGAGGAAAAATAAAGATGCTCAGGCTCTAAGTTTCAGAGTTTAACACACAGCATGGAACAGAACATCTGGTCTGGTTCTTCCTTTCCATAAAAGGCAGAGCCAAACTATCACAGGTCCAGTGGAGTCTGCAAAGCCTGTTATTTCAACTCCGAGGTGCCATCCTCCTGCTTGCTCAAGGCACACTCTCTCCTTTCTCACTTGCTCAGTTAATCATAGTGTCCAGCCTATTCTACCTCCCCTTAAACCTCCTGAATCTCTCCACACCTCTCAGTTTCCATACTACTTCCCCAGACAGCCACTATCACCTCCTCCTGGACTGAGAGGCCTCCTCGCACCCTCTCTTGATGCTGTCAAGATTAACACCTTTCTAGAGTTTCTTACCCCGAATCTGTAAGATGACGTGTAAGGACTTGCATAATCTCTGTGTTTGATTCTGCCTACTCCTCCAGCTAATCTTGATTTGTAACTTTTTATTTTAGTATTTTCATATAACAAATTTATAGAAAAGTTGTAAGAATACTACATGGAACTCCCATATTCTCCTGCCTTGGATTCATCAGTTTTTTTCCATTATCTTAGAAAGAAGCATAGGATTAGTTAGATGGAAACATCTTGTCCCTTACAAGACTAACTTGCTCAGAATCATAGGAACACACTGAAAGGACAAAGAAAGCAGTTTAAAGGGACAACCTCTGGTCAAATGAGGTTTTGAAAATCAGAAAAAACAATTTGTTTTTGTTTTTTTTTGAGACGGAGTCTCACTCTGTCGCCCAGGCTAGAGTGCAGTGGCGCAATCTTGGCTCTCTGCAAGCTCCGCTTCCTGGGTTCATGCCATTCTCCTGCCTCAGCCTCCCAAGTAGCTGGGACTACAGGTGCCCGCCACCACACCCGGCTAATTTTTTAGTAGAGACGGGGTTTCACTGTGTTAGCCAGCTTGCTCTCGATCTCCTGACCTGATGATCCGCCCGCCTCGGCCTCCCAAAGTGCTGGGATCACAGGCGTGAGCCACCGCACCCGGCCAAACAATTTGTTTTATCATTTGATTTATCATTTCTTTTTAATTAATGGATGGGTAGATGGACAGATGTAGAGATACACTTTTTTGTAAGACATGCTATGTATTCTCAGTCCGTATTACTAAGAACATCATGATTCTCTTACATAGCCAACTATCAAAATCAGAAATTTTGATACAAATTCAATATCATTAAGTAATGCACAATTCATAATGCTATTCATATTCAAAATTTGTTAATTGTCTCAATAATATCTTATTAAGCTATTTAAATTTCCTAGTCTAGGATCCACTCCAGAATTGCACATGGAATTTACTTGTGTGTGTCTCTTTCAGTCTCCTTTAATCAAGACTGTTCTGTGCCTTTCTTTGTCTTTTTTGACACTGACATTTGTGAAGAGTGAAGGTCAGTTATTTTGTAGAATGTCCCTCAATTTGAGTTTACCTGATATTTCTTCACAACTAAATCTGAGTTAAGAATTCTGGCAGAAACTCCATGGAGATGATGTTGCATTCTTCTCAGTGCATTATATCATTAAGAGACCCATGATGTCAGGTTGTCCCAATATCTGTGATGCTAACTTTGATCAACTGGTTAAAGTGGTATTACTAAATCTACCCATTACAAAGTTTCTATTTTTCCTTTTGCTATTAATAAGTATCCTGTAGGAAGATAAATAAACATCCTGTTCCCCATAAAACCCAAAATAAAAGTATCTCATCAATAATTTTCTAACTCCATCATTTCTTCTGTATTTGTTAGTGGCATTCTTTTATAAGGAAGAGCCACCTCTTCCTCCAGTACTTACTTATGTATTGATTCATCAATTTGTAACAAAACTGATTCATTGATTTTTATTTCATTTGATGGATTAGGATACATTTTGACAGCATTTATGCTTGGGAATAAATTGCCTCTGACTTGGCCAGAGGTTGTACCTTCTTTGTCCTTTTAGTGTGTCCCTATGATTCCAAGCAAGTTATTCTTTTTTTTTTTTTTTTTTTTTTTGTGAGATGGAGTCTTACTCTGTTGCCAGGCTGGAGTGCATTGGTGCAATCTTGGCTCACTGCAACCTCCGCCTCCTGGGTTCAAGTGGTTCCCCTGCCTCAGCCTCCTGAGTAGCTGGGACTACAGACATGAACCACCACGCCCGGCTAATTTTTTTTTTTTTTTTTGTATTTTAGTAGAAACAGGGTTTCGCCATGTTGACCAGGATAGTCCTGATCTCCTGACCTCGTGATCCACCCACCTTGGCCTTCCAAAGTGCTGGGATTACAGGCATGAGCCACCGCACCTGGCTGCAAGTTATTCTTGAAAGGGACAAGATGTTTCCATCTAGCTAATGCTATGCTTCTTTCTAAGACAATCTCTTATCCTGCCATAATGGATTTTCCCCCTATTCTTTAAGTAGTACAAGCTCTTCCTTCTGCTTTTAGTCTCTTGGACGTGTTTTTCTAGTTGTCCACACCATCTTTTCCTCTCATTATGTCTACCTGATACTCAGTAACAATATGACAACTATTGTTGACTAAATGAATAAAAAATGTCAAGAAAGGAAGCAGTTTTTTTAATGTGGATTCAGAAGACAGAAATATGGACACAGGTAAGTGGCAGGATTCTGCTCCAAACAACAGGGAACTTGGAAAAGCATTAAACCAGTGCTTTTTACCTTCTGCCAGTGATATTACCAAGAGGAAACCTGCTCTGTGCGAGGAAGGAAGAAATGGACTGATGGCCTTTGAGGTTTCTTCGTATTCTGAGAACCCATAACTCATCTATTCTACAAAGTGTCTTTGGGCAGAGACATTCCTAGCGTATCTTAGAGCTCAGCATGTGGGTGGATTGCTAGTCTTTTCTTCCAGCATTCTCACTAAGACGCCTGGGAAGTATGATGATTTGGAATGTGGATTTGCCTTAAGACTGTCTTCAGTTAGGAGGGGTTAACAAGCATGCTCAAAAGGAATTCAGTTATGGCAATTTATTCTTTCCAACCCTAGAAGGCATCATGATGCAATGACGTGCCTTCCGGCATTGAGAAAGGTTCCAATCACTAACAATCTCTTGCCCTAGGAATCGGGATGGAATAGAACTAGTAGCTGGTAAAGTGAGATTGTCCTTTTGATTCCAGGTCTACTGGTTAAGGTATAGGGCTGGGTTAAGATGAGAATCCTGATGGACGCAGTGGCTCACCCCTGTAGTCCCAGCACTTTGGGAGGCTGAGGCGGGTGGATCACCTGAGGTCTGGAGTTCAAGACCAGCCTGGGCAACGTGGTGAAACCCCATTTCTACTAAAAATACAAAGAAATAGCCAGGCATGGTGGAAGGCACCTGTAATCCCAGCTACTCAGGAGACTGAGGCAGGAGGACCGCTTGACCCCCGAGGGGTGGAGGTTGCAGTGAGCCGAGATTGTGCCATTGCACTCTGGCCTGCGAAACAAGAGCAAAACTCCATCTCAAAAAAAAAAAAAAAAAAAAAAAGAGAGAGAGAGAACCTAGCTTACCTACTCAATAAGTGTGGGAAATTTATAATATTCCAAGACAGTGAACCTCAATTTTTTCATCCAAAAGATGGGGAAATAAAGCCTGTCTATTTAGGAACATGGTAAGGATGAAAGGAGATAATTTTGGTGAAAGGATTAGCAAAGAGCAGGCCACCTAGTAAGTGCTCAATATGTAAATCATTGCTATTGTTATATAAATGGCATTAAGCTGTTTGGGCTGGCTCTCTACACCTGTTTCACTGAATACTAATAACACTTATCTCACATGGTTTTGTTGAAGATTCCTTGCACTGTGGCACGTACAAGTTCCTAGCATACTGACACATTCTAAGGAAATGCTCTGATGTGCTGGTTAAAATTTAATCTGATATGCAGCAACCTATACAAGAGGAAAGTTTAGGTTTTAGCAATGTGATGTTCTTTTAATTAAATTCTCAGACCAAAGATTAGCAAAATATATTTTTTTCATGTAGCTTTTCCATTTACAAATTTACAGCAGACAGGAGTTAATTGAAAAATACTTCTTTCTATTTGGTTTCCAAAATAAGCAAACAGCTAAAAAGGCTGTGACATTTTTGAATATTTCACATCAAAATGGAAAAGTATTTTTTTCATGCAAAGTGCTTTGGGCTTCTTGTTTTTACTAATGAGACTGTATGGGTGATAGGAATTGCTTCTGTGCAAATCCAGGGCTGATCTGTTCTAACCTACTTCTTCCTGTTTTTTTGGACCTACTCTGTGCACACAGATTGCCCTGGATAATTCAACAGACAACTTGAAATTATACTTTAGGTTCTATATGTCAGTGTGGATGCCATATGTACTTTAGATCTGATGTAATCCTTTCCCCTTCAGCAACATTTTGCATGATTTATCACCAGCCTGGAGTGCCCACTGTCATTGCCACTTGACTGATTTCTTGTCCTCCTGAAAAACCACTACTGTTTCAAATCCAGGCTCAAACAACTACTGTCTGTCTCTCTGGTTTATCAAACTAAGTAAGAAATCTAACTCTACTGTTTGAATGGTCAGGAGAGATTAGTGGAATTACCAAGAATAGTGATAAATCTATATTAGAAAATGGGAAAGGGGACAGGAAGTTTGTGTTGGTGGTGACATAAGAGAGCTAACTCACGCTCTCTCACAGTAGGAAGTCAATCACAATGCGTAAAGTTGGTACATCAAAAAATTATAGAATGAGGGTATTATTACGGAGATAACCACCAAGAGAATGGAGAAAAGAAATAGTTAAAAGTGAAGGCAACATGAGAAAAAAAGTTCAGCAATCATTGTTGTTTCTTTTTATGAACTCTCCTATTATTTTATATCTATTTTCATCTATTGTTTTGATAAGATAAAGGAAATGAAATCACTACTTTTGTGTTCTGGGTGGTCACTCCTGTATGCCTAGATATTATAACACAATGTCTAGAATTATGGGTTTTTTTTTTTAAATCTTTATCTCTTTTGTTAAACTGTGAGTGCCTCAGGGGCAGGTCCTATTGCATAATTTTCTCAGTAGCCCTAATGGGTTCAGCACATAGCTAATCTACAGAAGAAGGTTGTTGAATAAATTCCAGGGTATGGAGGTTATGGAAAGGAAGTGAAACTGACATGAAGCTTACACTTAAGAAGGTAATTAAGTCATCATACTAGTGCAACAACAAACTGACATCAGTGCCCTGAAGGAAACGTACACCGTGCAGGAGACCGTGGGAAGAAGGACCACTGAGTTAGAATAGTGGGGGTGGCAGGAAGGTCAGGGAGGTTGGGAGGCCTTTCTTAAGGAAATGATGCCTGTGCTGAAAGCTGAAGTACTGATAACAGGTTTTAAGGGGTGAAAATGAATAGAATCTACTCACGTACAAGAAGGGAATAAAGAAAAGGACACTAGTTTAGGCTTGACATTCTGTTCGTGTTGCAACTTCAAGCCTTAAGACACAGAACAGGAGGCTTCAGCCAGATGTTTACTGAGTTCAAGCCAGAAAGAGATTCAGAAGCCACGCATCATGAACAGCGACTCTATTAACAAAAAAAATGTACCATTTCAAAAATGTTGAAATAGAAAGGGGGCTGGTATAGGAAATGGTATGAAATGCATCACGAATGCCATTCACAGAAAGGGGAAGGGAAGAGGTGCTTACAGCTGAGTATGTTGTTATGTCTCCCATTTAAGAACAAAACAAAAGAAAAATATGTTTTGATGCCACTTCTCCTGCCAGCTCCTGTTCTTTTTCTTTAGCTATTACGTAGTTTTCTACAATTTCGGTCTATAATTCTTCTCTTTCTTTTCTCTGTTAAGCTTGCTCCTCAAAAACTGCTCTTTTCCAAATCACTAGTGACCTTTAAGTTGCCAAATCCTGTGACAAATTCTTGGTCTCATCACAAATAAGCTATCAGGTGCCTTCACGTTGTTGTTCATTCCCTCCCCCTGGACATGCTTTCTTCACTTGACTTTCCTGGCTTTGCCCGATCTCCTTGGTTACTCTTTCTCAGTTTATTTTGTAGTTCTTCTTTCCCTAGCTTATTAATATTGGCATGCCAAGTCCAAGAGTCCTTGCACCTCTTCTCTTCTCATGTTCACACACTCACTCAGTGTCACATTCAATCTCATGACTTTCCCTAGTGATTCCAGTTTTGAATCTACTGCTGAGAATTCATTTCTAATCTTTAGACTCCTAAATCATGCTGCTTATGCAGCATTTCTGCTAGGACGTCTAAAAGACATCTCAAACTTACCATGTCCAGAGCTAAAATCTTGACTTGCCCAAATCATATTCCAACCACAACCTTCCCCAACTCATGTGAGGGCAACTCTATTCTTCCAGTTCCAAAAGCCTGAAATCTTGACATCACCCTTCTTATGTACACCCCCATCATCTCTTACTGAAAATCCTGTTTGCTTCACTTCCTGTATATATCTGGAATCTGATTACCATTCTAGAATGAGCAACCACTATCTCTTTTCTAGATTATTATAGGAGGTTTCTAACAGTTCTCCTTGCTTATAATCATTGATCCTATCAGTCTATTCTGAAAAACAGCAGCATTATCATCTTAAAATATAACTTAAAGAAGGAATGGTAATTATCTTACAAAAATTACTTCAGGAAATAGATGAGTGAACAATTCTCAATACACTATATGAAGTCAGAGTTACTCTGACACCAAAATCTGACAACTTTATGATAAAATTGCAGACCAATATTCATGATAACATAAACACAAAGATCCACTGAGAAATCAACAAATTAAATCCAATAATATATGAAAAAGATAGTGCATCATAACCAAGCAGGGTTTACTCCAGGAACACAAAATTGACTTAACATTCCAAAATCTATTAATAATATTAATCATAATGAAAGGATAAATGTGAAAAGTACATGTAATCATTTTAATAAATGAAAAATAATTTGACAAAATCTAACATTCATTTGTAATTAAGAAAAACTCTCAGCAAGTTATGAATAAAAGAAAACATCATCAACCTAATAGATGGGACCTATGTAAAACCTTCAGTGAACATTCTTAATTTTGAAATACTGAGTGCTTTCCTTCTGAGTTAAAGAACAAGACAAGGATATTTGCTCAAATCACTTCTATTTAGTACTATACTAGATCCAGTCCAATAAGGCAAGAAAAATATAAAGATATTCTTATTGAAAAGAGGAAAAAAACAATTTTATTTGTCAGCTGTAGAAAATCCTAAGGAATCCTTAAAACAATTACTAAAACTAAAAATTAAATGTAGCAGTTGCAGAATAAAATTTATTTTTAAAAATATATATATATTATTTATTTATTTTGAGACAGGGACTCACTCTGTCGCCTAGGCTGGAGTGCAGTGGTGCAACTTTGGCTCACTGCAACCTCTGACTCCAGGGCTCAGGCGATCCTCCGACCTCAGTTTCCCAAGTAGCTGAAACCACATGTGTGGTCTGCCATGTCTGGGTATTTTTTATAGGTTTATTTTGTAGAGATGGGATTTCACCATGTTGCCCAGGCTGGTCTCGAACTCCTGGCTCAAGCCATCTGCCCTCCTTAGCCTCCCAAAGTGCTAGGATTACAGGCATGAGCCACCATGTCTGGCCAGGATAAAATTTTGTATACAAAATTTAATTTTATTTTGGGATAGCAGCAGAAATTAGATGACAATAAAATTAGAACAACAATTTCATTTGTGTTAGTGCAAAAAACTTAAAAGACTCAACACTAATTTTAGCAAAGAATATGCAAGATTCTTCTCTGAAAACTATGGAACATTGCTAAAAGAAATTAAAGACAATGTAAATAAATGAAGAGGTATACCATGTTCATAAATGCAAAGACTCAAAATTGTTAATATTTTATTTATCTCCAAATATAATAGAGCTACATGTAAATGAAATCCCAATAAAAATCACAGTAGCTATTTTGTAGAAAGTGTCAAGCTGATTTTAAAACTTATATGAAAAAGTGAAGAAACTAGAATAGCCGAACGAATTTTGAAAAAAAAAAATTGGAGGACTTGTCCCACTTGATTTCAAGACTTAATATAAAACTATAATAAACAAGACAATGTGGTATTGTCAAAAAAACAGACATATGTATCAATGGAAGTAGACAGAAAATCCAGAAATAGAACACAACTACATGGTCAACCAATTTATGATGAAGTTGCAAATGCAAATTAATTAGGAAATGGTTGCCTTTTCAATAAATTGTGATGAACCAACTGGAAATCTATATGGAGGAAAATGAATATTGATCATTATCTAATGCCATATGCAAAAAATAAGATGCATAGTCCAAAATATAAAAGAAAAAACTATTAAACTTCTGGAACAAAACATAAGAAACAATTCTTTATGATCTTGGTTTGCACAAAGATGTCCTAGATAGAAGACAAGAACTCAAAATCTTGAGAAGCAGTGATTTAAAAGAACTGCTCATCTCAAACACTCAAAAAAAAATCACCTTCCAACTGGGGTTCCCAGACAGCTTAGGAAGCAGGTAGGCCTGAGATATAAATGCAGTGATCTTCAGAGAGATTTAAAGAAAATATCAGCCACCCCCCAATGTCTTTTCCACTTTCATCTTGTTCCCTGAAGGTGGAACTAAGACTACTTGGGGTTACACATGACTTCAGAGATAATGCTCTCCTAGTAAGTGTCCATTCGTTCAGTTCTGCTCAACAAATATTTAATTATGTCAATGTAGTGCTGGTGCTCTCCCAAACAAAGGTGAGGATGCACAAGAATCACCTGCACTGCTTGATAAATCACCAGTCGCAAGGCTCCATGCCAGACTTTCTGATACAGGAGATATGGGGTGGTCCCCAGTCATCTGCAATTCTAACACATTCAGGGGTGATACAATGACTAGTCTTGGAACTGCACTTAAACAACTATGGCTGTAAGTGAAGGATTAACAGCTTTTTCCTTTCTTCTTTCTTTTCTTTCCTTTCTTTCTTTCTTTCTTTCTTTCTTTCTTTCTTTCTTTCTTTCTTTCTTCTCTCTCTCTCTCTCTCTCTTTCTTTCTTTCTTTCTCTCGTCTTTCTTTCTGTCTTCTTTCTTCTTTCATTTTGAGATAAGGTCTCCCTCTGTCACTGAGGCTGAATTGCAGTGATGCAATCACAGTTCACTGCAGCCTCGACCTCCCAGGCTCAAGTGATCCTTCCACCTCAGCCTCCCAAGTAGCTGGGATCACAGGCATGCCACAACAACCAGATATATATATGAATATATATTAATATATATCTTAGTAGAGACGGAGTCTCGCTCTGTCGCCCAGGCTGGAGTGCAGTGGCACGATCTCGGCTCACTGCAAGCTCCGCCTCCCAGGTTCACGCCATTCTCCTGCCTCAGCCTCCCGAGTAGCTGGGACTACAGGCGCCCGCCACCACGCCCGGCTAATTTTTTGTATTTTTAGTAGAGACGGGGTTTCACCGTGTTAGCCAGGGTGGTCTCGATCTCCTGACCTCGTGATCCGCCGCCTCGGCCTCCCAAAGTGCTGGGATTACAGGCGTGAGCCACCGCGCCCGGCCAGGATCTCATTATTTCTTACCTGAGCTGGTAGCTCAACGCAGCATTGGTGTCATCTGCCACTAGGCTTTAGCCATCCATTCACTCACCAGGCATGATCTTTCTAAAACACCAATCTGATCATGTCACTCCTCTCATAAAATGCTTCAGTGGCTCTCCATTACCCTTAGGATAGACTGCAAACTCTCTAGACAGGCAATAAAGTCCCCTGCAATCTAGTTTCATCAGATCCCTCCCATCTCATGTCCTGCCATTTTTCTAAAGGAGCTCCTCTGCTTTAGCCACAAAGTACCTGGTGCCTCCTGATTGCCGGCATTGTGAATAGTCAAGCCACCATGGCTTTAAAGGGGCTATTTTCACCACTTAGAAAGCCAGGTCTGTGTGGCAAAGTCCTGCTAATTTTTCAGGACTCAAATCAGATGTTTATTCCCTTTGTCAAGCCATCCCCAAAAGCCTAGGATAATTCAGTCATAGTCAATTGATATTCAGACAATAATTCATTGTTTATGATCCTACTGAATCTTACACAACAGTCTCAGAGCTCTTCATACTGAGTCTGTTGTGTTAATCTGCATAGCTGCCTCCTGCACTAAACTATGAGAAATGGAAGGGAGGTTCAAGGTAATATAGCTCAGAGGTTGAGAGCTCACACTATGGTGTCATACAGGCTTTAATGGTGTCATACAGGTTTAAATCCAGGCTATATCACAGTCTGATCCTGGGGAGAGAAGTTATTTAACTTACTGTGCTTGAGGTATTTTTAATCTATGAAATGGGCACAACTGCAACCCATTTGGGTTCTTCCTATGATATGAATTAAGTGTAAAATGCTTAGCAATGCCATTTAGTGGTTTAGCATATAGTACACAGTAAGTGTACAAAGGTAATCCAATAAAAATGATGACCAAAGGCAGGTTTCATAATCACCCATCTTATCACTACAACACAGTGTTTGGAACAAAAGTGGCATGAATTATTGTTGAATGAATGAAGTAAGCGTTGTGTTAGGTTGTTCTTACCTTGCTATAAAGGAATACTGGGTAATTTATGAAGAAAAGAGGTTTAATTGGCTCAAGGTTCTGCAGGCTGTACAAGCATGGCGCTGCCATCTGTTCAGCTTCTCAGGGGCTCAGGGAGCTTTTACTCATGGTGGAAGAGAAAGTGGAAACAGGCATGCCACTTGGCAAGAACAGAAGCAAGAGAGAGTGCAAGGGGGGAGGTGCCATGCACTTTTTTTTTTTTTTTTTTGAGACAGAGTCTTGCCCTGTCACCAGGCTGGAGTGCAATGGTGTGATCTTGGCTCACTGCAACCTCCGCCTCCCTGGTTCAAGCGATCCTCCTGCCTCAGCCTCCTCAGTAGCTGGGATTACAGGCATGCACCACCATGCTTGGCTAATGTTTTCTATCTTTAGTAGAGACAGGGTTTCACCATGTTGACCAGGCTGGTCTCGAACTCTTGACCTCATGATCCACCCACTGCAGCCTCCCAAAGTGCTGGGATTACAGGCATGAGCCATTGTACCTGGCTGCCACACACTTTAAAACAATCAGCTCTCCAGAGAACTCACTTATCACCAAGGGGATGGCAATAAACCATTCATGAGGGATCTGCCCCCATGATCCAAACACCCCCAACAAGCCCCACCTCCAACACTAGAGATTACATTTAGATTTGGAGAAGACATCCAAACTATATCAGCATTCATAGGGATGTGCAGGGACTGACAGATATCCCTTCATTACTTCCTTTCTGTTCACAAGCTGGAATTTTGCCATCCAGCTTTGTGTTCCCCCAAATACATGGTCTGGGAGATTTGACGTCTTCCTGGTTGACCATTATTGAGCCCTGTCTGTGTTCCACTGTGCTAGACATGTGAGGTCAATGTGAATATCCCCATTTTCCAAAGAAGAAGACTGAGCTGCAGAGAAGGTGAGTCAGTAAATGGCACTGGAAGGGTCTGAACGAAGATCTGCCTGGTTCCAAATTCCACACTCTATCTCCTGCAGCCAGCAGCAGTGGTATTATTCCCAACTGGAAAGCTCTCCCAGGTTTCCTAGGCAGCCCTGGCATTCCTTTCCATAAAAAAGATTCAGAGGATAGTCCATTATGCCTATGCTGTTGCCTTGAAACATAAATACTCACTCACTGTGGAACTGTTTGTTATGAGGAATGCGCGGGCTGGAGAGAAGTGAGACATAAAATCATTATTTCATGCAGAAAGACATTGCCAAAGGGATAGAATTACTTACTATATTAATTCTGTCCTTCAGCCCCCAGCTCATCTCTCTGCATAATGACTTAGTCACAGAATGTATTGTTGGCAACATTTTGGGACATTTCCACTATGATTTTTGCAGAAGTTGAATAATCTAAGACTTCTCGTTTCATTTCTTTTCCCTCTAACTCTCTCCTCTTTTTTCTGCTGGTCTTTCAGCTCCAGAACTCCATCCCTCAGCCAACCCTATTTCTTCCCACTAACTGTCATTTCTTCCCACTAACTGTCATTCCTTCTACTACTCACACCCATGCCACCCTTAGTCCCCCTTCTCTTCCTGAAAACCCTTCTGCCAACCCTCAATTCCTCCCCATTCATTCTCCATCCACTAAACATCTACTTCTACGACAGAGTAGAGGGGCTCCCCATGGAAATTCTGTACTAGTCTTAAAATAAGTACCTTAGAGAAAGTGCTCATAGGTCATCATTTAAAATCATCATATAAAATCATCATATAAGTCATCCTTTAACATCAACACACAGACCCATCATATAGGACCATCAGAGAGAACCACACAATGGAACCATCATATAGAATCCCAGAGTTAGAATAACTAAGATAAGATGGTAGGAAGATAAACAGCATCTGTTTACCCCTGTATTTATATATTAATACAGCACTCTTAATGGCCAAGTCATACTTAATGACACAACAAGATTGACATTCCCATGTCCATCGGAAATTAAACAGCTTTCATCTGATAAGGAGTTGGAAGGTTCTGGTAAGGAGTGTGAAGCAGAACTGAACAAAAAGAGTTAAAACCACAATATCTCAACTTGGATTGCTGTTTGCTATCCCCTTGCCTCATTGCCTCACTTCGAAAGATTTATAGGCTAATTGCACCAGGTGCAGAGAGTTGTTACGTGGAAGAGGAATTTCCGTCATGGTCTGGCATGATCATGATTATCTAATGTGGTTCTACAATTCCTTTTAAATTAACAACAACTCTTACTAACACATGTTGAACACCTGGTGTGCTGCCAGCTGCTCTGAGAGATTTAGATTTATCATTTACCCCTCACAGGGTCCGTGAGAGGTAGCAGTGAACATGTCCAGTTTAAAGATGAGCAATGGAAGTTCAGAGAGGTGAACTAATTTCCCCAATATTACAAAGCCGTGGAATAGAAATAGCTATAATTGTTGTTAAGGAGGACACAAAATATTCAAGATCTACAAAAATTGTCACAAATATTTACTGAGTGTTCATACAAGTGGAATTGAGAAAACAGAGGCATTATGTTTTTATTTGGAAGAAGAAAATTTAAAAATATTAACTCTCCTAATTTATAGGTGTAAATGATTTTGATTAAACTAGCAATTTTTATGACTTGATGAAATAATTCTTACATTAAAAAAACAATCTGGAGTAGCTAGAAAAATGTTAATAATTAGTAAGAATAATGTATATTAATATATAAATACATTAATGTACTAATGTAATAATATCCTAATGAAAATATACTAACAACTTATACTATCAATAAAATTAATATATTTATTAAACAGTGTGGGAATGGATAGTTTGATCAAAGAAAAAGTAGAGCTAGCCCAGGAAGAGATCAAAACATATATAAAAATGTAAACTATAAAAAATATGACATTTCACATCCGTAGAAAAAGGAAAAGTCAGTCAATATATAGTCTTAGAGCAGGTCAATATTTATTTATAAAAATAATAACAGTAAGAGGAAATGAAAAAAGCTAAATAGTTACTTGAATACATAAAACAATAAATGAGAGAAGGTGAAAAAAAGCATTATAATGTCAAATGTAAAAGAAAGGAAGGAAGGCAGAAATCTTAATATGAGCAAAGTTGGTATAGATAAGACTTCTTAAAGGATAACTCAGAAGAAAAAAATAAAGAAGTATATTGATATGTTTGGTTTACCTTAAATATTCCTTAAATGGGTATATATCTATATATATGAAAAAATATATATTTTTACATATAATATACATAATATATAAATTATATTAAAAATATGAAAATACATATGAAATCCTATATATGAAAACATATATTTTTTCATATATATAGATACCCATTTACATATAGTGATATATATCACTCATATATATGAGATCTAAATATGTACTTATATATATAAGTATATATAAGTATGTATACTTATATATACATATACACACCCATATATACATATACATATATATACACACCCATCTCTATATATCAACATATATGTATATATTACATATACATCTCATCTCATATATATCTCATATGTAATACATATACATATATATCAACATATATTATGTGTATATATTACATATATATCTGATGTATGTAATACAGATACACATATACATATATGTATATATAATATATACATATATAAATATATATCTCATATATACACAAATGTATATATTATGTATATATTCAAAACACCATAAACAAAACTGAAAAAGCCTATTCCAAACTATGAAAAAGTATTTGTAAACTATAAAACAGAAATTGGATATTACATTTTTTAAATACTTATGTTTATTCTATTTCTATTTGTGTATCAGAAATAGAATATTTAAAATATGCAGAGCTCTTACAAATCAATAAAAAGTATATATGTTTTGATAGAAAAATGGGCAAAGGGCAGGAACTAGCTCTTTACAGAAAAAAAATACAAAAACTCAATAAACGTAAGAAATGTGTTAGAGCCCTAGCAATTAAAAAACTTTGAAAAACTCTTGTGACATATGTTGCACCCATTAACTTGAGAGTGAATGAAAGAATTATTGTTGATGGGTGTGTGGGCCAAATGGTGTGCCCATACAATACTGAAAAGGGGGTGGGGACGGGTAATTGCTGTAACATTTTTAATTTTTGAAGACATTACAACTTTATGTATCAAAAGCCTTATAAAACATGCATAGCACTTGACTTAGTAATAAACGTCTGCATACTACAACCCAATGATTCTCCTTCTAGAAAATGTATTCTGAATAAGCAATCAGGGATGTATTAAAAAATGTATGTAGATATCTCTGGGTAAAGATGGAAATATTCATATCAGCCTGTGGTAAGCAGCTTCTGACGTAGCTCTTAATTACCCTGTCTTCTGGTATTCACACCTTTGTGTTATTCCACTGGGTTTGGGCTGCACCTAGTGACTTGCTTCTATAACAAATAGAATGTGGCAAATAGACGGAATGTCATTTCTGTGCTCAGGTTAGAAAGACTGACTTTTGTCTTGTGTCCTCTTTCCCTCCCTCCCTCCTCACTGACCCCTCTCTCCCTCTCTCTCATCCTTTCATTTGCTTGCTCTGATGAAGCAAGCTGCCAGGCTGCAAGCTTGCCTATGGAGGAGACCACGTGGCAAAGACCCAAAAGAGGTCTTTAGTTAACAGTCAGTGAGGAACTGAGACACTCACATCAACAACCTACAAAGAACTGAATTCTGCCAACAACCGCATGCATGGTGTAAGAATTGGACCCTTCCCAGTCAAGCCTTGAGATTAGACTACAGCCTGGACACCTTGATTACAGCCTACCTAGCAGAGACTTAGAGCCAGAAGATCCAGCCAAGCCACACCCAGATTCTTGACCACAGAAACTGAGATAGAATAAATGTTGTTTTAGGCCACTAAGTTCCCGGGTAACTTGTTACACGGCAATAGATAGCTAACAGATAGCTTTATTTATAATAATACAAAATTGGGCAAAATAAAATGTTCATTAAAAAGAGGTCAAGGAAACTCTGGAGGATCTAGAAAATGGTATTCTGTGATAATATTAAAATATTACTTTAAATACTATTTATTGCTAAAGGAAAAACTTTATGACATATGGCAAGGGAAAAAGCAAGTACCAAATAGTGGAATTTTGCTCTTGTTGCCCAGGCTGGAGTGCAATGGCGCGATCTCGGCTCACCGCGATCTCCGCCTCCCGGGTTCAAGCGATTGATTCTCCTGCCTTAGCCTCTTGAGTAGCTGGGATTACAGGCCGGGCGCCTCGCTAATTTTGTATTTTTAGTAGAGACGGGGTTTCTCCATGTTGGTCAGGCTGGTCTCGAACTCCCGACCTCAGGTGATCCGCCCTCCTCGGCCACCCAAAGTGCTAGGATTACGGACGTGAGCCACCGCGCCCAGCCTATGGCACAATTTTTGTAAATTAAATAAACCCATATGAATGAAAGACTACTGATAGAACACACAAAACTTTTTTTCCTTATCTCTTTTGGGAAGACTTTCTTTTAAAATAATAAATCGGTAGGTGGCTGGAGATAGCAAGACCCTGAAACAGTGGAGCTCTCACTCATTCCTCCATTTTCATTGGACAAGCCATTGGGATAAAGTGGCCAACAAAACAAAGTCCCTGTCTTCAAGAATCTTACAGTTTAGAGGGAGATAAAATTAATCAATCCATCTATAACATAAAACCAGGAAGTCAGGAAGTGGTAAGTCTATACAGTGGAATAAGGGAATATAAAATAAGGGAGGGTGCTGTTTTATATAGGGGAGTTGGAAGATACTGAGATAATGTTTGTGCAGAGACCAGAGTGAAGCGAGAATGACCCACCCGAATATCTCCAGGAGGTGATTTTAAAGTGATAAGAACAGCAGGTCGGGAGTGGTGGCTCACACCTGTAATCCCAGCACTTTGGGAGGCCAAGGCTGGAGGATTGCTTGAGTCCAGGAGTTTGAGACCAGCCTGGGCAACACGGCAAAACCCTGTCTCTACAAAAAATACAAAAATTAGCCAGTTGTGGTGGCACACACCTGTGGTCCCAGCTACTTGGGAGGCTGAAGTGGGAAGATTACATGAGCCTAGGAGGTCAAGGCTGCAGTGGGCTGTGCTCACACCACTGTACGCCAGCCTAAGCAACAGAGCTTGACCTTGTCTCATAAAAACAAACAAACCATCAAAAACAGCAAAGGCCCAGAATTATGCCCCTAAAATGCAAACTTGGTTTTGCTACAGTAGCATACAGATTTCACAATCCCAAGCCACGAAGAAAAGCTACAGGGGCCATTAAGAGAAGTTGATCAGACAATTTCTAAGACACATATTTTCCTAAACTCCCAACTGCTTTTAATCTCTACTTCTTCTCCACCAGGCTCAATGTCACTGCAGGCAATTTTGACCAGTGGGAGTTTATCATTGGCAACTGGGACCTGGAGTCATTACTGTGGACTGAAGCATGAACACAACCATCACAGCTTCTCCCACTCACATGAGTTTATTGGACATCTCTACTGCAGCGGATGCTGGGTGGTCTAGTCCCATAGAGGAAGATCAATATTCTCCCACAGGTGATTATTGATCACTGTATGGAATTGGACTTTTAAGTCATTCTCTCCGTCCTGCACTTGACTAGCCCAATGGCCAAGCTCGTCTCTCTGAATCCAAGTCTACTCAATACTAGCCATTTATTGAGCATTCGTTCTGTGCTGGTCCCTGAGATGAGAGCGTTGTTGACATCAGTCCACATAATCCTCTCTGCAGATGTGTGAGGCTGTGACCACAAGACAACTGAGGCCCCGTGCAGATTGAACTCATTTGGTGTCATGAGCTCATGAAGTGTCAGGACCAAGATATGAATCCAGATATGCTCGATTTTAGAACATTCTACCTGTCTTTCCCCAAAAAAGTCACATTTTGCTTTGCTTCTTTTTTTTCCTTCCTCCCTCATATCTCAGGGTCTGATTTTAGTCTTCTGTCACCTGGCTGCTTCTTGGTGTTTGTTACTGTGCCCGGGTAGAACTGTTTCTTGACCCATACAACCCTGTAATTCCTATACTGCTGGCCTCTCAAATGGAATCTCTCTCCCACCCTGGAACTGTCTCACTCAGGCCTTGCCTTTCTTCCTCCCCCTATGGAATTGCTGTGCTATGAAATAATAGTGGTGAGTTGTGCAGCAAACTATAAAGTGACAAATACGTAAGTGTGATCCTGTGGATGATGTGGAACACTAGGACTTCTGCCCTGGGCCGCTTTTTACAGCTTCTTGTTTAGTGCACAACCTGTGCAGCCATACGAGGTAGCCCTGCCTCTCCTATTGTAGGTTTGGGGGCCTAAAATCCAAGTTATAACCTGGAATGTTTCTTGTTTTGTTTTGTCTTATAAAATGATCCTCAGGTCTCACTCTCAGACTCAGAGAATGAAAACTGGAGAACAGAACTGGGAATCTCTACTTTTAATAAATATTGCAAGGAAATTTCAATAAATTTTATGTGCCTAAAAGGAAATTTCTTGAAAATGTCTATGGTCAAAAATTTCCTTTGTCTCAATTGGTTATGTCTATAGCACCATTCAGGTGATGAGACTGCTGGGACCCAGGATCCAAAGCTAGTTTTTCAGAGTTAAATTGTCCAGGGTCTCCTCTCTCCTCCAGCCTTCATTGCAGACTGAATGAACCACACAGGATGAGAGTCCAAGCTCAGTTAGTGAATCTGTAGGAAGGTCACGTGAGGGTGCTCAGAACTTTTGCCATTAAGGGATGAACACTGAGTAGTCTGTTGGCTTTAATCTTAAGCTGATCTTGTTCCTGAGCCCAGCCAGACCTTGATTTAAATCATCCATGTTACTTGGAGACTGTATTTGATGGCTAGGGCTGTGTTATGGGCTAATTTGTGTTCCCCCAAAATTCATGTACTAAAACCCATGATAACCTCAGAATATGACTATATTCAGAGATAGGGCATGGAAAGAGATGGTTAAGTTAAAATGAGGTCTTGAGGCTCCAAAATTCATGTGTTGAAGTCCTAACACCCACAATAACCTCAGAATGGGACTACATTCAGTGATAGGGCCTGGAAAGAGATGATCAGGTTAAAATGAGACCTTGAGGGTAGGGCCCAAATACAATCTGACAAGTGTTTTTTTTCTTTGTTTGTTTATTTTTTTGAGATGGAGTTTCACTCTTGTTGCCCAGGTTGGAGTGCAGTGGCACGATCTCGGCTCACTGCAACCTCCACTCACTGCAACCTTCGCCTCCTAGGTTCAAGCAATTCTCCTGCTTCAGCCTCTTCAGTGGCTGGGATTACAGGCATGTGCCACCACGTCCAGCTAATTTTGTATTTTTAGTAGAGATGGGGTTTCACCATGTTGGTCAGGCTGGTCTCGAACTACAGACCTCAGGTGATCCGCCCACCTCAGCCTCCCAAAGTGCTGGGATTACATGCGTGAGCCACCGCACCCGGCCTGGCGTCCTTTTAAGAAGAGGAAGAGATGCCAGGGATTTGTGTGCACAGAGAAATAACCTTGACATGAGGCAGCAAGAGGGTGCTCATCTGCAAGCCAAGGAAAGAAGCCTCAGAGGAAACCAACCCTGCCAAGACCTTGATCTTGCACTTCCAGCCTCCAGAACTGAGAACATAGTTATCTGCTGCTTGAGTCACCCAGTCTGTGGCATTTTGTTATGAAAACCCTAACAGATGAATACAGGTTGCTGTCACAAAATACCACGGAGATTTGATGGCTGAAATAACAGGAATGTATTGTCTCACAGTTCTGGAGGCCGGAAGTCTGAGATCAAGGTGCCAGCAGGGATGGTTTCTTCTGAGGCCTCTGTTCTTGGAGTGCAGACAGCTGTCGGCTCCCTGTGTCTTCCCTTCACCCTCTCTCTGTGTCTCTGGGTCTTAATCTCCCCTTCTTATAAAGACAACAGTCACATTGGATTAGAGGCCACCTCAGTGACCTCATTCTAACTTAATTGCCTCTTTAGAGGCCCTTTTTCCAAATACAGTCACATTTTGAGGTGCTGGGGGTTAGAATTTCATAATATTTGTGGGGACACAATTCAGACCATAACATAGGCCAGGCTTGTCCAACCAGAGGCCCGCAGGCCCAGAACAGCTTTGAATGGGGCCCAACACAAACTCATAAACTTTCTTAAAACATTGCGAGATTTTGGCTGGGTGTAGTGGCTCATGCCTATAATCCCAGCACTCTGGGAGGTCAAGGTGGGAGGATTACTTGAGGTCAGGAGTCAGGAGTTTGAGATCAGTCCCGCCAACATGGTGAAACCCCATCTCTATTAAAAATACAAAAATTAGCTGGGCCTGGTGGTGTGCACCTGTAGTGCCAGCTATTTGGGAGGCTGAGGCACAAGAATCGCTTGAACCTGGGAGGCAGAGGTTGCAGTGAGCCACTGAACTCCAGCCTGGGTTACAGAGTGAGACTCTGTCTCAAAAAAAAAAAATAAATAAATGAAATCCTTTTGTCTTTTTTATTTTTTATTTTTAGCTTATCACCTATTGTTGGTGTTAGTGTATATTATGTGTGGCCCAAGACCCTTCTTCTTCTTCTAATGTGACCCAGGGAAGCCAAAAGATTGGACACCCCTGACATGGGCTTTAAGAAAGGTTAAGTTGAGAGAAGAGACCTGGTTTCTCTGGAGAATGTTCTTCAGGTTAAACACTGTGCTTGACACATCTAATTCTTACAAATGCACTGGGGAAAAGGTGAGAAACTGAGGCCTGGAGATTAAACATTCAGTCATCTCCCCAGGTGGGAAGGAGAGGGCAGGAGGGGTATGAATTTCTTCACAATGTAGCCCAGGGCCACCTCATCAGCCTCTTTTCTAGCCATTTACAGCTCCCAACCTGAATCAATTTTGACAGAATTGGCCAAAATTGTGATCCTAATGGAACCAAGCTCTTAGGCCTGTTGTGGCATGAGGTTACCTGTGCAGGGCACTTAGCAAAATGCTCAGAGTTGGCGAAGGCTCTAAGCAGTGATGGCTTTTCTCATCATGGTGATTATGTTTACACCTTGAAAACTTTAAGTGCAAGAAAAAGAGGCTATCAAATTGGTGATGTTACCATCTGATTCTAGGTACCCAGGCCAACGCCCAGACACTGGACTGGGGATGTTTTCACACACATTAGTACCCCTGGGAAGAAAGCATTATTATTTTCCTCTGTGTTGAACTAGGTGCTCTTGCTGTTGCTAACGCTGTGGGAGGCCCAGAGGAAATTGAAAACTGAAGGTTTATGAGTTCACCCCAATGGGCTCATTTAAATGGAACTAACCACCAGCCTCCGCCATCTCCCTGCCCTCTCCACCATCGCACACCACCCCACTGAAATTCCAGGCTGCCCATGGTGCTGTTGCTCTGTGAATTCTCCTCCCTGGGAATGATAACTCACGTTAAGAGTCTTCCCATCCAAAGACACAAGTCTTTACCCTCTGCCCCACCTAGAATTCTTCTTCAAATTTTCACTGGTCAAAGATTCTTGGTCTTGAAAGGTCAGGCTTACAGCTCTGTTCCAGGGGTCTGATCCAAGTCCCCTAAAAATCTTCAGTATTAAGGGGAAGAGGAGACACATCTAATAATTGTTAGGCCTATGATGGACCCTTCACACACCATATTCTTTATTGCTCCTAAGTAGTGTACGAAGAGGCAGTCTGGTAGGCCATAATTTTACAATTGAAAAAACTGAGGCATAGAGAAGTTCAGTAACTTACCAAGGATCCCTAGTCACTAAGGGAAACATTGAGACCAGACTGACTTCTAAACACCTACTATCAACAAATGCCTTCTGGTCCATATGCTTAGCATGTAATAACCGACCACTGATATGGCCCAGCACATTGGTCATACACATATACAGTTGGCCCTTGAACAACACGGGTCTGAACTGCACAGGTCAACTTATATGCACACTTTCTCCCACTTCTGCCACCCCAGAGACAGCAAGACCAACCCCTTGTCTTCTTCCTTCTCCTCCTCAGCCCGCTCAGTGTGAAGATAATGAGGATGAAGACCTTTATGATGATCCACTTCCACTTAAGGAATACTAAATATATTTTCTCTTCCTTATGATTTTCTTAATAACATTTTCTTTCTTCTAGCTTACTTTACTGTAAGATAAAGTTAGTTCTCTAGCTTTATGATACAGTATATAACACATGTAACATTGCAAGACATGTGTTAATCAATGTTTATGTTATCGGTAACGCTTCCAGTCAATGGTAGGATGTTGGCAGTTATGTTTTTGGGAAGTCAAAAGTTATGCTTGGATTTTTGACTGCACAGGGAGTCACTGCCCCAACCCTTGTGTTATTCAAGGGTCTAGTGTATATGATTCTTAAGCTTCCAGTGAATTTTACTGATAAAGGAACAGAGTGTTTTGGTGGCTTTCCAAGGACAGTTGGCTTCCAAGGCAGAGTTTGGTTCAGAAACTAGATTTTCTAACTCTAACAGTCCAACAGGCCAATCAAGGGTCATTTATTTCTTCAACAAAAATAGATTGAGCACCTGCTATGCACCAGGTAATCGAGGCAGTGGGAATTTGGTGCCATCCCTGCCTTTTTGGTGGGTAGCGATGGATGATTAGCAATAAACACAAAAAATAAATAATCTACATATAGTATGTTAAAGTTAAAAGGTATGTTAAAATGGGAAACATGAAACAGAATAAAGAGGCTTTGAAGAGCTAGAAAAGAGGCTACAGTATGAAATGCATGAGGAGGTGAACTTTAAAGGCGGTAAAGGAATGAGGCTGCAGCTATCTGGGAGAAGAACATTCCAGACAGAGGGAAGAGAGTGGGAACACTGAGGCAGAAACAGACTGGCATGTCTGGGGACAGCAAGGATGTCCGTATCAGGAAAGCAAAGAGAACTGAGACTGTAAAAGAGTGGAAGGAGAGGACGTCAGACAGGAGGACAAGTTGTGAAAACCATTAGTCATGGGAACCATTGCAAAGAGTTTGGCTTTCTAATACAAGAAACACAGGAAAACCCATAGTCAGAGACTCAGTTGCCTGCATGGGCCAAGCAAGTAATGTTATGAGCAGTGTGGTCAGAAGGGACTGGGACACAGATGTGCCTGCCTCATCTGAACTGGCACAGATGTGCTTGCTTCATCCTCCTGCTCACCTCTGTTGTCCCCAAAAGAGAAGGCAGAGCCAATGAGGACTGATCTACCTTTTTATTTATTTTTAAATTTAATTTAATTTTTATTTTTAGAGACAGGGTTTCACTCTGTTGCCCAGGCTGGAGTGCAGTGGTGCAAACACTGCTCACCACAGCCTTGAGTTCCTGGGCTTAAGCAATCCTCGTGTCTCAGCTTCCTGAGTAGCTGAGACTACAGGCATGTGTCACCACCCCAGCTAATTTATGTTTTGTTTTGTTTTATTTTATTTATTTTTGTAGAGATAGGGTCTTGCTATTTTGCCAGGCTAATCTTGAACTCCTGGCCTCAAGCAATCTTCCCTTCTCAGCCACCCACAGTGCAGGGATTATAGGTGTGAACCGCTGTGCCTGGCCCTGACCTACTTTTCAAGAGGAGCCGGGAACCTGGATTTTCACATGAAGCCGCCTGATTTTTTTAAAAGAAACATTAGCAATGAATTCCATTCTATCAAAGCACTATGCCTACCCCTTCCCCCAACCAATGCCTCCGGTTACAGAATTGTGACAAATGGATCCAGTTCGAGTCCTTTGCATTATACCATGTTGTCCTGAGGTCCTAAAATCATCAGGCCTATTTGATAGATTGTGGAACATTAAGAAGAATTGGGCCATTATCTGCATCACTTGTATTCAAACATGAGAATTAACCTCTATTAGTGCAACACCTCTTTGTGTTGCAATGATCTGTGCCTGTGTCTGTTTTCTTTACTAAATTGTGAGCTCGCCAAGGCCAGGGACTGAATATTCCTCGGTTTTGACCTCCCAGCAGAAGGCTACACACATAGTAGGCGTTCAGTAATTGTTTATTGAATAAAGTGATGATGGTGACTTTGTAAAAATAAAAAAGTCTGCATATGTATTAGGGCTGGAAGGAAAAGAAAAGGTACAAAAATAAAATTTGGGTTGTGTTAAAGGTTGGTATTTAGAGGAGTCATTTTTCTGTTTTGCAGACTCCCCATACTGTTATTATATTGATTTCATAATTTTAATGGGAGAAAAATATTATAATAAAAATATCAATTAATCTTCTCTGCCTGTCCTTTCATAGCTGTTTGCCCGGGAATACAGACCCTGCTGGGGAAAATTCACTACAACATTCTACCCGCTGGCCCCAAGCACTTACACCACAGAGCTCGCAACCAAGGCATTTACAACTAGAAATTATGGTTACTTTGGGAATTCACATGCTCTCATTGCATTATTAAAACCAAATATCTCTCCTGCACCAAGAGCTAGGCCAGCCCAGCCCAGAATTTCCATGCTCTTTCTGAAGAAAAAAAAAAAAAAGTTATGTTTAACAAATGGTTGGGGTTCTGCAGTAAGAATTGATAAAAAGAAAAGCAGTGCCTGGGTGAAGAGACAAAAGGGATGACAGGTTGGCCTTACAGATCATTGTGGGTGATTCAAGCAATGATGCATCTATGATGGAACATCTAAGTCCTAATTCCAGAATGATGTGGGAAGTCCAATTCAGCAGCTAAGGCCTGGCACAATGGAAGCCAAGTAATAATCAAACACAGTGGGGGTCAGAGGCACAGTAAGCATACGTCCACCCCTCTCCAAGTCTACCACTCCATACAGTCCCATCCATCGGGAAAATGATGTGAGTTGGGTTTTTGTAAATGACACCATACTAGGCAAATGCCCTATGCATGGCAAATGCCTTATGCATGAACACGTGGGCTCTGATGCAAGAACAGAGGACTGGTGTATTGGGAAGGGAAATTGATCAGTCCTAACTGGGAGCACCTATAATGAAGTTTCATCCTGTGGACTGAGTCAAGTAGAGAGGAGAATGAAACCAATTTGCAATGATGGATTCTGGTACCTAAGACCCATTTTTACATTGCTCCAGGATCTGACTGGATATAAAGGGAAGAAAGAAAGGAAGTGTTAGCCAAATGGGAACTTAACCATCAACTTTATAATACTCAAACCCTCTCCTTGACCCCTTCCCTCACAGAAGAAGGCCACCTGAAGAGCATGGTTTGGAACTGACTCTAGAAAGGCGGTTTCCAATTCTACCCACTATGCTTTTGGGGCCATGTTGTTCTGTAGAGCAGCCCCAGAGTTGACCCAAAAATGAATGGAAAGAAGCCAGAACACAGTTGATATCTCCACCTTCAGTTCTTCTAAGAACAGACTGGCCCAGAAGAGCTAGAGACCATGGTATACATGAACAGTGTCCACATCCACCAGCAAATGCTGCCCAATAGATAGTACAGCAGGTTCTCATCAATTTCTTGGCTACCCCATCTCACTTGGGGAAAAACAAAATAGACAAATGGAAGCTCCCTTTTCATGTTTTCTTAAAAGGTTAGAAATATTGACAAAAGCTTTCTTTTTGAGACAGAGTCTCACTCTGTCAACCAGGCTGGAGTGCAACGGTGCAATCTTCGCTCACTGCAACCTCTGTCTCCTGGGTTCTAAGCAATTCTCCTGTCTTGGCCTCCCATAGTTGGGATTACAGGCACACGCCACCATGCCCGGCTAATTTTGTATTTTTAGTAGAGACAGGGTTTCACCATGTTGGCCAGGCTGGTCTCAAACTCCTGACCTCAGGTGATCTACCCGCCTTGGCCTCCCGAAGTGCTGGGATTACAGGCATGAGCCACTATGCCCGGCCAAAGCTTTCATTTTTATGGAAACACAAAAGTAGAGAGGAACATACCTACTGTGTGGATCAGACACTGTGCTCTGTGCTAAACATGAAAGCTATCACTGATGGAGCCTCTCCAGTGTTGTAGGCACCTTTAATTATATTTATTCACTTAATCCTCCCAATAATCTTATGAAGCAACTCAGATGCAATGAGAAACTGAGGCACAGTGAAGTTACATGATATGGCTCCTAAGTGGCAGAGTCAGGCTGAGAGCCCGGAGGTTTCACATCAGAGTGTGTATTCTAACCTCTGCGTCAGAGCTGAGGCATGCCAACCTCACACCAGCCCCTTGTCCCTGTTTGACAGGTGAGGAATGTGCAGTTTGCCTATGGTTTCTGGGTGCAGAAGCCGGGCCTGGCTGAACCCACAGCATGGCCAATTGTATCATGAAATGAGTGCTGTAAATGAGCAGTTATAAAGACCCCAGAGCCATGTGTCTAATGGGCAGGTAGAGACCCACCAGAGAAAATCCTATGGTTAATGCTGATCCAAGGCATCGTGGCTCTGGCTTGCTACTTATTCCTAACTCCACTCAATGACAGGCATAGGAGACAGGAGGAAGTCAGTGTGCTCCTCCTACCTCTCTGATCTGGGAGGCCTGAGTCTGCAGCTGGGGATGGCTGCAGATGTGGCTGCTATCCTTGGCTGCAACATTAGGATCACTTGGAATACATTTTAAGAGAAAAATTTAAGCTCCCAATGTAATTAGTCTGAAATGAGGCCCTGACATATAGGTTTTTTTTTTTTTAAAAAAGTTCCCAGGTGATTCTCATGTGTAGCGATGGTCGCGAAACAGTAGGCAAGGAAACACATCTTGAACTGACAATTAGAATTAAAATCTCCTCCTAAACTAACCTTCATCTAAGACACCTGGGGCTTGACTGGGACATGACACTTAAAATGGAAACACTCTGCCATTATTTTTGGCTCTTGGTACTAATGCTGTGTCTGTCAGGAGGGTCTGGGGAGAGGGTTGTGGGTGAGGGCTGAACTTGAATGATGAGGCCACACAGATGGAACAAGAATCAGCAATGCACTGCCCTTGTTTGGTAAACACACCCAGTGCTTAATGGTGCCTAATGGTGCCTGTAATTGATGCCTAAAGTTATTTAAAAGTAAATTTACTAGAAAATAATTAGCAATTTTATAGCTCACTACTTCCTAATTTTATGGATAAAATTTTTTTCCATGGTTTTATCAGGCACCACAATACAACGTGCTGTGAAATCACTTGCCCAAAATGGAGGTAAACATGGGTCTCATAAAGAGGTAAATAATTTTGAAAAAAAATTGTTTGCTTATGCAGTCTCACCGAATGGAATGTAGGCCTTTCCCTTTCTTCTTTCCCTTCACCACCATCACCCCCACTCCAAGTCTCAATCTTCAGATTGAATCTGCAATAAATTATCCTTAATCAACATCAAGGGAAAGCTGTAGAAAGGCAGCTTGGGGATGGCTTAGCTCTCACCTTGGGCTCTCTTAACCTTAGCAGTGGGAGTAGAGAAAAAAATTGTGTTCTCATTAGCCCCGATACGTCTTTCCTTAATGAGCTTATAGAAATACTCATTACAACGCATTAGCTCACCTCTCGCTCTCCCCACCCAGCTAGCCCAGAGGTACAGGAGAAATTGAGTAATAGAAATGAATTTACCAAACATTTTGCTGAAGTTTTACTCAAGCTCAAATGGCCCTTTCTGGGGCCCTCTATTCATCACCATAGAGAAATGAGTTGCTCTTGTTTGCTGTACAGAGGCTCTCAGTGTCTTTTACAATCCTTCTATAGATGATAACCAGTGTCTGCATCTATGAAATGGGCATGATAATCTTTCCCCTGCTTGTTACTAAAGTTGTGATTTGTGAACCAGCAGCATCTGCATTCTAGAAAGCTTTTAGAGGTGCAGAATTTCAACCCTTGTCTCAAAACTATTAAAAGAGAATCTCTAGGGTTATGGAGCAGATATTTGTGTTGTAATGCATTTTCAGGTAGTTCTTATGCATGCTAGAGTTTGAGAACCAATGTCTTATGGGGATACTGTCAGCAGCCAATAAGAAAGCAAGGGAGAATATACCCTGGAAAGAAAATTGAAAGACGCTACCGAAATTCTGGATATTATTGTTTCTTTTTATAAATACAAAAATATATAAAAATATAATATTTACAAATTTTTATATTTATATATAAATGTACATTTATATTTTATATTTGTAATTATATATTACTATATATAATATATAAATTTATGTATTATATATTTATATATTATAAATTTAAATTATAAATTTATATATTATATAAATGTTTACATATTTATTTACATATTACTTTATATTATATATTACATTTATATCATATATTACTATATTATATAGTAATATATAATACATATGTAATATATAAATTTATGTATTATATATTTATATATTATATCATAATAGTATATGTTGCTATATATAATATATAAATTTTATGTATATGTATATATAATATATAAATTTTATGTATATGTATATATAATATATAAATTTTATGTATATGTATATATAATATATAAATTTTATGTATATGTATATATAAAATTTGTATAAATTTAAGGGGTACAAGGGCAGTTTTATCACATGGATATATTGCATAGTGGTAAGGTCTGGGCTTGTAGTGTACCATTACCCAAACATTGTACATTCTACCCATTAAGCAATTTCTCATCCCTCACCTCTCCCACTCCGCCATCTTTCTGTATCTCCAGTGTCCATTATTTCACACTCTATGTGTATGTGTATATATAGTGTGTACATACACAATATATTGTGTATATATGTATATATAGTGTATACATACATAATATATTGTGTATATATGTATATATTGTGTATACATACACAATATATTGTGTATACATACACAATATATTGTGTATATATGTATATATTGTGTATACATACAATATATTGTATGTACACACACACACACAAACACACCACATTTTCTGTATCCAATTATCTGTGGATGAACCCTTAGGTTAATTCCATCTCTTTGTTATTGTGAATAGTGCTGCAATACACATACGAATGCAGGCATCTTTTATATATAATGATTTATTTTCCTTTGGGTAGATACCCAGTAGTGGGATAGCTGGATTGAATGCCAGTTCTATTTTTTTTTTTTTTTTTGAGACAGAGTCTCACTTTCTTCACCCAGGCTGGAGTGCACTGGTGCAATCTTGGCTCACTACAACTTCCACCTCCCAGGTTCAAGTGATTCTTGTGCCTCAGCCTCCCAAGTAGCTGGGACTACAGGAATGCACCACCATCCCAGCTATGAATGCTAGTTCTATTTTTAATTCTATGAATTATAAACCTAGAAAACTCATTCTTTTGCTTCATCAAAACTCCCTATCTATATTATTAAATCATGAACCCTTTAGGGGCAGATACATATTGTAAAGCAGGTTGGTGTAAGAGTCTAAGAGCTTGTGGGGACTGGGGTAAAGTGGTGGCCTGCACCCTCCCTACAAGCAACTCAGTAGATAAACAACAGAATGGTGCAGGCCAGACACAATAGTTCTGCAAGGTGAATTTGGTCTGAGGACTACCATTATGTACCATACAAATGTTTGGACTGCCCAACCCAAAATGTATCCCCAATATCCCTTGTATTTCTTAACTTCAATTTTTGAAATTATTGGAATTAATTGTTTCACAGTCTGGTACACTCTAGTAATCTTCCTGGGTAACAGATTATTTGGGCCATTCTCCCATGGTCTAATAAAGCCATCTCTGATAAGATGTAGTCATTTCCCTCTGGGTGATGTTCACTCTCTGGCCACCAAGCACTTGGTAAGAGCAAGGATCCAGGGAGCATTAGCTAGAATAATGTCATCTGGGGGCCTCTTCCCAAGGTCATCATTAGCAATGCTGGCCGTCCATGAGAAATTGCCTCTCCGTTTGAATGCAATATACTGATGTAATGACTGTTTTAAAGGAAGAGATGGAATTCTACAAATGGAATGGGCTTTATCAAGAAGGTTGAGTAAGTTAAGTACTTTCAAGAAATTCCATTGGGCAAAAATGGCCAATAGCCTGTGCCGTCTGGATGGCAGAAGCTACTGGCTCTAAGTCCCCATTGTTCCTGCACACTCCCCACTTGGCTATATGTTGTTCCCCACCTGGGAGAAAGGGGGCAAAAGGAAACCAGGCTGGGTTGGAAAACTTCTTGAGACAGATGACTTAACTCTCTGTTCTGCAGAATGGGGTTCATAACCTAAATCAGAGTCAAATGACATCATGGATTGAAAAACGATTTATAAGCTTCAGGCTGCAAAGTTAAGTCAGTATCATAGCTCATCTGTGTCAGTCCAGCAATAGCTCAGTAAATCTCTTTCCTCCGTGGTGACAGAGAGTGGCTGGCTAGCATAATGGGCAACTGTCCCACTATGCACTTGAGATGGATGTAAAATCCCATCTCTGCTTACCTAGTGAAGCCCAGAGAAGCCCCAAAGGGAGAAATGCTCAACTAGACCTTGGGATGCAGTCTTGACTCTGCCACATCTTAGTTACGTAACCTTAAGGTGACGTCTTAACTCATGTGGTTCGCAGTTTCCTCACCTGTAAAATGGAATGACATTACAGCCTACCTCATAGAGTTGTTGGGTAAAATAGAGTTCAATCATCCACGCAGTGTGTGATATTCTTCATTCACCTGGCTAATATCTATGGAGTGCTTACTTTAGGCCAAGCACTACTCTAGGAGCCCAGAATAGAGTGATACACAAGAGCCAGTGGGTCCCTGGCCTCCTATGGCTTATGTTCTAGTGGAAGAGACACAGCAATTTTTTTTTTTGAAACAGGGTCTGGCTCTGTCACCCACACTGCAGTGCAGTGGCATGATCATATCTCACTGTGACCTCAAACTCTTGGGCTCAAGTGATCTTCCCACCTCAGCCTCTCGAGTATCTAGGGCTACAGGTGTGCGCCACTATGCCTGGCTAGGTAGCAAGCAATTGAACACATAAAGGCAATGTATGCTGTGTTATAACAACAGGGACTGAGAAGTGCTATGAACAAAAATACTCCAGGCTAAAGGAATAGAGGACCAGGGTGGAAGGGTCGTGATGTTAAATGGAGTCAACGGGGAAGGCCTTTCTGAGACGGGAAGATTTGAACAGGAACTCGACAGGGTGAGGCAATAAGTCACAGGTATATCTGGCAGAGAGCACTTCAGGTAGAGGGAAGGGCACCTAACATTTGTTAAGTGTTCAAGAAACCCACCTGAAGATAAAGTTCTACACACTGATGGCATTTAGTCAGACATAAAGGAGTTCTTACTCTTGATGATAAAATGCTAAAAGGAGCATCAAATGAGGTTGTGGAATCTCCAAAGAGTTGTAGAAAGAGACAAAAACTGTCTTTCCCAGACTGTTTATCTTACCTCTTGAGGTCTTTAATGAGGTTTTCAGATGAAAAGTCAGATGCCCACCATAGTCTCGCAAAATATACAGTGAAAGTCTGAAGTTTCTCATTCTTCAGAAATGTGAGCAGCTCTTCTCTTTCATTTATTGGTCATATTACCTCTTTATAAGAGATCAGTAAGCTCAGTGGATAAAGAGGCCACAACTGGGAAAGCTAGATAAAGAGGTGGGAAGCGGGGCTTAAATGAAGATTGAAGACTCTGCCTGGTGCTCTCTTCATTAAATAATGTATTTACTTGATTGGTAAACCTTTCATTCATCCCTTTGTTCAATAATTCCTGTATCAATCCCAGCACCAGGCATCAGGGAGACAGAGATGAATGAGACATTCCTACCTCCAAGGAGCTCACAGTCTAGTGGAAAACAATGGTTCAGAGAAGTGGCATTGCATGATCTTAAGTGGCACTGTAGAACATTTAAAATGCAGAGGATGGGACAACCAATTCAGCCAGGGAATCAGGAAAGGTAGATTTCAGCCAGGTCTTAAAGCATTAAGGGAATCACAAAAGTTGTATTTCAGCCAGGTCTTAAAGCATTAAGCATGAGTAATACTGTGCATAGAAAGAAAGGATTGGTGTAGGGAAGATATTACAAGTACAAATTACAGCAGAAACTGTGTAGGGAACGATGAAAAATCAGTGTAGCGGGAGCATTGAGTAGGAAGTAGTTGCCAGAGAAGAGGCTGGAGGGGGATGGTTTGGGGACAGACTGTACAAGTCCTTAAGCACTAAGCTGGGGCATTTGGAATCTATCATACAGGCAACAAGGAATCATGAAAAACATTGTATTCGTTTTTCTGGGATCTCCTTTTGGAATCATGCTCCCCCATTCAATAATTATGTTTCCCAAGTCATAAGGGTAGGGGCTGGCTCTTCCCAGTCCCTGAGGGTGACTTAAGCCAGACTCAGAGTGTTCCAGATCCATGGCCACAGCGATTAGTTTCTGAGTGACCATGTGACCCATTTTTTTGATGGAGCCCTTACAAAAATGCTTTCTTCTGTGGAATTGTTAAGAGTAATGTAGGCTTGTCTGCAAGTAGCTGTAATGACCTCATGTGAAAAAAATCTAAGAATGAAGTCAAAAAGAGATCATCAGAGATAAAATGCTGAAAGACAGAGGCGGTAAAAAGGATGGGGTTGAAAAAGAGAACACTTACTGATATTATTAAATTATTAGATATAAATTATACCTGAAGCCAGCCACCTTTTGTAAATCTGTTCCATGAGCCAGTAAATTCCATTTAGTCCTGAATCATATTTGAATTGTGCTGCCTGTCACTTCCAAGTAAAGAAGTAAGTGACTAATATAGGTATTACACAAGTAGTGTATTAGTAAGGGGATGATATAATCAGTTTCCCTTGTCAGTTAACATGGCCCCAGATGTACAATAAATTACAAATAGAAAAGGGAATAAACTGGTGAAAGGTGGACCACTATGGGGAGATCTCAAAAGAACCCGTAAGATTAATAAATGCTTAGCATAAATATGTCTTCTGCAACTATTTGCAAAACCTAACAGTCCTAAATGGGATTGATGAGAGGTAGCTGGATTCTGGACATACTTTCTTTTAAATTATATGCAAAGTATAAGTGAAAGAAAGGAGCAAGAGTGAATATAGATTTTGGCTTGGAAAGACAAAGCAGCCATTTACTCAGATGGAGAAACATTGGGAGAAACAAGTTAGGATGATTTAGGACATCTGAAATTTGATTTGGATGTATTAAGACTGAGATGCCTATGATATTCCCAAATGGTACTTCAATAGAAAAATCTGGAGTTCAAGAGAAAGCTCTGGGCTAAAAATGTGCAATTTGTAGTCACCAGCATAGAGGGTGTCTAAAATCATGAGAATGTTTAAGGTTACCTAGTAATACAAATACATAAAGAAGGACTAAAGGACCTGGAAAATGGGGTGTAACCAGCATGACAAGGACTGAAGGACCTGGAAAATGAGGTGTAAACAGCATGCAAGGATGAAGAGTGACCAATGGTGTGGATTAGTCATACAAATAATAGATGTTCTTGGAAAGTGAAGTAAGGCAGCTGTTGGAGAGAGGGATGAGTGATCAACTATATAAATGCTGCTGATAATCTAAGTACCATGAATACAGGATTTCTCCAGAGATATTAGTTGTTACTCTTCTTGGTATTTGTCCTTAACTCAAGATAGAGCCTCTGGAGGTTGTTTACCTTAATGGGGGTTGTTTAGAGTCAAGTATTTAATAGGATTTAGGTAACTTGGGATTTCAGATGTCTTGAACCTGAAATTTGGGAGAAGAGCATCTATACGTTGGATATAATATGTTAATGCCCCCAAAATTTGAGAAGCCTCTGGGGGAATTTGTAACTTGCATAACTGTGGTGGTGCAGAAAAGATGCTGAACCCAAAGATGTGTTACAAAATGCTACTTTTTAATATGATAGAGGAATAGAATTGCAAGGGGATAAAGCAATGCATTGCAATGTGAGAAACAAAAAAGGGTCCACATATGTCTGAAACCAGTGCTGCTTTTTTAAATGTACGTTTCATATATCCTTGCCTGACCCCATGATGCCAGTCCACATCATAAGGTCATAATGATTCTCCCAGATGCTGAGGTCTAATATCCATGCATTCTCTCCTCTGTCCTATGGACCTTAAGGGTCTTATAACCTGGATATGTATATATGCAAAAAGGATTCACAATTGCAAGTATCTTAAGCAATGAAGATGTTTCTTCTCACATTTGATAAAAAAGCTTGGAAGGAGGTAGTTGCAGGGTTGCATGATTCAGTAGATAAAGAAGGCCAACAAAGAGTCAGGGTCTTTTCATCAGTTCTTCCCTGACATTGTCAGTGTCAGCCATATTTGCCTTCATGGTCACAAGATGGCTGCCACAGCTCTTACATCTGTCATCCTCACAATAGCATTCAAAAGTAGAAAAAATAGATCCCTTTCCTCTTAGCCTTGGTCACTGTCATCCATCTATCTATCATCTATCTATCTATCTATCTATCTATCTATCTATCTATCTATCTATCTATCATCTATCTATCTATCATCTTTAAGGATTCTATTTCTGAGAATCTCTGAGCTGACTACTGCTCAGGCTCCACTGGCTATTAGGAGCTCACATGAATTGCTTAGATTAGTCACGGGCCATTCCTTGGGGATAGAGAAGAGGTCCTCTTTCCCTCCACACATCACCATCACTTACCAAAACAAAAGCAGGGTTCTTTTAACAAGGGAAATGGGAGAAGATAGCTGTTGTATAACACCATCTGTGTTAGGAACTATGGCCATTCACGACATAAGTTTGGGATTTAGCTATTATATTGTTTAAACCATGGGAGTGAATGACACCATTCAGAACATCTGCATGAAGAGAACTGGTCCAAAGACAGCCACCTCCCCTATTTAAAAAAAAAAAAGAAAGAAAGCCAGGCGCAGTGGCTCATGTCTGTAATCCCAGCACTTTGGGAGGCCAAGGCCAGCGGATCACCTGAGGTCAGGAGTTTGAGACCAGCCTGACCAACATGGAGAAACCCCGTCTCTACTAAAAACACAAAATTAGCCAGGCGTGGTGGTGCATGCCTGTAATCCCAGCTACTTGGGAGGCTGAGGCAGGAGAATTGCTTGAACCCGAGAGGCGGAGGTCGCAGTGTGCCGAGATCACGCCACTGCACTCCAGCCTGGGCAATAAGAGCCAAACTCTGTCTCAAAAAAAAATGAAGAAGAGAAGGAGTCTGTAAGGGTGAGACAGGATGAGAACAGAGCTGGGAGAGGTGTCTGAGAGAGGAATGGTATGGAAACAGAAGTGGGAGAGCTTCCTTGTATAAGGAAATGGCCAGCAGCATCAAATGCTACAGAGAGATCAAGTAGAAGAGGGCTAAAAATGTCCTTTAGCCCTATTTAGCAATTAAGACATCATTAATGGCCCTATTAAGCTTTTTATTAGACTTATGGGAGCAGATACCAGAAGGCAGGTGTATGAGAAGAGGAAAGTAATTGAGAGAGTTGAGAGAGGGTAAAATCTACTTTCAAAGACTTCAGCCACAACGGTGGGCTGTTGCATGGTATTTTGAAAAGTGCTACAGAAAGGTTTTTTATTTTATTTTTTAAATTAAGGATGAGATGTTCTATTTTGGACTGATGTTTATAAAGACTGAGTGAAGAGGAGGATACAGGAATAAAGTCCATGATCCTTGACGTTAAGAGTGAAGAATCCGATGCAAAAGTAGGAAATGATGAAACGTGGGTGGAGGATGAAGGATTCATGCCATGCTAGTACTTTTTAAAATTCATAATAATAACAATAATAACAGTGAGCCCACTGAGCTCTTTTTTGTTGTTGTTATTCTCTCTTTTAAGCTCCTTATATATGTCATCCTATCCTCACATGTGCTGAGGCTGGTGCTATCACTGAATACATTTAATGCATGAGGTAATCCAAGTCCAATGACAGGCAGAGAGAGGCAACTTCAACTTTCTCCGTGAAGCCAGCTCCTTTGGCCAAGAGAACAAGAGGGAGAGAACAGGGATAGGGATAGAAAGTTTGACAAAAGGGGGACGTCTCAGAAACAAATACAAGAGGACTGAAAAAAAAGAACTTCCCAGGGACCAATAAAAGAAACAAATAGCAGAACGGAGTGCCCAGCCGAGGTTAGAAACCAGAAATTTATAAGGACCCCAATCTGTATTCTCTGCCGTGAGCGCCAGAGCAGAGTAAATGGATGATGGGATTCATCCTGGCTTGGGGACTGGTCTATGAGTCTGTGATTTAGACTCAGTCCTCGTCCTGGTGCCTATGGCATAAACACTTCCTATTTTATTGTGTGTTTTTTTCCTTTACTCTCAGCAGGAATCCCAGGGTAACAAAAGCACTTATTTCCAAAGCCCTTTTCCCAAGCATTCACGGAAGCAGGTCCTCTCCCCTGACACCCTTTACAGGTGCTTCCACTGGGATGAAAACTAAGAAATGCTTTCTTCCCTAAATGACAGAAAAGAAGATATCTCCTGCTTGATCAAGCTATCTCTCGCCTTTGATTTGCAAAGTCACAGTGGAACCTGCAGCCTCATCTTCAAACGCGTCCTGCTCTTTTCTCTAGGGAAAGAAGGAACCAAAGTGGTTGCTAAATATTGCTTTTTCCATGAGTTGTAAGAAAGAACATACACCACTTCTTTTTTTTTCTTTTTTGCCTTTCTTGTAGATTTTTGATTGTCCCAAGGCTGTTCCCATGATCCTAGAAACAAACCGGTGACAAAAATTCAGCCTCTAAAGACATTTAATGGTAAATATCCTTTGTTACAGAAACACAGGTGTAATTAAGTTGTAAGCAAAGATGTGGTAGAGGTAGATCTGTCAAAGAGATTGGAGCTTTTTGAAATTTGGCCGGGAAGGGAGACCATGTCCTTCCATGGTCCAGCACAGAACCGTGTTAGGGTTGCTGGGCATTAGCCCATCTTTGCCTCTGTGGACCCACTGTGGAGGCAAGCAGGACATGAGATAATCGTCTCTCAACCTCTCATGAACCATAATTTGTCATTTCTCCAACCTGCTTCTAGTCTAATCCTGCAATTCCAGCTCATTTTATTCTCTTTTGTTCCAGGATATTTTATGTTTCTTCCAGGTAGAAAGGAGCAGGGAAAAAGAAGTCAGAAATTTTCAGAAAGCTTAATATCAACTCTCCTCTCAAGTTGAGATATAAAGGAAGGAGATATCCAATATCTTCTACAGCCCAAGCTCCCTTTAATGATCAAATTCCAGATTTTTGCTTTTCCCAAGAAACCATCCTATCCATTCCTGCTTACTGGCTGGACAGCTTTTGTACTAACAAGAGAAAGATGGGCATCTTTCTCCTATTAAAGTTTCATGAGGACAGTTTAATGGGACTTCTTGTCCACAACCTTTCTTTAGCACCTGGCATAGTGATGATATATAAATGTTTACTCAATAATAGAGGAATGAAATAAATGATGAAGATTTCACAGCTCTTCGGTTTGGTTTAACAACTGTCACTGCCTAAATATTCCTCCTTGTGTCTAATTTAGTTGATTCTGGATAGAGATAATTGCTCATGGCTTCCTCAGAACACTGTCTTGCTCCTTACGCAAAGCTACTGCTCTAAGTCCTGGTTGACAGATGAAATGTAGAGTCAGCAAAGGGCAGTAGACAACTATGAGCACTGATCTAACACATACAGGTCTAGGTTCACCCACAGGTGTGCTCTCTGCAGGACTCTGAAGCACTCTCAGTCCAGCATGGTGAATATCCATCAGTATCCTCTAACTTTGGGAAGGCCATCAGAAAAAATTGGACTACATTCCAATGAGAGAAGCCTGGGGCCCATTCAGAATCAAGCATACACTTAACCCCTGCCTCTAGAAAAAGCTATCCTCCTAGCATTTTTAGAAACATTCCATTTCCACGACCAATCTGTTAGGCAAAGCTACTTTTTTTTTGAAGGATTATGAGTAGATCTTTTTTTAAATTTTTTTAAATTTTACTTTAAGTTCACGCCTGTAATCCCAGCACTTTGGGAGGCTGAGGCGGGTGGATCACGAGGTCAGGAGATTGAGACCATCCTGGCTAACATGGTGAAACCCCGTCTCTACTAAAAATACAAAAAAATTAGCCAGGCGTGGTGGCGGGCACCTGTAGTCCCAGCTACTTGGGAGGCTGAGGCAGGAGAAGGCAGAGCTTGCAGTGAGCTGAGAGCACACCACTGTGCTCCAGCCTGGGCAACAGAGCGAGATTCTGTCTCAAAAAAAAAAAAAATTACTTTAAGTTCTGGGATACATGTGCTGAACGTACAGGTTTGTTACATAGGTATACAGATGCCATTGTGGTTTGCTGCACCTATCAACCCATCATCTAGGTTTTAAGCCTCGCATGCATTAGTTATTTGTCCTAATGCTCTCCCTCCCCTTTCCCCCCACCCCCACAACCTGCCCCGGTGTGTGATGTTCCCTTCCCTGTGTCCATGTGTTCTCCTTGTTTAACTCCCACTTATGAGTGAGAACATACGGTGTTTGGTTTTCTGTTTCTATGTTAGTTTGCTGAGGATGATGATTTCCAGCTCCATCCATGTCCCTTGGAACCAACCCAAATGCCCATCATTGATAGATTGGATAAGGAAAATGTGGCACATATACACAATGGAATACTAAGCAGCCATGAAGAAGAATGAGTTCATGTCCTTTGAGGGGAAAAGCTACTTTTAAGTACACTTGAGTTATCTCCTGAGTCTCTGATTTGAGGGTAGTGGGAAGTGCACAGGACTAGAAGTCAGCAGATCCAGGTTGGAAGCCTTGCTCTTCTGTGTCATCTTAGGCAAAACAAGGTAATTCCTTTTTTTTTTTTTTTATCATACTTTAAGTTTTAGGGTACATGTGCACAACGTGCAGGTTTGTTACATATGTATACATGTGCCATGTTGATTTCTAATTTTGCATTGGTACAATGAAGACATACGACATGGACTCCGAGGGTTCTTTACACCAAATTTCTCAGCCCCACTATTGACCTGCACTTGGATTCCTGCATCAACTTTTCCCAGTGCTCAGTGCTACCCTAAATGTCCTCTCTGACTTTCCATTGCCTTTTTTTTTTTTTCTCAAAATAGCCTGCCCTAGAAAAAAAAGCTATGGGACCCAAGGTTCATGGGATAGATAATCTGACATCTTTGCAAGGGGAGGCTTCTCTCAGTAGACACCATGTGATATGTGGCTCTGGAAGGAAATGGTAAAGCAGAAGAAGCTAAATACGGAGATAACCCATCCCTGAAAGGATTCATCGAGGAAACTTGCTAGGGAGTACTTCCTGGGGCCAGGTGGTTAATAGGAGAAATCTCTATTGTTCTGGGTTTCAGTTTGAATGCAGATCTCTATTTTCTCCTGGAAAAGAACCAGGGAATGGGTTTGTGATGTCTGAGACTGACCAGATTGAGAAGTATTAACCCCAAAGAGCTCCATATCTCACAGTCAGTCCTTCTTATGCCCCACAGTTATTACAACAACAGGGAGTTATGAATTCACTCAGAGCCAGAAAGAAGCTGTGATGAAGATCTTTCTGATCCCCAAACATGAAAGACTGTTGTAGTTCTAGTCTGTTCACAGCCTCATGGACGACTCCCCATGACATTGTTGTCTGCAACTAAAACTCAATATCAATTCTCCTGCCTATTTCAAAATAATTCTTTTCCACGTGGTCCGGAATGATTAGACAGGATCACAGCTATCCAAACTGACCTTTCCTGGGCTTAGGAAAACACCCTTTCAAATCATGTTGACTGCTATTATTAGGGCAGGCTGTACTGTCACTTCCTTCTCCCATTATTCTGAGCCAGCCACTTCGTGGTTTTACTTCAGTCACTACCCTGCTTTGGAAGTTTGGAAAAGTCTCTTGCAAACCCAAGTCCTTACAGACCCCATCTTTTAAAATACGGTCAAAAGACCTCATTATGCCTGAGCTAGAGGACAAGTCTACCTTATATTTTAATTTAATTCAAGCTGTGTATTGTGCAAGTGTGCTTTAATTTGAACTATTGCTGATTTTAGCACATTTTCAGAAAAGATGAATTTCTAGTAGTTTGGTGTTTCCTTCTTGATGTATTAGTCAACAAGTAGCTGACACCTGAGGGTGGCATCAAAGACATCCCTTGACCTTGGACCAAGGGCAATACCAAGGAAACCATAGGTGGTAGAAGGAGCCTGGAAGGATTTATGTTCTCTATTAATGGCTTGGCTGTGGTCACTTAAAAAAAAGATAGCATCTTCCCTTCTGGGCAAATACTTTTCTTGTTAATCACATTCTTTATGCATCGCGCTCTCTCTCTCTTCCCCACCCCCCAAATATTTGTCTTCTTAATTACCCAATCTTATAATTGTTATCTTTTCTTTTGTTAGTGTCTACCACTTTGTGCTTTGTAAGAATTGTCTTATAATTTGGGATAAGACTAAATGCTGCTGAGTGTGGTCTCTATTGCAACAAGTACTTGGTGGTCTTCCCTTCCCCCTAGTTGGTTATCCTCCATATTACCTCCCCCTACCCTGCTTCATTTCATGTGCACTCCGTATGTCCCTCCTCATTTAGCCTAAATCCATGTCCATCTTCCCCACTGGGCTGGGAGTACCAAGTGTCAAGTGTCAAGGTGAGTCAGCTTTGCTCTTCCCCATATCTCTTCCTGTTGCCACTTGGTCACTCTACAGATGTGTGTGTGTGAATTAAAGACTGAATAAAACATGACAGCTTCTAGAGCAGCGTTGTTTTCCACAGCAGCATTGTTTTCCCATAGCCCAGGGACACTAGAGATTCTTGCTTATCTTCCATTCATGGACATATATTTTCTTAGCCTTGATTTCCTGCCTTGATGACAGAAAATGTACTATTATTACCTCATCATGTAAGACATTTCACAATTTGAGACAGTGGTTCCATGTATCTCTTATGTCTGAAAATGACAAGTCTACATTCTTTTGAGAAACTGGGAAATGCATGAACTCATCTCTTTCCACCCTAAGTTGTTACAGGAAGAACCTGAGGAGATCCACCAATCCCAACTTATTTCCAGAAAACTACGAGAGCTACTCCCAAGGATGTGCCCTGCTTCCCAAACATCTTTGTCTTCCATGTAACCTTTTAGGATTCAGAGCTTCAAGCACCGAATACATAGCCTGCAAGCTCAAAAACATTGCCCTCACCTTCATTTCAAGAGAATGTATTTGGCTCTGTATGAATTAATCTTGAAGCCTTGTTATATCTGAAAGAACCTTGAGTATGTAGCAAGGGAAAGGCCACAGTGAGGAGAACCCATCTATGAATTCGGTGAGACCCTGTCTTTGGGTAGGGGAGAAGGTTTTGCATTTGAGTGTCTGAAATTCAGCCCATTCAGTGCCATTTATAGGGAGCTCTTCTTCTGGCCTTGGCTTTAAGCAAATCAATGGTGCTTCACTTTCTCTTTGCACTCTCATCATTGTTTGGTCTGAGTAAAACAGCACTTTCACCTGAACATACTCCCTGGAATGCTATAAAGGCATGTTGTTCTGGAAGGGGTTTTGGGAACCGTTTTTTCTCCTCCTCTTCTTCCTTCTTAATCTTCTTCACAATTATCTTCTTCACCATCATCATCACCATGGTCATCTTTATCACCATCAGTCCTGCAGTATGATGGCCATCACCATCATTATCATTATCTTTATCATCATCAGCTCTGCATCATTATCATCATCATTGCAACACCATCATCATCCTTATCACCATTACCTCCACAGATCATATCAACATCATCATCATCACCATCACAACCATAATCATCACCATCAGCTCTGCATCACCATCATTGTCATTACCATCATTATCACCATCATCATCACTACTATCATCATCTTTATCTCCATCAGCTCTGAGTCATCATCATCATCATTATCATCCTTATCACCATTAGCTCCACAGATCATCATCACCATCACTACCATCACCATCACCACCATCATCACCATCAGCTCTGCATCATCAACACCATCATCATCATTGTCATCACCATCATCATCCTATCACTCTGCAGTATCATCACCATCACCATCACCATCATCATCGTTATTACCATCAGCTCTGCATCATCATCATCATCATCATCACTATTCTTGTGTCAATGAAGTACTTTATTCTTTTCAAATACTTTCCTATCTATTAACTCATTTTGATCATCAGAAAAACTCTGGGTGGTAGGCCAGCAGGAATTAAGTATACTTATGTTACAGATATGAAAACTAATGTTCATATTGATAAATCTAGTTGTCCAAGACACAGACAGAGGCAAGGATAAGACCCAGTGACCCCTTTTCTGACCATAGTGAGGCAATGCAGAAGTTTTCTTTGTTAAATAAACAGGTGGGTGAATGAGAGGGGAAAAGATTTGGGGTCGTAAAAAAGTGAGGCTTAGACTGGACTCCTAGTGCTAAGGGATTGAGCAGGCCACACTCTCCTGAACTTAAAATTTGATCTGAGGGGCTCCTAAAGTTTGCAAGGAATCCCAAAGAAGGGTCACATATTTACTATTCTAAAGTCGTGGTTTTCATACACAGTCTAAAAGATAAATGGGCTGCTGGGTGCTTTTGATTATTATTGTGTTTTGAGCTGGTAGGTCTAAGTCGCAATGTCAAGGCTTTCACACCTTTCAGGTACAGAATGATACTGACAGAAAGAGATGAATACGGGAGCAATGACAGCTGCACTATTTGGGAGGATGAATTTTCCTTTTCCCATCTCTGAACCACACGCAGCAGCCTTCCCAGAGCCATGAATCATCCATTTGAGGGAAAGGAGGGGGATAGAAAATTAAACATAATTTATGCTTTGCTAATTGAAATCAAATACAAAATTCAATCTCCCGTGAGTTGCAATGCTCACGTTTAAATAGGGCGGAATTATTATTAACCTGACTCTATTTCAGCAAGTTGACTTAGCTTTTCTGGATAGAAAATAATTCCTTCATCAAGTCTCCACATTGCAGAAAGGGACGTGGCTAAGTGGTTCACTCCCAGAGTGACAAGGATCAAGCTAGAGTAGACACTGAAGAAAATGGACCTTAAACATATCAAATTTGCATTTCTCTTCAGAACCACGAGTTTTCAACTATAACACCAAACACTATTAAATATAAAAATCCCCTAGGTCCCAAGGCTTAGCCCTCTGCCCTCTTTCTCCAGGAAATTTTAACCTCCTGTTGTATGCAAGGATGTATAAATAATTTAAGGGGGCTTCTCCACTTTTATTTCCCAGGTGAAGTGGCTTATTCACCATTGGCTACCACATTACAAAATGGATTTGCTTGTCATATTTTGGGGACATATTTATGTGAGGACACATGTTTTGGAGGCAAGTCTTAATGTTCTGGGCTTTTAAAGACACATAGACAACCAGGCAGATGGAAAATGGATAGTAGGTGTGACTGAGGGTCCAAATGAATATGTGCCTGCCCAGAACGGAGGTGATGAGAGCAAGCTAGATTAATAGGTCATTTATTTCTTTAAAGCATTGCTACAACCAGATTCTCCTTTGACTGTCTAAGTTATAAGGGTAACACTTAACCCTATTGCCACTGAACTCCAAAAGAGCACATGTTTCTGCAGGGAAGCCATAACACTGTGGAGGTCACCTCTGTTGGAAATAATTCCGAGAAAAGCAAAAGCATAAAAGGAGGTAGGAGGGAGGGAGTGGAGGCAAAGAAATATACAGACAAGCCTTTTCCTCCAGTTGCTCTCAGTTCCAGCTTCCCTAAGAATATTTTTGAAAGGATGAATTCCTGAGCCTCACCTTAGAGTTTCTGACTCATTAACAGGTCTGAAACAGAGCTCAGGAAGCAGTAGGCTTGAACAAACTCCATGGCTGACTCTGATGGGTAGGGAGGGCTGAAACTCACTCACTCCTTGCTCTGCTTATGAAACCAAACCCCGCATGAGTCCCACAGTTTGCCCTTCTAAATATGGGTGCATTTTCTTCCTTCAAATGTACATGCACGCATTTTGATCTGTTTCTTCTTTTACATTGATAGTGCAGGTATATCTGTTGCTTTCAGCTCAATAACTGCTTTACTATCTGGAAAAATTATTTGTAAGGTTGCTTTTGAATCTGGCATATCAGTCCATTCCTTGTTGGAAATGGTTAAGATAGGAAAAAGCTGCACTCCTTTTAGGACCCACTTGCTTTGTACTATTGCAAGATTCACTGTGCCCTGCAGACAGAACCTTCTGAAGATTCTTGCCTCTGGGACTTTCTAGCCATCTCAGAGAGATGATGCTCCTGGCATTCCAGGGGAGGCGGGAAGATGGAGATGATCAACACAAACACACCATCGAAACTCATTAATCAGGTTGCATTAAGCTTTATAACAACACGGTTTTCATTTAGCGGGAGAAATGACAGTTTAATAACAGCTGAACAGATTTAACTCCCCCCACTCATACAAATTTCCAGTTTTACTAGAACAATTCCTGGTTTTGGAGATCTGTGAACAAGTGCTTTATGTCAAATGATGCATTTTAATTGAATCAAACTGATGGGAAGGGACACTTCATTCAGCAGCTCTTGATGGGGGTTTCTGCAGACAGCCCTTGCTCACCCCCAACCCTCATAAACTGGATCTGATGAATGGAGTCAGCTTTCTCGCCACTACCTCACTCTCTGCCATCTCTAAATAGAGAAAATGAAGCCCGAGGAGGTGGTGGTGGGGCAAATTGGAAGAATGCTGACTGCTCCTTTCTCCATTACATGGCTAAGGATTATTCCTAATAACAGACTTGTCAACTCTCTGGTCTTTGCCCTTCTAGGGACCCTAGGGGACAGAGTCCACCCCAAAAACATGCTCAGAACTACAGTGCTTGGGAGAGATGGTCTTCAGGTAAGGTAACCTCCCACCAAGAGGACAGGATTTCTTCTTTTACCCCCAGATATGGCCACTCATCTCTGCCAACCCCAGAGCTCTGACCTCGGTTACAATTACTCTACTCTTTGAGCAGCCCTGTGGGCCTGATCCGAACACAAGGGCATATGCTAAGCTTCTGCACAACCCAGGATACTCATGAAGAGTGAGACCCAACCCCATTTAGAGGGCTCTTGGAAAGAAGGCTTCGAGGTGTGTCAGCTTTCATTTTCTTCTGTGTGTGTGTGTGTGGGTGGGTGTGTGTTTTCTTTTTCAGTGAGGAATGTGCATGCCTCTGCCTTCATGATGTGGGGAGGGAGGAAGTCAGGGGTTGTGGGATGAGACCTTTAAAGAGAAGACTAGAAACACCTTAGAGGGAGGACCTTGCTCCCTAGGAGTCCTGGAGCACTCAGCCACAAAGTGCATTCTGGGGAGAAGCCCAAGCAGAGGTTTAGACAGCAGGTGCCCATGACAGATACAGGGCTAGAACCCTGGCTCCCCAAGCTAGAGTGAGAACCCCTATAAAGCAGACCTTTTTTGTCGCTCACATATACATTAATAGCACTGTCTCTGACATTGACAACTATTTATCCTCTGTCTTCAGGCTATATTAACTAGCAGAAGATAAGAATGAACAGTGGGTTCTGGTGGCCATCTGGTCAACCAGATGCTGCTGCCCAGATGGGCCTGGTTCCTCCATGGGGATGCCATGGGATCCACCTGTTTGCCTAAGCTAACAGCACTGGAGGCAATCCTGGCTGCATGAAGGAGGAGGAGATCTACTTGGCACTCCAGCAAGTGAAGCTGCAGAAGCTGGGGTATTCAAGGACTCAGGCAAGGAGCCTCCTTAGCTTATTGACTAGCCTTCCTCTGCCTCTCTAGCCTCATTTATCACCCTCTTCCTGTTCCCACTGAAAATCTTGACCAGTCATTTGGTAAAACATCAAGTTGAAGGGTTTGTAGAATTTCCTCAGTCTGTGGATGACATCTGGGTCAATGCGAGGATGAGTCCGACCTTTGCTCTTGCCTAAGCACCTCGGGGCACTGCTGTCTTCTGGCTTCTTTAGGCAAGGGAACCCCTTGGTTTTGTTGAAATAGAAATGCTTCTCAGTCACAACACGTTTGAGGCCTAGAAAATCCTGTACTTTGGCCATTTCCCCGGCGGGGTCCACAATGAGTCGCTCACCACTGACAAAGAGGATCTGGGAGAGGGGGAAATACTGGAGCCAGTTTTCCAGATGCAGCGCATAGATCCCTATTCGAATGGCACTCCAGGAAGCATCGATCAGCCCGAGGGTCCGGTTTTTGAAGGCCAGCACCTCAAAGGTGGGGATCTCGGGTTTCTTTGACAGTGTCTGCGTGTAGTCAGAGATGGCCCTGGTCACGGGGTTTCTCACCACCACAATCAGTTTGATGTCCTTGGCCATGGAGTGAATGCGCTTGGGAGCCTCATTTGTCACAAAGTAACTTGGAGTCTTCTCCATGGTTATTTGCCCATCCAAAGTCTTGGGCATCACATTTCTAGGAGAGGGAGGAAAAAGGAAGAGAATGGTTATTCCTGTCCAGAAATATCTGAACTTCTTTGCACAAAATGTGTGATATAAACAACCTAGTTTGGAACCACCAAATAAAATTGATAAACTCTTGCAAGTTCTTCTTACCTATATCTCCTGACTATAGTCTTACCCTGGCTACGTATTATCAGAAAAGGCAACACAAGGCATATACATTCTCTCCCTTATATATCCCTAGGTTTAAATGGCTATTCTACCTCTTACCAGTTATGTTTAACCTAGATACACCCTTGATTTCTCTACGTATTAGTTGTATAATCCCTGAAACAGAGATAATGATAGCACTGACTTCACACTGTAGTATAAGGATTAAGGGAGATAATGCTCAAAAAGCATTGAGCAATGAAGCTGGCATGTGTAAGAGTTCAATAAATTAAAGAAATTATTATTGTTATAGTAGTTTTTAGAAAATCTTTGAGCTCAACAAGACCTCAAAGCTTATCTAGTCCAGGATTGGCAAACTACCTCCTGCCTCCTATTTTCGTCTAACTCACAGATAAGAATGATTTGTAATCACTGAATTGTTGTTGAAAAAAAAACCAAAAAGATAATAATAATATTTTGTGATGCATGAAAATTATATAGAATTCAAATTTCAATGTTTATAAATAAACTTCCATTGGAACACAGCCACATTCATTCATTTACATATTCATCTAGGCTGCTTTTACAGTAAAACAGCAGAGCTGAGGAGGTAAGACAGAGGCCATATGGCCCAAAGCCTAATGTATTTACTCCTTATTCCTTTAAGAAAGAGTCTGCTGATCCCTGACTTGGTCCAAAGGTATTATTGTGCAAATGAGAAAACCGAAGCCCAGGGACAGGGAATAAACATGGAAATCAGACAGGCTTTGTGACCTCAGCAAATTGAATTATATCTTCGAGCCTTATTATCCTCATTTGTAAAATCCTAAAACCTACCTCAAATCCCAGCACTTTGGGAGGCTGAGGAAGGCAGATCACAAGGTCAGGAGTTCAAGACCAGCCTGGCCAATATGGTGAAACCCCATCACTACTAAAATACAAAAATTAGCCGGGCATGGTGGCACGCGCCTGCAGTCCCAGCTACTTGGGAGGCTGAGGCAGGAAAATCACTTGGACCCAGGAGGCAGAGGTTGCAGTGAGCTGAGATTGTGCCACTGCACTCCAGTCTGGGTGACAGAGTGAGACTCCATCTCAATCAAAAAAAAAAAAAAGAAAAGAAAAGAAAAGAAAAGAAAAGAAAAGAAAATTCAGTTGAGAGGAAAATGACATATAAGATGAAAGATCTAGCATAGGTATGGCTCAATATATGGGATTTTATTCTTTCTTTGCTCCCAAAATTGCCCAGAAAGCCACTGACAGATCCCATACCAGGGTCAGTATCTCTTGGTTCCTTTGCTAAGGCTGCTCCTCCACTCCCATTCCTCCATCCGAGTTTGCCTCCAGAGTAGCCTTATCTTATTTGGGAGCTCCAAGATATTAATATTAAAGGGGTTTGATGCCATTTTCCCCTAATCTCAATGTGGCAGGCTTATCAATGATAAAATTAAGCTTAGAATGCCATTATACAGTCAATTTGCTACAGGCATATGTAGACCAAAGTTAATTGAAGATAAACCTGTTCAATACCTGTCAGTACAGCAGGCCATCTGCCACCATGTGCTCCATTAAATCTATTCACTTCTGAGCCTTGCACCAAAGTGGTGCATTTAGGATTACACAAGACCTCTTTGTTATGATGACATGCTTTTAAATGTCTTAGCTAATAAAACTTAATACAGACAAAGATCCCCTAGCTTCTCCTACCATAATTAAATTTATTTACTATCGCGTGTGTGGAGAAAGAATGACTTTTCTTTTATCTCTAATTCACATGCTCTGTCAATAATTAATTGCAACTGGGTTTTGAGCTATCTCGGCAAGCACTTTTATGAGGCAAGAGGAATTTGCCTCGTAGAGAAATTCACAAAGAGCTGGATGTTGTTAGTATAATGGTTGGGCAGCGTGGTGTTTTCAGATCAAAGCAATAGCCCTGGCCATAAACAACCATGCTCATCTTGGAGTGACATATTCTCCAAAGTAGTTTGAATGCCTTTGTGTGTGTCTGTTTGGTTCTCAACAGATCAATTTGTCTAATTTGGAGGAACAGGGCTAAGGAATGCAGCCCCTGGGAATCAGATTTGCCTGAATTAAGAGTTCTGATTACCCATGCTACCTTGATGAAGTTACTTAACCCATTTTGACCCTTAATGTTTCATCAAAGAAAATAGGGTTAATAAAAGGCCATGCCTCATAGGATTTTAATGAAGATTAAATGTCATAATGCAGGTAAATCACTTGGGATCATGCCGGTTCAATGTCAGAATTTTTTTAACTTAAGCCAGCTGGCCAAAATCAGGATTATTCTTACAGTAATTCTTACAGAAGGGCAAGGAAAAAAAAAATACTTCATTTGACCAAATGGAAAAGGCAGGAAAACATGGTATCTAAGGAACTGATCTAGAAAAAAGTATACTCTAATTCATGCCAATATCATCAATTGCACTTCCGGATCTGGAGGCTGGTGTCCAACAAGGGAGCTACCATTAGCTCAGCCTGAGTATAGGAAATATACTGACCATCTTATTTTTATTTCAAGTGGAGAGATATATTCCCTTGTTTCATTATGCAACTCATATCATATTATAAAAATATTAGATAAATCTTGATGCAAAAACACATCACCTGAAAATAGCTATTTTTATACGGCCTTTTCCAGATTTTAGTTCCCCTGATGTACTTTTGACACACAAAACTAAACACATTATTTTGTTGCATTTTTCTTTAGTGTAGGAGCAGCTGCTCAACTTTTCTTTTCATCCATTCTTCACCTTTGCCTTCTTAGACCTCAATGCTTCTCTTTGCACTGAGCCCCATTCAAATTCATCTCCTTTACTTCAGCTGATTGACGATCTGTCAAGATCTTTGTGGATCTTGAGTCTTTTATCTGAAGTATCTGGGACAAAATGGTACCCAACATATAAGCTGGTAGATTTAGCAGAGTAGATGTGTGCCTAACTTACTGCTTGTTGCAAAAGGAAATAAGAGAAGGCATTGCAGAAGGCTTTGGAGACAGTAGAGGGGAGCAGAGGAGACTAAATAGCTTTGACCTTCATGCTACCCATGAATGTGAAAAGTATATACTTTAGGAGAGTTTTTGCATTTGGGGCACACATGGGGAGACTATCTCATTGAGCCATGATTCAACCAATGTGGCATGAGTTATCCAGTTATTTTGTCAGTGAGAAGATATCCAGTAGTTGCTTGAAATCTATAAAGGACAAAGCTCCCTTTCCTCAAACTGATTCTGAATCAGTTATAGTCATTCATTCATTCTTTCATTCATTCCATAAATGATCACTATGGGTAATGTAACAGTAAACAAAACGGATGCAGTCCCTTCCTCCACTAAGCTACCAGTCTAGCTCCCACAGCTGATACATAAAGAGCTCTTTATAGCATCATATAATGAAGTATTTAAATCAACAGAGCAGGCATCATTATTACTCCAGTTTTACAGAGAAGGAAACAGGACCAGAAGCTAAAGATTTGTTCCAAGGTCTCACTAAGTATGTATTTTGTTTCTAAGTTGAGTGGCTGAGCAAGAGTAATTCAACACCAGGATCGGTGACAGGTCCTGGCAAATAACAGGTTCTCAGTGCCTATCTGTTGAGTGAATAGATGGGTGAATGACAAGCCATTAATCTCCACTCCTAAGTGTAGGCCAGTCCTAATGCTAGGTTTTTGTTGTGAAAGGTTTTGATGCCTTAATCTTCCTTTTCCCCACTTTCATCTCTCACCTGGGGCTCCGATCCAGTAACTACTTCCAAACCATGCTGGTCTCCCTCTTCCTGTAAGATTAGAGGAGGCATCCCTCCTGTGGATAGGACAAAACCCCCTGCTAACCTGGGCTTTGGATCTTATTCTCTTCCAACCTTTCAGGCACTTTTTCTCTCAATTTCTCTTCTCTCTTCTAGGTTTTAAGTAAGTTCATTTTAACTGCATCTGACACTTCAATATACTCATGTTCTCACATTTTGGTGTGCTTGAGAAACAGAAGGAAGACCAGTAACGCTGGAGGGCAGTGAGCAAAGGTAAGAGAGTCAGAAAATAGGGCCAGGAAGACAGACAGGGAATAGACTATGGAGGGCCTTATGGGCCATGGAAAAGGTACTGGAATTGTTTTCCTCATGTGATGAGAAGCCACTGAAGAATATCTCACAGAAGAATGTGATAAAATTTACACTTAATTTTATTTTTCTGGTAACTTTGCTGAGAAAAGATAGGAGTGTGGCAGAGATAGAAGGAAAGTAACCTGCTAAGAGACAATTTTAGGAGAGAAAGAGAGAAATGGTGGGGGGCCTGGGTGTAGGTGGAGAGGGCAACACAGAAAGAAGTGCTCAGAATAGGAGTAGATTTTAAAATAAGGCCAGAAGTCCTTAATGATGGGTGGGATGTATGTGCAAGAGAAAGAGAAGCATCACAGGTGACACCAACATTGTTGGCCTGTGCCAGTGGCTACATGGTAGCATGATTTACTGATGTGGACACTACTGGGAACAGGGCAGGTTTTAGGGGAAGATACCAAGTCAATTTCAGACTTGTAATATGAGATATGTCCTACATACCCAGGTGGAGGGATTGAGTAATCATGTTGACACAGGAGGCTGAAATCCAAGGGAGATCCAGATAAGAAGTGGACATCTATGTCCTGTGTTCAAGTTCCACCTGCCAGGGAGTAGGGAGAAGAATGTCTGCCCTCTTTACCTTTGTTAGAAGAAGACACGACTGTCCTCTGCCTATGCTGGGAGTTCTCTCAAAACTGAAAGGTGTTCAGATGCTAGGTGTGCAAAAAAAATTGTGTTTTATTTCATTACAAAGATGTTCATGAACTTCTTCTAATTCCCAGAGTCCTTGTTAACTACCTGCGTTACAGGGCTTAGAATAATGTCATAATATGATTTGTTCCCATGTCTTTCATGGCTAGTCTCAGTTCCTTGGGGCTGTAGGCAAAGTTTTAATCACCTTTGTATCCCCAGCGCCAAACACAGTGTCTGACATGTACTAGCTGCCCCATTACTATTTGTGGTTACTGGATGAAAAACAAACGACATTCCAATGAATACATGGTCTCTGGAAGTCAGGAGAACTGGGACATGCAGGACATGGCTCATCTAAGTAGGTGTTCCATGCATGGGGTTCAGCGTTTCTGACTTTCCTCCCATCCCTGTCTGAAAGACCATGCACTTCAGCGTGAACCATATGGTGAGAAAACACTGCATCTGGGCTTGGCACAGCTCGTTAACAGTATCTTGGGCGCTCAGAGCAGCCGTGACATCAGCGTCAACACACAGTCCTGAAGCGAGAATCATTCCGCAAGATCACACATCTGCTCTCACAGCCCCAAATGTTTATGAGACACTCTCCAACTCACTCGCCCTGTCCCCACTGCACTCTCCTGGTCCTGGTGCTTTGCTAAGAACAGCCCAGTTTCTCTTTTGAAAGAGTTAGGGTCTCACTCTGTTGCCCAGACTGGAATGCAGTGGTGCGATGATGGCTCACTGCAACCTTGAATTCCTGGAGCACAGCCACTTTTGAATGCAGGTCAGCCTCTGGGGTCCTCACAGAAACAATAACAATAGTTAACATGCAGCCTAGACTGAGCACAGCCATTCACTGAGTGCTCACTCCATGCTATGTTCTGAGGCTGAGAGTGCAAATTCTGAAGCTAGACTGACGTCTCCAAGCATTTTCAGACATTGGACTCACCAGCCCAGTAGTTAAGATCAGAGACTCCAGGATCTAGACTTACCAAGTTTGCATCCACTGATTAACTGTGTGATCCTTGGCAAATTACTTAACTTAAGTAATATGGGTCTATTTCATTATTTGAAAACCAGGCATCATACTAATAATACCCCTTCTCATGGGGAGTTTGAGAGGATGAAATGACTTAATATCTTGAAGAGTGACTCTCATAGAGTAAGTTCTCAATGCAGTAGCTATTAATTTTTAAAACAACTCTTTAAATAAGGTTTTATTGTAATCCCCACTTTACGGATCAGGAAACTGAGATCCAATGACTTGATTAATTTACCCAAAGCGAGAAGAGGTGGAGTCGGAATTCAATCCCAAGTCTGTCTGACACCATAGCCCAAGCTCTTGGCTACTGCCTGACAATGCTTAACCAAACTGTAAAACCTCAGCAAGGTTACATGACTGGCCCAAGGTCACTTGTAGGTGGCAAAGTTGAATCTTAAAAGGAGACACATTATGTGTTCTGCAAAGCTGAGCTATCCCTGACTTGCCACTGGGAGTTACAGACACCCAGACCAGAATCCCTAGAAATTCTTGCCAGATCAAGCTACATCATTCAATTTGTGACATCTCTCTCCAGGGCCTCCTCAATTGAAGCAAATGGATACCATCATGAATGTCGAAGGAGAAAGCAATCACCCGGATTAGATATAAAGTGCCCATTCTCTCTGGAAGGGTCAGGAGTGGAGCTTGCCTTTGGCTTGCCTGAATTAGAGGTGTGTGGGCATCTTACATTTTCCCAAATGTGTTATCCAGTGGAACAAATGGTGCATAAATTAGCAATATTTTCTGAGCCCTGCTGATGAACCCAAGAGGATGGTGGTTACAGCAAGGGCATGGGGTGAAGCAGGGCCAGTTCCCCTGCACAGAAGAAAGAAACTCAAAATTCAATGGAGCACCTGCTTACTTGCCAAGCACTGAGCAGGGCAATTTCACGTATTATCCTAGTTAAGTCTCACAAGTACCATACAATTCACTGAGCCCATTATAGAGATGCAAAAACTGGAAGTCAGAAAGACAAAGAACCTTGTCCAGGGATGCATAGCCAAGACCTTGCCCTGCCCAGTTATGCTGGAAAGTTCATTGTGTTTTTCAAACCAAAATTCATGAATTCTGAAAATCCTGAAGGCAAAAAGTCAAACCATTTGGAGACTACATTCTTAAATAGAAACCCAAGAACAGGATCTGTACATATGGCCCTGAGGCTCTAGGGCTTTCAGTAAAATTGCAGCCAAGAAAGAAGGAATCCTGAGTTATGGTTCTGACTGAATAGCTAACTTGCTGAATTAAGTAAGAACAGGGACTTTCCCTCCCTGGACCTCAAATTGCTTTGCAACAAGAGGGTCAGGTTAAAAGATATTCCCTCATTAATTCCACTGAGTATGTATTGGTGCTTATTACGTACCAACTATGGGGTATATGTTGATGATAAAGCAGGCATGGTCCCTGCCCTTCAATAGACTGTATGTTTTTGGAGGAAAGGTCTGTATATCCCATTTAGTAACATGATCTGTGGTTCAGATGGGACATTTTTGCTGTCCCATCAAACAGAATGATAAGTGTCAAATCTCAGCTGCATTGCCACATGCCTACGAGAGAGGAGACAGAAAGGAATGGGACAGAGAAGAGGAAAGGAGGAAGAGGAGGAGCAAAGGATGAAAGATGAAGGAGACTAGAAGGTAAAATAAGGAGGAATAAAGATAAGAGGAAGAATGGGAGGAGAAGGGGAAAGAGGAGCTCGGCTTGGAAGATGCACAAATAATTGAAATACTGAGAAAAAATGAAAGAAGCATCCCAGGTTTAAATAACACATGACCACACATTGGGAGAAATTTTCAAACTGAGGTCTCAAGCAATATTTGTTGTTTTAAAGTTTGTGCCAGGCAGGTACATATGTTTTAGGATGAGAAGGTTTAGGTTTGTCAGAGACATTCCACTGAGGTTGTAGTGGCAATAGCCCTACCAAAGCAGGCTGAGAAGGTAGATACTCATTATTCCCCATGATATCCGTGAGTAATCTGAGGCTCAGAGAAGTTAAGTGTCTTGCCTAAGATCACACAGCTCGTATGTGGCAGAGTCAGGATCTGAAACCCAGCAGAGCCAATGCTCCTTAACCCCATTCAGTGTGACAAAGGAGAGGAAGATCCAGAATGGAACTAGAGGCAGGAGAAGGAGACAGAGCAGTGATTTCAGGAGGAGAAATGAGGGTTTGTCAACATTCTTACTTGGGGAAAGAATCCCTGGTAACAACAGACATGAATTTTGTTTTGTTTTGAGTAAGGATCTCACTATGTTGCCCAGGCTGGTCTGAAACTTCTGGTTTCAAGCAATCCTCCTGCCTTGGCCTCCCAAAGTCCTGAGAGTACTGGCGTGAGCCATCGTGACTGACTCAGACAGGAAAGTTCACCAGGTCTTAAGGCATGGCAGCAGGGATGTGGTCCAGATCAAGGGGAGCAACGTTTAGGAATTTCCTGCTTAATGGCTTTGATTTTCCCAATGACAGAAGAGTAGGGTCGATTGCTGAGCTTAAGGACCTTGGGAGTGGGACTGGAAAGGGAACAGAATGTAGATGGATGATATATTAACAATTTATGGATTATGATGGCCTGTTGAGAAATTATCTTATGTTTGATTTTGCTTCCAGAGACTCATCTGGAAGACAGAGGACTCATCACCACCCCCACCCACCACCACCACCATCACACACTCCCATTGCCAAGGAGGGTAGCTATTCCCTTATTCCCATGGTCCGGCTAATTTTTATCTCCAGGGAGGGTGAACAGTTTCTCTATTTTGTGGACTAAAAAAGATGTTAGAGCATCCTAGACAAACCCACTGAGAGGTCTTCATGTTTCAAAAATCTAGGTCTTACCTAGGGTTTCTTAACTTCAGCACTGTCAACATTCTGGGATGGATAATTCTTTGTAGTGGAGGCTGTCCTGTGAATTTTAAGATGGTCAGAAGCACTCCTGGTCTCTACCCGCCAGATGCCATGGCACCCACCAGTCATGACAACCACAGATGTCTGCAGACACTGCCACATCCCCCTCAGGGGTCCAAATGATCCCCTGTTGAGAGCCACGAGTTTAACTGATCTAACCAAACTGCCTAGACTTGTCTACCCAAACTGCCTTGATTTGAATCTAGGCTCTGCCCTTCATTAGAGGTGGGGCTTTGGGCAAGTTACTTAGCCTGTCTCTGCCTAGATTTTCCCATACGTAAAATGGGATGATAATAAAAATTGTAACACATATCTCAGAAGGTTGTTTTAAAAATGAAATGAGTTCATGTGTGTACTGTCTTTATTGCCTAAAACATCATAAGCGCTATATAAGTGTTTGCTATCATTATTGTGGGTGTGGTTATACCACTGAGACAACCTGCAGGCTGCATCCCAGCTCCTGAAAGCAAATATCTGAGATTGCTTAACACAGAGCTCTGGATATGGGAAAATTCCTGTGTGGATTTTTGTGTGGCTGAGTACTAAGTATTAAGTTTTTGAAGACCTTCTGGCCAACATTGACTCAGAGGGTGTGCAGACATCAACAAAGCCAAGTCCCATGTGACCAAGAGAAGATGAGGGACACTCTCTTATGGCCCTGGGTTGTGCCACAAGTGGTGTCAGAGGCGGGTCTGAATAATGACTGGTAAAGGACTTCTGTTCAAAGTAGCAACATGAATTTCAAGCCAGGTTTAATTTGAGTTAGAACATAAGAATCTTTCTTAAAACCTAAGAGCTAAGGAGTAATTTATCTGTTCTACAGAAGATAACTAGCAAAATACACTGAGTATCCAGATGAAGTTGGAAATTATAATTTGAACTGACAATGACCTACTCAGCGTTCAGGTTCCAGGCGTACATTTAAAGACAAGTGCAAGGCAGCTATAGCAGAATGACTGAGAGATAAGAAAACTGAGGATGCCTGTGAGTGCTCAAGCCTTGGGCCCTATTTCTGTCCCCAGCCAGGCGATGAGCGAAGGATTTTAGGAGGGAGTGGATGAACAAGAAGACAGTGAGGACTAAGGACATAGAAGGTGGACTAAGGACATAGAAGGCTTGATGTAGACATTGGATATGAAGGCTTGACTGCCCCTCTGGGTATAACGTGAAGAGAGAATGGAATTATTTCCATGCTTTTCTTGAGGATTCTACTAAAGCAGGGGTCCCCAACCGCTGGGCTGCAGACCAGTACTGGTCCATGTCCTGTTAGGAGCGGGGCTATACAGCGGGACGTGAGTGGTGGCCCAGTGGGCATTACTGCCTGAGCTCCACCTCCTGTCAGATCAGCAGCATCATTAGATTCTCATAGGAGTGTGAACCCTATTGTGAACTGCGGAAGCAAGAGATCTAGGTTGTATGCTCCTTATGAGAATCTAACTAATGCCTGATGACCTGAGGTGGAACAGTTTCATCCTGAAACCATCCCCACCCCACCCCCATCTGTGGAAAAAATTGTCTTCCACAAAACTGGTCCGTGGTGCCAGTTTGGAGACCTCTGTGCTAAAGCAAAAATAATACTGACGAATTTCTGAAGATATCATCATAAACAAATAAGGTGAGAGAGCAGACTATCAGAAGAGCTACCAACCAGAAAGAGGAAGAGAGAGAATATGAGAATAGATTCAACTTTGAGAACTATTTCAACAAATGATGTTCGTGATGCTTTTCTGAGTACACCCAAGCATCATAAACCACTTTTGGATGGACTTTATCTCAAAGGATCAAAAGTTAAGGACACTGCCTATGCCATGGGGCAAGTTCCTCAAACTTTATGTCCAGAGACATAAGAAAAGACAAATAAAAATAAGAAAAGAGAAAAGCCCTTTTCAGTTCATTTTCACCTCTACAGCAGGTTGGCTCATAGCTTTTCAAAGGTAGCTTCTTCTCTCTCAAATGAGGATAAAGAGGACTTTGAAGTTCCTCATCAACTCTAATGGTGTTTTCACTCCCTCAATAATAGTCAAGAGCTGTTCACACATAATAGAAGGCCCCCACAGCTATGTTCTTGGATCAGGCTCCAAAGAGAAACTGGCTTGTTGGATTCAGGGCAAGTGGCACTTTCTCTGGTGCTCAGAAGAGTGTGTAGGGGTCACAGGCATGTCTGAATACCTCATGAGAACATAGAAGTCTATCACAGAGGGTTGAAAGCCTTCTCTCCCATGCTCTTAACAGATTTCCACATTGTTCTCTTGTACTACGTATGTTTTCCTTCATGGGATCTGAGCTTTGGAACCCACTTTACTTATCCAAGTAATTACAATTTAAAAATTTGTATTTTATATATCAGAACTATATACAATTGCTTATTAGTGTTTCTTAAAGGAAAACCAAGGTCACTATACTGAAATAAGTCTTAGCTTAGAGAGAAAGAGAAAAAAAAGAAAACTACAGAAAAAAACTCTTCGTTTGTTCATGAATTTAGCAACTATAGCATGGCAGGAACTCTGCTAGTATTAGAAGATAAAACAAAGAGCAAAACCTTGCCCTTAAAAAGTTTTTGGGCTGGGTGCAGTGGCTCATGCCTGTAATCCCAGCACTTTAGGAGGCCGAGGCGGGTGGATCACCTGAGGTCAGGAGTTCAAGACCAACCTGACTCACATGGAGAAACCCCGTCTCTACTAAAAATACAAAATTAGACGGGTGTGGTGGCACCTGCCTGTAATCCCAGCTACTCGGGAGGCTGAGGCAGGAGAATCGCTTGAACCCGGGAGCCGCAAGTTGCGGTAAGCTGAGATTGCACCATTGCACTCCAGTCTGGACAACAAGAGCAAAAAAAAAAAAGTCTCAAAACAAAAAAAGAAGTTTTCATTTTCTAAAATAGGAAAGATGGTATATATCCATCATGGAATACTATGCAGACATAAAAAGGAACAAAATAATGTCTTTTGCAGCAACTTCAATGGAGCTGGAAGTCATTAATCTAAGTGGAGTAACTCAGGAAGGGAAAACCAAATATCGCATGTTCTCACTTATAAGTGGGAGCTAAGCTATGAAGGTGCAAAGCCATAAGAATGAATAATGGACTTTGGGGACTTTGGGGGAAGGCTTGGACAGGGGAGTGAGGGATAAAAGACTACATATTGAGTATAGCATACACTGCTCGGCTGACAGGTGCACTAAAATCTCAGAAATCACCACTAAAGAGCTTATTCATGTACCCCAAAAACTATTGAAATAAAAAGTATTAAAAAAGAATTTTTCATTTTCTGAAATAGTACAAATTGTTTGAGAGGTCTCTCGTTATCTCTTAGGACTCACAGTGGTCAAAGACTTTCAGGGTAGGAATCACTGGCCAAGGGTCAACTGAATTCCAGAGCCCACAAATGCCTCTTTTGGAAGCTGGCCAGGTGCATCGTCATCTTGACAGAGGTGTGTGGCTAAGGAAGTGTTGAGTCTCTGGGTTCTATCTCTGAACCATACTTGCTTTGAGCAACTCATTTTTGTCTTTGATCCTCAGTTTTGTCCTCTGTCAAATGGGGATAATAACATCTCTTATTTATTTATAAGAAAAGATATCAGGCATCTTGGCACGGAGAAAATCTTGGTAATGCTCCCTCATGTTATCACTGCTAGCATTGTGGTGCACATAGTAGGTACAAACAGCCCCATCTGCTCTGTAGACAAAGGAGAAGAGCCCTGTTCAAGCCCCCGGTTTTTTTTTTTTTTGAGACAGAGTCTCACTCTATCACCCAGGCTGGGGTGCAGTGGCGCGATCTCAGCTCACTGCAAACTCCGCCTCCAAGGTTCAAGCAATTCTCCTGCCTTAGCCTCCCGAGTAGCTGGAATTACAAGCGCCCGCCACCACGCCCAGCTGATTTTTGTATTTTTTGTAGAGATGAGGTTTCACGTGTTGGTCAGGCTGGTCTCAAACTCCTGACCTCAGGTGATCTGCTGCCTCAGCGTCCCAAAGTGCTGGGATTTCAGACGTGAGCCACCACACCCAGCCCTGTTCAAATTCTTAATCTACATGACTATTACTGGTTGCATCATAGATGGGCCTTTATGTAAATGATGGCTCTGATTCACAGAAACCCACCTCTCAAATGGACATTGATACAACCCAGTCATAGAGTACCGAACAGCTTCAGTGTGGCATATATCCTAGTGAATTATTAGAAATCTCTTTCTCCTTACCACCTGAGGTGCGCAAGCATTTGGGAAGCCTCAATGCTGGGCAGGGCTTAGTCATTCCACCGGGCCCACGCCTCAAACTGCACAAACTGTAGGCATTGCTTTTATTTATTTCTGTCATCCCTGACCTTTTGCAATGTGATCATTGGTTTTTAATACCAATATGACTGGTTTTTAAAACCATTCATTGGTTTTTAATACCAATAGACCACCATACAACACAATTAAACCCTTCCATATCATTTGATTTAGAAAGCACATATGGACAGATAGTAACTATGAATTCAATAATCCCTTAAAATGCATTTGTGATTGAATCATCACTGAATCTACATGTTTGAAAGGTTGCCACGCATGTGTGTGTATGCGTGTGCATGTGTGTTGATATGTGATTTTTTTTTTTTTTTTTGCTTAGTTTATACTCAATGTTTAGTATCCATAGGGATGTGGAGGTCTCTTGCAATAATTCTTAAGTCCACAGGTTGGGTAGCGTGGATCTAAAATCTAAACCATTGCCTACCTATAACCTCAGATTTCATCACTGTCCTCATCCTGGCAACTCTCCTTCTACTCTTTTCTCTTTTGTGATTGCAACGTCTCACTTCAGGGTTCTAAGACAACATTTTCCCTGATTGTGAAATAACAAGATTATGGAACAAATTTCACCTGACCCTGACTGGGGTTCCCACCTGGAGTGTACTTCGCTGATACTTTATTCATAAACACTCAAAGAGTGCCCCTCTGCAGAACCTCACACACCAATGTCTGTTAGCTATTTTGTTGTGTTTTCTTTCCTTGGTCTCAGCGTTTTAAAGGGCAGGTGCAACAATTAAATGATGATTATGGAGGTCTCAGTGTGTCTGCACAGGCACTCGTGCTTACAGTTGAAAAGACAGTGACAACAGAGGGCTCCTCTCGGGAAGCCTGCGCTCCAGGTCTCTCCACCTCACACTCCACTCTGAGCTGTGTGCCAGCTCACCACTGCCTCAGGGATGCTGCCAGCCTGCCTTCCTTCTCACCTGCATCCTGCTACTGATCCAAGCCCTGTTTGCTCTCGCTGAGTCTTATTCTGTCACCCTTCTATGGGTCTGAGTCCTGCAGCCTCAAACAGCATGGACCATCGCAATTCTGAGCCTCAGAGCAATAAAGACACTACTCTTTCAGAAGATGACTTCCAATTTGCCAGGTTTTCATTCAGCTCTTGACTTTTCCTGGAACACCCTTTACTTTGTTCCACCTGCCTTTCAAGACACTACCATATTCTCCCGATGGAATCTCCACTAGTCGCATGTCCAGAAAATCACTTATTGACTGCTTATAGCTATGCCTCCTAAGCTCTGTCTTTTACCTACTTGGATGAACATCCCTCGAGCTGCCACAGCTGACTCAGTGGCTGTCTGTCCCTGGGATCCTGGCTCTGCCATCCTCTCTCGAAATAACTTTGGAAGACCTCCTTAACCGCCTCAAGCCTGAGTTTCTTCACCATATACAATTCCCATTTTATACAACAATTTTACACCATTCCAATCATGAGCAAGATCCATCTCAGAGCATGTTTCATCAGGATCAAAAGGCTTAGTGGTTAGGATGCACTTAGCAGGGTGCCTGAAAGGAATTAACTGCTCAGTACGCGTGTTAATTATTGTCGCTATTACACATGAAGCCCATTTCTTCATTGTGTATTCTCAGAGAATGTAATCTTAGGACCTGTGCCAATAGTGAGGTCATTTCATTTTTAGCCCATGTGCATCCTTAAAATGAACTTTCCTCTTTGTAAATAATTTGTATGTGTTTCTTCCTTGTGATCCAAGAAACCTGGTCAGCAAGACAGACAATGTTCAGCCAAAGCACTTGATATTTTATTGGTGAAAGCGTTGCTGGGGTCAATCATGCCTGGCTGCAGAAACTTGTAAAACACGTCAGTCAACATGGAAACATTCATCCATATACATGACAGGTGTCAGTGTTCCTGTGAAGAGCGAGTGTGTTCTGCCACACTGCCACGCACCAGCTCTAGAGTTTAGCTACAACTGAAATTTAGTGTTGAAGGGAACTTGTGCTTTCTGCTGAGTAAATTCAGCCAGAAGCCCCCTTTCCTCTACATTTGGCTACGACAGAAGAACGACCTTTTTACGAAGTGCCAAGGCTGGAGCCTTCTATCTTGTCCTTGAACTGTTTCCTTCAGACACTTGCATCCCCAAATCAAGAGCTTCAGCTTTAATGATGTAAAATATAATCATAAATTAATTAGTGTATCCTACGGTGGCTGTATTTAGACCTGACTTTCACAGCTTGGGGTGCATGAAATACTAAACAGATTTTTAAACCAATCAGTCTGATCATATAACAGAGGGAGAAATGATGGATAGACAGAAAAGGAGAGATGCATACACCTTGTGAGGTATTCACATACCTACACACTCTGCTATAAAGATTCTTATATTATCAGGCATTCATGCATGCTAATTCCCTGTAGAGTATCTGTCACACACATATACACACACACACACACACACATACACACACACACACACACTTCCTTCAGCTCTTCCCATAATAGGCTCCTTCTCTTATTCAGGTCTCAGTGCAAACTTCACCTCCTCATCTAGCAATCCCCCACCCCAAGAACCCCACCTAAAAACGTTCTCTTTCACATCAGCCTTTTCTGATCATTTCCTACGGCTTGCTGTTATCTGAAATTACCTTGTTCATATGTTCATTGCCTTGCGTAGAGTCCACCTGTCTCCTAAAGAATGCAAGCTCCTAAGAAGGGAGATGATTTTGCACTTTTCTATAGTTTGTGTGCTCCCAGCATGCCACATAGTGCCTGGCATGAAGTAGGCCTCGATAAATATTTGTTCAATGATGGAAGAAATAATGAAAAGCAGAAAAGAAGAGAAGGAGAAAGAAAGGAGGGAGAATAAAAAGGTGGGTGAAAGAAAAATGTGCCCAAATTGAGGCAGAGAATTATACCCAATAGATTTCCTAACACACCACATTGCAGCATCCCCTCCCTCCCCCAGCAGCCAGGTCGTGCCCACTCCAGGCTCCCTAACCTCAGGAGAGGGCATCACCATCCACTCAATTGCTCAGTCTAAAACCTGGGAATCAGCACGGATTCCTTGTTTCCTTACGCACCCTGCAGCACATCCAATAAGTGCATCTAGTCAGTCTGTCTGTGGCCTCTATTTCTAAAACATATTCTAAATTTAACTTCTTCTTCCCATCGCTCCATCATTCCTCTGCCACTTTGCTGTCTACAGCACTGCCTTCTCCAGCCTTGACTGCTCTAATGGCCCATCTCTCCCTGTCTTGTTCCTCTAAATGCCATTACCCACACTGAGCAAGAGTGAGTTTTCAACAGCCCATGCTAGCTGAGAGGGAGGTAGGAAATGCATAGTGGCTAAGAGCCTGGATGTTTAGTGTGGGATGTTTGGGCTCAGATACTAACTCTGCTATTTGCAGTGTACACAATCTGGGACATTACTTAACCTCCCTGTGCTTTAGTTTTTTAAATCAAAAATGAATACTCTAACGATAAGAATAATGTTTCATTGATACTATTATTGTGAGGATTGAGTAAGCCAATATACATAAAGACCATATAATAAAACCACCTAAGCATTAGTTGTTGTTATTGTTGCTATTATTACATCACTCCTGTGCTTAAATCCTTTCAAAAATGTCTCATTATGTTACAAAAAGTAAGTCCCTTTTCATGGATTACGAGCCCTATATGGTATGTTCTCCAACCTCATATCCCGTTTCAACAAAGTCCCAGCAACACCGGCCTTCTCTGTGTCCCCAAATACTCCACATTCCTTTCCCTGCAGGGACCTGGCATTTGATATTTCCTCATCCTGGAGTGATCTTTCCCCAGATCTTTGTACAGCTGGCTCCTCCTTGTCATTCAGCTCTTATATTAAATGTCTGGACCTGTGCCATCCAATATGGAAGGAACTAGCCACAAGTAGCTATTAATTTTAAATTAACTAAAATTGAATAAAATTAAGGATTCAATGTATCAGTTACACTAGCTGCATTTCAAGTGCCCAGTAGTTACGAATGGCTAGTGGCTACTGTCTTGGAGGTGCAGATATAGGCTATTTTCATCATCACAGAAAGTTCCATTAGACGATGCTAATTTAGCCCATCACTGTAGTTTTTGTGACATCTACATGCAACTTAAAAGTCATCTCTAGGCCAGGTGTGGTGGCTCAAACCCTGTAATCCCAGCCCTTTGAACTTTGGGAGTCCAAGGCAGAAGGATTGCTTGAACCCATTGCTTGAACCCAGGAATTCAAGACCAGCCTGGGCAACATGGCAAGATCTCATCTCTACAAAAGATTTTAAAAATTAGCCAAGTGTGATGGTGTGCACCTGTGGTCCCAGCTACTCAGGAGGCTAAGGTGGGAGGATTGCTTGAGGCCAGAAGTTGGAGGCTGCGGTGACCCATGATCACACCACTGCACTCCAGAGTGGGCAACAGAGTGAGACCCTGTCTTTTAAAAAGGCCATCTCTAAGAGAGACTTTCTGTGACCATTCTACCAAAAATAGCCCCTGACCCATCATTCTTTCCCATTGTTTTGTTTTATCTTCTTTAGCACACTCTGTGGCACTGGTCAGGATCTGGAATTAACTAATTTACTGGTTGGTTCACATTATTGCTGGTACCTCCCCACTTGGAATCAAGCACCATAATGGCAGATGTTGCCTTGTTCACTGCTGTATCCATATTACCTACAACAGAGCATGGTACATCATAGGTGCTTAATAAGTGAACAAATAAATGATTAATAAATGGCTCCTTCTGGATATGCAGCTTCACATTTTCACAAGCATACACACTCACTTTGTACACCCAAAGAGGCCACAAGCAGATGGGTGTGCTAAGCAGGGCTTGGGCTCCGGCAGGCCTCCATCTCATTGCTACCAGATATTAAGAAGGCAGTAAAGGCTGAGGCTGACCTGCTGAAGATGCTTCTGCATACTCTTAGCCCTGGCTGGAGCAGCAGACACAGCATTTAGTTGGATATGGAGCGACCTCAGCCATGAAATGCAGATATAACATGGAATAGCCTGTCTCCAGTCTCTGGGAAGGCAAAGCAGAGGAAGACCTGGGGCTTAAATTTGAACTGAAGGTCAATTTCAGAGTTCACGCTAGAAGGCAAGTTACAAGTCAGGGATAAACTCAAAGACCAGGAACAAGAATGGGAGTTGAGTAGGGTTCAGCCTGTCTCTTCCTCAAAGTCAACCAGCTCATTGGAAATTCTATTCTCCAGGGAAAAAATAAGTTGAGTGTGCTGGTTCATTTATGGTTGTGGGGCTTGCTGCCTGTATCTCTAACAATCCTTGTATCTGCAATTCTACTGCAAATGGTTCGATGGCCTGAAGTCACCACAACTCTGTAGGCACATTCGAATTCCTTAGTCCCCACAGGGAGGATTCTAACTCAATACGTATGTGATGGTTCCTGGTCATTGGTATTTTTTAAAAAGCTCTCCAGGGGATTTTAGTGTGCAGCCAGAATTTAGAAAGATATCACTAAGCCAAATTTCTCAAAAGACAAGAGGATAGCCTGTTAAAGTTGAATATACTTTATCCAAAATGCTTGGGACCAGAAGTGTTTCAGATTTGGGATTTTTTTCAGATTCTGGGACATTTGCATTATACTGGTTGAGCATCCCAAACCCCCAAAATCCCAAATCTGAAATGTTTTAATGAGCATTTCCTTTGAACATCACATTGATGCTTAAAAAGTTTCAGATTTTGGAGCATTACAGATTTTGAATTTTTGGATTTGGGATACTTACACTGTACTTCATGAATAAGTAGATGGATGAATGGATGAGCAGATAAGTAAATAAATGTGTTAAGAAACAACAAATAATAAATAAACAAATGTCAATGAACAAATGATTAGCATATCCTGATATCATTGAATATATATCTCAATCTCTGATGACACTCTATCATTATCAGATGCTACATATGTTATTGCTATCATGGACTCAATATTTTTCTTTAAATTTATTTTTCTTACTTGATTAAAAAATCTATTAAAATAGAAACTGTATATCAATAAATTGAATGGGAAAAATAATTATAATTGTCATTGGAGACAGACTCTAATATGACTCCCCACCTCCTGGTACTATGTCCTTGCATAACCTTCTCCCCTTGAATGCGGGTGTGATCAGGGACTTGCTTTGAATCAACAGAACTTGGCAATGGTAATACAACGTAATTGCACCACTTGTAACACAAAATTGTAACTTCCATTTGCTAGCAGACTTTATCTATTGGCCCTCTTTTTTCTGCTGGCTTTGATGAAGAAAGTCACCCTATAGAGAGGTTCACTTGTCAAGGAACTGAGGGCAGATGTCTCTGGCCAACAGCCAGAAAGAAGCAGAGGTCCTTAGTCAATAACCCAAATGAAACTGAATCCTGCCCACAACCACACACATTTGCAAGAGGATCTTTTCTGATTTGAGCTTCAGATGAGATGTTGGCCCTGGCCAACACCTTGATTGGATCTTTGTAAGAGACCCTGAAGCAGAGGAACCATAGAAACTGTGAGAACATAAATGTGTTTTAAGCCCTTACGTTTGTTACGCAGCTATAGAGAATCACTACAATTGCCACAAATAGAAGGTAACCATAAAATAAGGGAATGATAATACTGTTGCCTGCCTTAGATGCTGGAATCGGAGTAGCATGTGATCTTGCCCTGGCAAGGTAAGATTCTGCTTTGGCTGAAAGATCACAGGAAGCAGGGCAGTGGCCCCAGATGATCTTGGTGCTCATCGTCTGCTTGGACTTACTCTGCCAAGTCTATAGAATGTTTTGTCCCATTCCAGAGCTCAGCATATATTTGATATGCTGCCTTGAGGCACAGGCTCCTTCTCCCTCATCAGCCTCTCTGGGTATCTTCTCAGTAAGCCTCAAGCCTGTGTACCTTGAGTTAGGATAGATATGCTACCCGGATTCCAGGTGAATAAAATATTTCTTTTTCCAGGTCCAAATGGATGGCTTCATGCATAGAATAATACGTACCATTGGCTTTTCTCTGAACAGGTGTTTCCCGCCCTTTCAGCCATCTCCATCAGCCATCAGAAAAGCTCTGTCCCTGACTGTCTGCTGTCATTAGTTTCATAGCTGAACACTCCTCCACAGAACCCTGCGTTGGAGTTAAAGTCTTCATTGGAAACCAATCCCCTGTCTCTCTATGCTACCCAAAGGAAAAACCTACTCTCTCATGTTGGCATCTTTCTGAAACATATTTATATACGTTTATACTTGTGTGTGTGTGTGTGTGTGTATATATATGTATATATATATACACACACATACACACATATACATGAATATATATATTCATAGAAATTATATAGAATACATAATAGTGTTTTGGGTGAGTGTCAGTGTATGTGTGGGAGTATGTTGACACAAATATTATCATACTTTATGTAGTATTCTAAAATTTGGAATTCTACTCAACGATACTTCTTGAGATCTTTGCATATCAGGGTACATATCACTTTTAAAATGAATGTTTTATGGTATATTGCAAACCATTGCCATTTATATTTAGCTATTCTCCTAGAGAGAGTCCTTTAGTTTCCGATTTTCCATTATGACAAATAAGACCAAAGTGAGCGACTTTGTACATGTCTCTTTGTGCATTTTCTTGAGTATTTCCCTAATATAGCCATAAAGAGGTTGAATTGCTGGGTCATGGGGTGTGTGTATTAAAGATTTTCTTAAGATACTGGTAAATTGCCCTCCATGCTGTTATACCAAAATTTTGTTCCCACTCACCATGCATGAGAGTACCACATCCCTTCACCAGCCTTTAATGGTACTTATTTCTCTTCATTTCTACCAGTGTAGTGACTGACACTCATCCTGCGGGACTCAGCTCAAATGACCTGTTTTCTCCAACTGACAGGACACCTCCCTGCTCTGCTCCCTGTTGCAGGGGCATTACACTCTGCTTCCACTATTGACCCGTCACACCATATGGCACATATGTATTTTTCTTCCTTCCCTGCTAGACCATGAGCTCCTTGGGAAAAGGCCAAAATAGACTCCCGGGGAAAGTCTGCATGGTTGGACCCCATTAACCCCATGACTTTTCCAGATGCTATAACGTGTCTTTGCAGGGAACTAATGTGTCCCTGGCAGCACTGGGAACAAGTAGAGTTTCATGCCAGCTTTGGGCATTGAAAAATATTAATGTGGAAATAATTACATGTTGAAATTAATGTGGTTTGGTGCAACTGAGCAGAAATATGAGAGGGAAAAAAAGACCATAAGGAAGGGTCTGCTGGCTGGATAAATATTAGCTATGCCCTGTGGATCCCTGGGTTTCAGTTCCTCAGCAAGGAGCCCGGTGTGTTTTAGCCACAGTCCTGCCACTTGCCCCACACCACCTGCATCTGAGCCTCTTGGAACTTCTTGCCATCTTTTGGATACACCAGAATTTGTCATATCTTGCATTTTGCATGTGATGTTCCAAATTCTTGAAATGGCCTTCCCTTCCCCACCACTGACTGAACCAAACCTTGTTCACAGCATGCCCAACCCAAAGGTCTCCTCTGCACAGCTTCCCTGGAATACATACATATATACCTACATATACACACACATGCAGATATGTATGCCCACATATGCACACATATATACATACATGAACATGAAACCCTGACCCAAACCCAAACTAAAAATTACTACTACCATTGCATCTATCTTCATGATGCTCCCCTTCATCCCAAATATCATCAGATGTCATTCCAGAGATATGGATGGGGTGTGGGTCAGGAGGAAGAGAAGGAGGAAGAGGAGGAGAGGGAAATGGAGAGCAAGTGTGTGAGTATTCTGAAGAATAGCACATTGACAATTAAATTCTTTGCCCAGCCATTATTCTCATCATCTCTGATAAATGGTTGACCAAAACCAGTCATATCACCCACTCACCCACATGAAACCAAGAAGGCTGAGAGCTGGAAACTGGAGAATCAGCCTGGAGACTAAAATATTGCTTTCCTGAATTTTGTGTTTATCTTCCTCTTGCATACACACACACACACACACACACACACACACACACACACATCATATATTGTATTTTCTTTTTTTTGAGACAGAGTCTCACTCTGTTGCCTGGACTGGAGTGCAGTGGCGTGATCTCGGCTCACTGCAACCTCTACCCCCCGGTTTCAAGCGATTCTCTTGCCTCAGCCTCCCAAGTAGCTGGGATTACAGGTGCCCGCCGCTACACCCAGCTAAATTTTGGTATTTTTAGTAGAGACGGAGTTTCACCATGTTGGCCAGGCTGGTCTTGAACTCCTATATGTTGTATTTCTCAACATATTGTTTAATCTTTTTTATTTGAAAAATGGCATAATGTTCTGCTTAGTCTTCTGTAAATTTAAAAAATTTAAACAAAATCAATTCTTGTGTGCCCATCCATTTTCACTGCTGCATTATAATCCATTGTGTGACTATGGCACTACTTACTCATTTTTCTGATGATAGACACTGCCATTGCTTCTATATTTTTGCTTCATGAACAAGGCTGCTATGTATATTTTTGTATATGCTTCCTGGCATAAAAGAGCAAGAGTTTCTTTAGGGTATGTTCCGAGCAATGGAAACGCTCACCTTAAAGCTAATGCCACTTTGTTTTCCAAAATGCTTGTAGCAAGTTATACTCCTTCCACCTGTGCCTATGAGTTCACATTCATCTGACTCTTTGTTACCTAATGTGTGCTATTGCTTTAATTTGAATTTCCCTGAATTTAAGAGATTTTTCCCTATGTTTCTTGGTAATTTGTGTGTCCTCATGGGTGAAATATCTATATCATCTGCTTGTTTTTCTTTCAAATTGTTTTTTTTCTTTTTTATTTGTAGGAGTTCTTTGCATATTCTGAGTAGTACTCCATTCTCTTTCATATAGACTGCAAATATCTTCTTCCAGTTTGTGGCTTAATTTATCATTTTCTTTATCATCTTCAGATGGTCAGAAGTTTTAATGTTAATGTAGTCTAATTTATTATTTTTTATCTCATAGCTAGTAGTTCACTTTTGTTTCTTGTTTAAGACCTCCTTCTGGGTGGAGCTTGTGGTGGGCCAAGGTCGTGTCACTGCACTCCAGCCCAGGTGACAGAGCTAGATTCCGTCTCAAAAAAAAAAAAAAAAAAAGATGTAGAGGCTTTAAGGCTTCAAGCCTGGTTATAATGTGGAAAAGCACTTCTGGAGTTTTAGTGATCACCCAAGTTAATCTTAGATATTACAGTCTTAAGACACCACACACACACACACACACACACACATACACACACACACACACTCGAGCATGGTTTCACACAAAATTCCATTCAGAGGGTAAAAGTTGAAATTGATTTTCTCAAGATTCACATATGAGCTTCCATGGACTCCAAGCTGCAACCCAATAAGCTAGTGCACTCCTTCATTTAGAGCCTCCCAAGACACAGCACCATCTACTGGGGCAAGAGTTTATAAATATAAATTGTGGCAGGGCTCAAAAGAGAATTTTTTTTTTTTTTTTGAGTGGAGTCTCACTCTGTCGCCGGGCTGGAGTGCAGTGGCATGATCTTGGCTTGCTGCAACCTCCGCCTCCCGGGTTCAGGAGATTCTCCTGCCTCAGCCTCATGAGTGGCTGGGACTACAGGCGCCCATCATCATGCCTGGCTAATTTCTGTATTTTTAATAGAGATGGGGTTTCACCATGTTGGCCAAGTTGGTCTCAATCTCTTGACCTAGTGATCCATCTGCCTTGGCCTCCCAAAGTGTTGGGCTTACAGGAGTGATCCACTGCACCTGACCCAAAAGATAATTTTTAAAAACATTTTCATTATAAAATATGTATTAAAAAGGATATAAAAATCTATGTGTTCAGTTTAAAAGAAAAATAATAAAAGGAATTCCCATACTTGCTGCCCAGCTGAAGGAATGGAAAAGTTCCCTGTGGCCTCCTCCATCATCACATCCAGTTAGCCACTACTATACTGAATTATATATTAACCATCCCCTTGTTTTCATTATAGCTTCAATATGCTTATGTTCTAAACTATACACATTTTTGCCTGTGTTTTTAAATTAAGAAAAAGATGTCTCCAGCAGTGGCCTGATATAGAAAAAAATAAAAAATGAAAATGAAAAAAAAAAAAAGACCTCCTTCTGGCCAGGAACAGTGGCTTATGCCTTTAATTCCAGCACTTTGAGAAGCCAGTGCTAGTGCTGGAGGATCACTTGAGGCCAGGAGTTTAAGAACAGCTTGGACAACAGAGCCCATCTCTACAAACATTTTTTTTTAATTAGCCAGATGTGCTGGTATACACCTGTAGTCTCAGCTACTCGGGAGGCTGAGGCGGGAGGAAGATCAAGTGGGAGGATCACTTAAGCCCAGAAGGTCCAGGCTTCAGTAAGCCATGATCGCACAACAGCATTCTAGCCTGGGGGACAGAGCAAGACCCTGTCTCAAAATAAAATAAAATAAAATAAAATAAATCCTTCCCTACTTAACAAAAAAAATAAATTGTACCCCAAACGCGTGCACACACACACACCCTTACAAGCATTTAAGCAGACTGAAAGAAGTAAAGGGACAAACTACATGGCTCTCTAGGGAAAACCTGTTCTAAAAAGAAATAGTGAAAAGATTCTGAGATAGGAGTGTTTTTAGTGTTGTGCACGCAGACAAGAAGGAGGCCGGTGTAGCTGGAGAGCGTGAGAGAGGGAGACAGTGGAAGGAGAGATCAGAGAGGTAGTGCAAGACTAGATGATGAAACTTTATTCTGAGTGCCGTGAGGAGTCCTCAGTAGTTTCTGAGCACAGAACTGTCATGATCTGAATTACAATTTCCAAGGCCCACTGTAACTGATGCATTGGGAACTGACTGCATAGGAAAACCCACAAGGAAGCAATTGCAGAAGTACAAAGAGAGAACGATGAGAGCGGTGAAGTGGGAAGATTCTTGACATTATTTGGAAGAAAGGGCCAATAGAATTTGGTGTGGATATAATAAGAAGAGGGATGTCAGGGTAACTCCAAGGTATCAGGCCTGAGAAACTGGAAGAATAAAATATTTACTAGCTTGAAGGAAGACATTGGGAGGAGAAGACTTGGGCATGGTGTAGGGAGGTCAGGAGATCTGCTTCACACATGGTATGTTTGAGATGCCTCGTCTACATCCAAATGGAAATATTCTGAGCCAAGACATGAAATCAACCTAAGTGTCCATCAACAGGTGAACATATAAAGAAAATGTGATGTATGTATACCATATATATAATATATACAGATATAGGAATATTATTCATTCTTTAAAAAGAAGGAAATCTTGTCATTGTAACAGCATGGATGAACCTGGAGGACATTATGCTAAGTGAAATAAGCAAGACACAGAAAGACAAATACCTCATGATCTTACTTATATGTAGAATCTAAAAAAAACTGAATTCCTAGAAGCAGAGAATAGAATGATGGTTGCCAGGTTCAGGGGGTGAAGGATAGTGGGAAACAGGAAAATATCGGTCAATGGGTACAAAGTTTCACTTAGGATAGTTCCATAGATCTATTATACAGCACAGTAACTATAGCTAATATTAATATATTGTATGCTTGAAAATTGCTGAAAGTAGATCTTAAATATTCTCACCACAAAAAAAAGTGTGTGATGTGATTGATATGTTAATTTGCTTATTTTAACCATGTCACTATGCATACATATATTGAATTACATTGTATGTGATAAATACTGCATATGTAATTTTTATTTGTCAATGACACCTAAATAGAGCTGGGAAAAAAAATAAATGTCTAAAAACAGAAAAAAAAAAAAACAGTGAGTATATGAGTTGAAAAGAGATCTCAGCTGGAGAACTGGGCATTGACAATATAAGACCGTGTACACTGCAGTGTATACAGGGATGAGAAACGATCCAAGGCTGTGTTGATCTCATAGATTAGAGGTGTGGGGTGATGGACATGCCTGGGGGAGCAGGAGCCTCCAGATGGACAGAACATTTCTTCCCCAGCCATGCCCAGGTCCTTGATACACTGTCAGGGAACCAGTGCTGTGCCTGGTTGCTCCCGCTCTTCTCTCTCCCCACCCTCAGACGAATTACTACCACTAGTAAATGTTTGCTCTGGCTCATAAATGCATAATGCCTACCACACAAACCTCAACTGCCTGTAATCGAGACTCACGCACATGCAGAAAAGATTGTGTGCGTGGAAGATATAAATGATGCTGTCGCCCGAGGTTGCTGCAGGAAACGGGGCCGCTGAAATAGAAATTGCATCCAGCTTTTACTGCCTCAACAACCTGCCTCCCTTTGCCACAGCCACCCTGGAAGGTACAGGGAATTAGCTGTAAATATTTTACAGTTGGTAATTTGCTCTAGTAAATCAGTTCATTTTGCCGGAGAGTGCATTGAACGAGCATTTCTTTTTCTTCTATGAGTTATTTGTGATGTCATCTTTCTGGTTTCATCCCACACTTAATTTAGGCCTCAACATGTTTGTTCCTGTATAATCTAGGTTACTCTGTGTCTCTAGGATGGGCTGAGGTGGTGGGGCAGGGTGGGGCAGGATGGGTCAGGCAGGCAGAATTCCTCTTAGTGCTTCCAGGCCAGGACCCATTAGGCTCCAATGCTCAACACCTAACATACGTTTATTCATTCATTTGCTAAGGAATTTCCGATTAATCACTATATGCCAGCCACTCTGCTAAGTCCGGTAAGATAAAGATTTATATTACATGGTCCCTGTCATCAAGGAGTTCCTAGCCTATTTGAGAAATCCATGACAAAATCTAAAACTTACTCATACCAACAATTGTTAGACATTCACATTTATTAAGATCTTACTATTCCAAAAGCTTTACAAGAATAAACTCAATTAATCCTTAAAATGATCCTCTGGGGTGAAAATTATTTTTATTTCTATTTTACAAATAAAGAAACTGAGGTACAGGCAAGTTCAGTGACTTGTCCAAGGTCACCTAGCTGGCAGGATTCCAATAAGTCCACTCTTGCTCTTAACCACTATTCACTTCTGCCTTTTGATTTATAAGCAACCAAAAAGGAAAAGAGAGTTGGTTATGGTTAAGCATCAATTACACATGATTTATGATGTAGTTTTGTGTTAGGTGATTTCCATGGGCAACAAATCCTTTAATTCCTAATTCTGAAAAGTGAGCTCCCTGATTCCCATCTTAGCAAGAAGAGTTAGGCTCAGAGAGTAACCCAACCAAAAATACCTAATAATATGCCACTAGTGCAAATGACATGAATAGACACTTCTCAAAAGAAGATGTACAGATGGCCAAGAAATATATGAAAAAAGGCTCAACATCACTAACCATTAGGGAAATGCAAATTAAAACCACAGTGTGATACCATATTACCCCAGTCAGAATGGCCATTATTAAAGTCAAGACACAATAGATGTTGGCATGCATGTGGTGAAAAGGAAATGCTTATACACTGCTGATGTGAATGTAAATTAGCACAACCTCTATTTTCCATAGAAAATAGAAAATAGAAAACCTCTATTTTCCATAGAAAATAGAACAGTGTTTTCCACAGTGCGGAGATTTCTCAAAGAGTTAAAAGCAGATCTACCATTCGCTCCAGCAATCCCACTACTCTCTACCTACCCAAAGGAAAAGAAGTCATTATTTCAAAAAGATACCTGCACACGTATGTTTATCACAGCACAAATTCACAATTGCAAAGATAGGGCACCAACCTAAGAGCCTATCAACCGATGAGTGAATAAAGAAAATGTGGTACCTATACACCATGTAATACTACTCAGCCATAAGGAGAATGAAATCATGTCTTTTGCAGCAGCTTCGATGGAGCTGGAGGCCATTATTCTATGTGAAGTAACTGAAGAATGGAAAACCAAATATCATATGTTCTCATTTGTAAGTGGGAGCTACGCTATGGGTATGCAAAGACAAACAGAGTGGTATAATGGACATTGAAGACTCAGAAAGAGGGTGAGTGAGTGGCAGTGAGGGATAAAAAACTATATTTTGGCTACAATATACACTACTCCAGTGACAGGTGCACTGAAATATCAGACTCTGCTACTATACATTTCATCCATGTAACCAAAAACCACTTGTACCCCAAAAGCTATTGAAATACATATGTGCATGTATGTGTGTGTGTGCATATGTGTGTGTGTGTGTGTGTTTGTATGCCAATCTCAGCCTAATGGCATTTTATATATATATACACACACACACACATATATAAACATACATAAAACTACATATATATGTGTGTGTGTGTGTAGTTTTGTGTTAAACGATTTCTATGGGCAACAAATTCTTTAATTCCATATATACGTATGGCACCCTTAGGCTGAGATTTGATCCAGGATTATCCAACTCCAACACCAAGCCCTTTTCATGCTAGAAGGTAATGAGAGTTGATGGAAATAAAGAACCATTCAAGGCACTGTCAGATCAGAACAGAGAATAACTAACCCCTCAGAGAGTTGGAAAAGAGGAGGTAGCTAGCCCAAGTTGTGAAGACGGGGAAGAACATTCTAGATAGTCGAGGGCTAGAATGGCCAAAGAGGCCACAGGACAGCAGGTGAACAGCACATGCTGATGTGAAATATCAGTTGTTGCTGTTTTGGCTTTGCCTAAGCCCTTGCCCACAGGGCATGACAATTCATGCTGCACTCAGCAGAAGGAGATTAACGAGAAGGTGACTCCATGAAGGATATGGGCAGAGGGCTTGGGAATAGTTCCCATGAGATCTTTTCTGCCCTCTTTATCTGTGCTAGGGGAACAGCACAGGAAGACATGGTATCTGGTTTCACTTTCCTCTTGCTCACATTTTTGCTGTGAGTTTTGGAGCAGGTCACTGAGCCTTTATTCACCATCATTGTCAAGTATTCTCAAAACTGCCCAAAGGTATGTGGCTGGACATGTTATTCCATATTGCTAGTCTCACCAGAGGGTTGGTTTGAGCTGCATGACTATAAATCAGGACCCTTTGAGTTATTCAAACCTCATACTCTACAGTGTCCTTGAACATGCTCCTCTTGGCTTTTCCTTCAACTTACGCACATGTGTTTTGGTTCACCACTTAGAACATGTATACAAAATATCTCATTTATTAGGATCAAATAAAGTAGCCAGATAGGTTCCTTTGAAGGCATAAAGTAAATGTTCTTATAGAGAAGTCACCTTGGGCCGTACGGAGTAGGGTGGGTGGACAAGTACTTCCTAACCAAATAGCCAGGATGACGGTCTTGTGAGGCCAATGGGGAGTTTACCCCACACACATTTTCAACAGACACCAAGAAATGTCTCTGGCCAACTATTGTAAAAGGGAAATTTACTTGAATGATATATGAAAGACTGATAAGGAGTCTGTTATGAATAGGCTTGGAAGAGGTAGGAAATTGGGAAGCTCTGTGGACACAGGCTGCAGAACTGGGTCTACGGTCTTAGGAAACCACCATAGGAACAAGTCAGGTTTCACTGTATCTTTTGTTCTTCATTTTATCTTTCTTCCATTCCTTATTTTTCTGTTCTTCCCCTTCCTACTCTTCTTCATCTTCTCTTTCTATACCACCCTGCTAAATATTCAAAGTCCTAGTAGAAAACATCTAATTTTCCTAGTTTAGAATCTAAGTGAGTGACAGTCCCAGACTATATACAGTGAAACAGAGGCAATTCGATATGTGCACACTGCAGTGATTTTAATCAGAAGACCAGGTTAGAGGTAACATCTGAACAGGGATGCAGAAGTAAGAAAGCAAGCCCCATGGGGGAAGCCTGGGGAAATAGCAGGTGCAGCATTCTGGGGCGAAAGCCCGTCTGGCTTTTCCAAGGACCAGGGAGAGGTTAGCGTGACTGGAAAGAAGATTGGGAGAGTGGGCAGAGATGAGGGCAGAAGAGTCCTGCAGGTCATTTTAAGAACTTGAGATTTTACCTTCAGTGAAATGGGAGCCACTGCCTGGATTCCACGGTAGGGATGAGGGGCATGGCCAGACTTACACATTGGAAAGATTGCTTGTTTTCGACTTTTATTTCGGAATCACAGGGGTATATGTGCAAGTATGTCACAAAAGTTTATTGCATGATGCTAAAGTTTGGAGTATGAATAAACCAATCACCCAGGAAATGAGCATAGTATTCAATTTTAGTTTTTTTCAATCCTTACTCCCCTCCCTCCCCACTCTTGTATTCACCAGTGTCTATCATTCCTATTTTTATGACTACGTTTACTCAATGCTTAGCTCCCACTTATAAATGAGAACATGCAGTATTTGGTTTTCTGTTTCTGCCTTAGTTTGCTTAGGATAATGGTTTCCAGTTGCATTCATATTGCTGCAAATGACATGATTTTGTTCTTTTCTATGGCTGCATAGTATTCCATGGTGTTTATGTACCACATTTTCTTCATCCAATCCACCACTGATGGGCACCTGGGTGGGAGACATCACTGTGATTGCTGTGGGGAGAAGAGGCTTTCGGGGGATAAGGCTTGAAGAAGGATAAGGAGGTGGGTGAAATTAGAAGGTGGGTGAAATAATGAAAGTATCAGGTGATGATGGCTTGGATGAAGATAAATGTGTTGGAGATGTGATGAGATGTGGCAGCATCAACAGAATTTGCCAGTAGATTGAGTTTGAGGTGTGGGAGAAAGAGAAGAACCAAGGACTGCTCCAGTCCAAGGACTGCTTAAGGTTCCTGCCTTAAGCAAAAAGGAAGACTAGAGCTGCCATTTTTAGAGAAGAGGAAGACTCACAGAGAAATAGGGTCTTAGTTGAGACATGAATAATTTCCTTTGGGCATTTTAATTTTGAGGTGCTTTTTGAGACATCCAAGTTGGAATGTTGAGGAGAGAATTGGATTTACAAATCTAGAGTTAATAGATCTGGATTGGGAGATATACATTGAATATAAAGGTCTTTGAAGCCACGAAACTAGCTGATCTTAAAAAGGGAACAGGTAAAAATAGAGAAAGCCACTGAGGACTGAGTCCTGGGGCTCTCAGTGAGCACCTTAACTGATAGAGCTTCCAAAAGAGGCATCTGCTTAACTTTTAACAAGTGGAACCAGCACATAATTCTTTTTTTGATCACTTACTAGAGGAAGAAGAGTAGGTCTCTTTGCAGTAGTAACTCCAACTCCCTGGCCTATTATCCTTTGTCAACAAACCCAATCACATCCCTGTATCAAAGCTACCACAAGCAGTCAACAACAAGCCTAGAACTGCAGTAGAAACTGGAATAAATTGACGGAGTGGGGGCTGGATTCCCAAGCTTCCATTAGCACAATCTCGTCTTTGACAGACTTAGCTAGGTTGACTGGTTAGTAGTACCAGAGGAAATACACCTTCAAACAAGGTAACACTGAGGTCTACGAAAGACTAACTGAACCAGTTTATCTAAACCCACTTCTCTTAACCAGCAACTCACCTAGTGGTTACATCATTGAAACTCATTCTTCCTTTAGGGAGTTCTAAATACAGTCAAATGCATTCCCAGTGTTTTAAAAAAACATTTTTATGGCATCATAGGAACCTAGGCAATACGTTTAAGAGCATTTCAATTTAACTTTGTATTTCGTGTGTGAGTGTGTATTTATTGAATTTTCACAATATATGAAAGATGGGCTTTCTCTATATTGGTGTGGGTGTTGTCTTATATTTTATCTACTTCTGAAGATTCTGAGTGGTTTTTAGTGACATTGATAAAAACCTATTCTTTAAATTTGGTTTTCAGGGACCAAAACGAATGAGATCCACAAATGAATGTGAAACACTCAAGGGTATTGAATTTTAAATGATATGGTCGTTAACTAAATTTATCACTGGGCAAAATAGTGTTAGATTAATTAAGCTGGGGAGATTTTGATTAAATGTACACAAAACATCTCATTTATTAGGATCAAATAAAGTAGCCAGATAGGTTCCTTTGAAGGAATAAAACAAATGTTCTGATAGAGAAGTTACCTTGGGCTGTAGGGAGTAGGGTGGGTGGACAAGTACTTCCTAACCAAATAGCCAGGGTAACGCTCTTGTGAGGCCAGTGGGGAGTTTACCACACACACATTTAGTATCTGTTAACGGCTTTCTTGGCTACTTTGTGAGCTCCAGATCCAGATTGTTTCCTTCCCTAGAGAAGAATTGTAATTCCATGAGAAGAAACTTGAGTTGGAGTCACATGGCCCTGTGTTCGCATCAGACACTACAACTTCTTAGCTATAATAGTGATGTGCTCCCTTGCAATTTACTTTGTGTTTTGGGCCTCAATTTCCTCATTAATAATGGTGATAACAACACCTTCTTTACCTTATTGTTATTAGGGTTAAATAAGGTAACTGTGTAAAACATCCAACTCTGGTTGGAAAATTAGGCTAGCTGCTCTTCAAGCCCACTTTCTCCTTCTCCTGGACATATAGACTATATTTCCCAGGCTCCCTTGCAATCAGATATGGTCATGTGACTGAGTTCTAGCCAATGGAATATGAGCTAAAGTGATATGTTCATTCCTAGGCTAGCCCCCATAGAAGTTTCTTACTCATAATCATCCATGTTCTTTCCACTTCTGCACAGTGGTTGTTTACACCCAAAGCAGTCTTGCTAGCTTTATGTCTAAAATGTCAGAGCAGTTACCAGCTTGGGCTCTTGAATCACTGTAAGGAGCACATCTTTCCTCCCCTTGTCCAAAAACCTGCAACGCCTTTGAAAAACTGGAAGTAAAAAAGGAAACTCCTATTTCATTAGCTTGCTGCAACTGAAATGGACAGAATCCAACACCCAGTAAGTGCTAAATAAACGCTTCTTTTCTTATCCTCAAGAAAGAACATGAGCAAATAAGCTAAAACCCAGAGAAAGTAAATCACGTAACATTATACAAGAGAGGTGGCAGGCAGACATAATGCATGGCAATTGTGGGATGGAGGGGGAATGTATTTGTTTTGTACGTACGATCTTGAACGGGATAAAGAGCCTCATGTTGCCCAAGGGACAGCTGTTTCAAGGAATGGCATTTTACATTGTGTGACACATGAGAGAGTAGATAGGAAGAAAATGGCACCACGAAGGGAGAAAGAAAGAAATAGAAACAGTGGTGGTTGTGCTGACAAGAAACCAAGAGACATTTCCTTACAGCAGTGGGGAAGATTGAAAGGACCACCTTTTGAGTGCTTGGAGGACTAATGACCAGTGTCCCAGTAGGGAAGAAATATCAGAAGTAGGGATCATGGGTGAAAATGTTGCCAAATACCTTGGAGGCTGTCTTGATAAGAAAAAAAAAAAATCATTGCTGTGATTGAATCATAGGAACTTACAGAGACTGGATTTTTGGATGATTTAGTCTTTCAGGTGCCAGTTTTAGGATTAATGTTGTGTTTTTTTTATATTGACCCTCAAATGAACCACTTTCTGTATCTGTAAATCAAAAATGCTTGTAGGTGGGATATGTTCTTGTATAATACAATGTTTTCTTTCTGTTATATCTATGAAGGAAGGGAACTAATGCCAAAACAAACAAACAAACAAACAATGTAGTGCATTTGGAAAACAGCCCATGCTATTGTAGTAAGACCTCATTGTTTGGGCCACCTAAGAACCTTTTGTCTAAGGAGAACATAACCCCAAAACAGTCGCAAAAGAGATAGAGAAGATATTGGAAAAGAGAAGATGGGGGAAGGGAGATTACAAAGGAATATAAACTTGGTTATTTGGTTATAAAAATTAAAGGAAATTTAAAAGGAAAAATATGTAGAATCAAAAAGTGATTCATCCATCCATCTATTCATTCAACCATCATCTATTCCAGATGGATGGAAAAAGTTCATCCATCCATCTATTCATTCATCCATTCTTTCATTAACCACTGATTAAGGAACTTTTATACCCAGATACTATGCATATAAGTGCCAAATGTATCAGGAATCCTATGGAAAAGAAGAAGAGGGAAATTCTGATTGTTAATACACATAACCAACTTAATGTTTCTTTTCACCCATTTGTTTAAGTTCATTTATTCCCCAAGTGTTTACTGAGCACATTCCACATCCCGGACACTGGGATGATGGACAAGTTCTCTGCCTTCATGGAGCTACACTCCAGTGGTGGCAGGAATGTGGTGGTATAGACCAGGAACACATGGAAACATGTTACAGAAAGAGGACTGGGAAGCTCTAGCCTTTAGCAAGGGAGTAGACATGGAGATGACAGAGACGAGGATGGTCAGGAACTTCCCGGCTGCATTCTGCAGGAAGAGCAAGCTAACCCCAAGAAAAGCCAGAGGCAATAGCATTCCAGGTATAAGGAGCAGCTCCTCTGGGTGAAATGGATTGGAGATGGAGGGCAAAGGAGTAGGGTTGAGAGCAGAAGCCAGAAGCCTGCTGAAGGGAGAAATGATGGTAACTTGGACCAGAGGTTCTGCAGAAAAGTGAAGAGGAGCAAGAAGGTTGGAGACACCAACTGGAGTAAACGGTTTCTGTTGACAGACTGAATATTAGCAGTGAGGAGATTCCCAGGCTCTGGGCTTTAGTAACGGGGCAGATGGTAATGTCCTTTTCTGAGCTGGGGAAGACTGCTGGGCCTCATCTCCTAGCTCCTTTCATCTCCTGCCTTTGAGCCCTGGCTTAGTTAGAGAGCTGCCATCGCCCCATCTGCAAAATGGAGATAATAATAGCTTCCTTGACTATCTCATAGGACTATCAAGAGGATCACAGAAGATAATATAATCATGATGAAAACAGTAATGGAGTTATGGGAGGAGCAAAAGCTCTTTATGATGCCAGGTGGTAGTTCAAGTAAATTTCTTTTAGATTCATATTAATGACTCGGGTTTGGTTGGGGGAGATTTGTGAGGCATGAAAAATAATGCAATGGTGCTAATTTTCATAAATCAGAGGGGAAAAGTTTCCTCATTATCAGAGAGTTGCCCCATGGATTCAGAGCAGGTGTCCAGGTATAAATGAGTGACTCAAACACACCACAATGAGGTCTGCAGTCCTCAAAAACTAGGGCAACTAAGTCAGTCATCATTAGAAGCTTCAGGGAACTGAGAGGATACCTGCTCATGAGCACAAATTTTGAGGGTCTGAGAGGGCCCCAAATAGCATTTGCAGTTGAGGATGTGCAGACTTGACCCAAATTTGCTGCTGCTCTGTGACCCTGAAGGAAGCACCCAACATTTCGTATTCACAAATTTTCTTTCTTTTTCTTCGTAATAGCAAGCTTTCCTTTATTTTGTGTAATTTCCATTTTTATTTTAGATCCAGGAGGTAGATGTGCAGGTTTGTTATAGGAGAATATTGTGTGATGCAAAAGTTTGGGTTTCTATTGATCTCATCACCCAGATAGTGAGCATAGTACCCTCGATAGGTTGTTTTTCAGCCTTGGTCCTGCTCCTTCCCTCCCTCCTTTTCGAGTCCCTACTGTCAGTTCTTCCCGTCTGTATGTCCATCACATTCACAGCTTTTCATACCTAACACTGGAATTAATAATGCTTTCCAGGCTCCACTGTTGTGAGAATTAGATAAGTAAGAGATGAGAAGACCCTTCCTCCAGATAGCCACACAGCCCCTTGAAGTTTCTGCCCTTTCTCCCTCTCAGGAAGCCCCTTCTCCTCTTTACTCAAACAGGATAACCTCTAAAATCCTTAATCTAAAATCCTTGATTTTCTCTAGCCTTTCTCCCTAATACTTATCACCACTGATATGTGCAGGTGTGGGCATGCGTGTGTGCGTGTGTGTGTGCATGTGTATGTCTGTGTGTTTACTTATATATTGTCTGCCACGCCTACTAGAATGTAAGCTCCATAAGGATAGAGATTTTTATCTGCCCTGCTCACTGCTCTATTCCTAGTACCTGGGACATATTTGGCCCTCAGTACATATTTGTTAAATGGACAAATAAATGAATGTGAACAAATTTCTCATGAAGTCTGATGATGACAGGTATTCAGTGCCTGATGGAGTTCCTTTCGTTTTAAAATTTCTGTATTGACTGTGAGAGCAATGTTTACTTTATCCAAGATTGGTTCTTAATCTAAACTTTTAAGTATAAGAGTGAAATCTGACTCTGGGTTCAAATTTCAGCTCTGGCCAGGTATGGTGGCTCACGCCTGTAAACCCAGCACTTTTTGAGGTGGAGGCATGAAGATTGCTTAAGGATAGGAGTTTGAGACCAGTCTGGGCCATATAGCGAGGCTCCAACTCCACAAAAATTTTTGAAAATTAGTCCAGTATGGTGACATCCACCTGTAGTCTCAGCCATTCAGGGGGCTGAAGCAGGAGGATCACTTGAGCCCAGGACGTTGAGGCTGCAGTAAACTGTGACTGCACCATTGCACTGCAACCTGGGCAGCAGAGCAAGACCCTGTCTCTAAAAAAAATTAGCTCTGACATATACCAGATGTTTGACTTGGGGAAAATTATTTAACTACTGTGAGCCTCTGTTTTCTGATCTCTGAAATAAGCATAATGATATTGCCTACCTAATAGGGTGGATGTGAGTCTGGGGTTCTGTAGTCATCAGCAGGGTTTCCCAGAGGCTGATTTTGGCATATTCCTCCCACCACACCTGTCGTTTAGTGCCCTTTGTTCTTGGACCTCTATATCACCCTTTTGCCTGAACCGTATCCGCAGGTTGCCTTGGACAGGATTAGCTCATGTGGCTCATTCTCAATAGTTAGGTATACCAACACCCTCCCTTCTTTCCTCTATCCATCAATCATACCATACATCTACCCCCCTGCACAGCATATCCATCCATCCATCCATCATCCACACATCCAAGCTTCCTTAAGTCTGTCTTTTTTTTTTATTATACTTTAAGTTCTGGGGTACATGTGCACAACATGCAGGTTTGATACATAGGTAAACATGTGCCATGTTGGTTTGTTGCACCCATCAACTCGTCATTTACATTAGGTATTTTTCATAATGCCATCCCTCCCCCAGCCTGCCACCCCCTGACAGGCCCTGGTGTGTGATGTTCCCTGCCCTGTGTCCAAGTGATCTCATTGTTCAGTTCCCACCCATGAGTGAGAACATGCAGTGTTCAGTTTTCTGTCCTTGTGATAGTTTGCTGAGAATGATGGTTTCCAGCTTCATCCCTGTCCCTGCAAAGGACATGAACTCACCCTTTTTTACGGCTGCATAGTATTCCATGGTGCATATGTGCCACATTTTCTTTATCCAGTCTATCACTGATGGACATTTGGCTTGGTTCCAAGTCTTTGCTATTGTGAATAGTGGCAAAATAAACATATGGGTGCATATGTCGTTATAGTAGCATGATTTATAATCCTTTGGGTATATACCGAGTAATGGGATTGCTGGGTCAAATGGTATTTCTAGTTCTAGATCCTTGAGGGATCACCATGCTGTCTTTCACAATGGTTGAACTAATTTACACTCCCACCAACAGTGTAAAAGCATTCCTATTTCTCCACATCCTCTCTGGCATCTGTTGTTTCCTGACTTTTTAATGATCGCCATTCTAACTGGCGTGAGATGGTATCTCATTGTGGTTTTGATTTGCATTTCTCTGATGACCAGTGATGATGAGCATTTTTTCATGTGTCTGTTGGCTGCATAGATGTGTTCTTTTGAGAAGTGTCTGTTCATAACCTTTGCCTACCTTTTGATGGGGTTGCTTGTTTTTTTCTTGTAAATTTGTTTGAGTTCTTTGTAGATTCTGGATATTAGGCCTTTGTCAGATGGGTAGATTGCAAACATTTTCTCCCATTCTGTAGGTTGCCTGTTCACTCTGATGGTAGTTTATTTTGCCATGCAGAAGCTCTTTAGTTTAATTAGATCCCATTTGTCTATTTTGGCTTTTGTTGCCATTGCTTTTGGTGTTTTAGTCATGAAGTCCTTGCCCATGTCTATGTCCTGAATGGTATTGCCTAGGCTTGCTTCTAGGGTTTCTACAGTTTTGGGTCTAACATTTAAGTCTTTAATCCATCTTGAATTAATTTTTGTATAAGGTGTAAGGAAGGGATCCAGTTTCAGCTTTCTACATATGGCTAGCCAGTTTTCCCAGCACTATTTATTAAATAGGGAATCCTTTTCCTATTTCTTGTTTTTGTCAGGTTTGTCAAAGATCAGATAGTTGTAGATGTGTGGTGTTATTTCTGAGGCTTCTGTTCTGTTCCATTGGTCTATATATCTGTTTTGGTACCAGTACCATGCTGTTTTGGTTACTGTAGCCTTGTAGTATAGTTTGAAGTCAGGTAGTGTGATGCCTCCAGCTTTGCTCTTTTTGCTTAGGATTGCCTTCACAATGCAGGCTCTTTTTGGTTCCATATGAACTTTAAAGTAGTTTTTTCCAATTCTGTGAATAAAGTCATTGGTAGCTTGATGGGGATGGCACTGAATCTATAAATTACCTTGGGCAGTATGGTCATTTTCATGGTATTGATTCTTCCTATCCATGAGCATGGAATGTTCTTCCATTTGTTTGTGTCCTCTTTTATTTTGTTGAGCAGTGGTATGTAGTTCTCCTTGAAGAGGTCCTTCACATCCCTTGTAAGTTGGATTCCTAGGTATTTTATTCTCTTTGTAGCAATTGTGAATGAGAGTTCACTCATGATTTGGCTCTCTGTTTGTCTGTAATTCATGCATAGAAATGCTTGTGATTTTTGCACATTGATTTTGTATCCTGAGACTTTGCTGAAGTTGCTTATCAGCTTAAGGAGATTTTGGGCTGAGACGATGGGGTTTTCTAAATATACAATCATGTCATCTGCAAACAGGGACAATCTGACTTCCTCTTTTCCTTTATTTATTTCTCTTGCCTGATTGCCCTGGCCAGAACTTCCAACACTATGTTGAATAGGAGTGGTGAGAGAGGGCATCCTTGTCTTGTGCCGGTTTTCAAAGGGAATGCTTCTAGTTTTTGCCCATTCTGTATGATAATGGCTGTGGGATTGTCATAAGTAGTTCTTATTATTTTGAGATACGTTCTATCAATATCTAGTTTATTGAGAGTTTTTAGCATAAAGGTGCTGTGGAATTGTGTTGAAGGCCTTTTCTGCATCTATTGAGATAATCATGTGGTTTTTGTCATTGGTTCTCTTTATGTGATGGATTATGTTTATTGATTCGCATATGTTGAACCAGCCTTGCATCCCAGGGATAAACCCAACCTGATCGTGGTGGGTAAGCTTTTTGATGTGCTGCTGGATTCGGTTTGCCAGTATTTTATTGAGGATTTTTGCATTGATATTTATCAGGGATATTGGTCTACAATTCTCTTTTTTTGTTGTGTCTCTGCCAGGATTTGGTATCAGGATGATGTTGGCCTCATAAAATGTGTTAGGAAGGATTCCCTCTTTTTCTATTGATTGGAATAGTTTCAGAAGGAATGGTACCAGCTCCTCTTTGTACCTCTGGTAGTATTCGGCTGTGAATCTGTCTGGTCCTGGACTTTTTTGGTTGGTAAGCTATTAATTATTGCCTCAATTTCAGAGATTCAACTTCTTCCTGGTTTAGTCTTGGGAGGGTGTATGTGTATAGGAATTTATCCATTTCTTCTAGATTTTCTAATTTATTTGCATAGAGGCGTTTATAGTATTCTCTGATGGCAGTTTGTATTTCTGTGGGATTGGTGGTGATATCCCCTTTATCATTTTTTGTTGCATCTATTTGATTCTTCTCTCTTTTCTTCTTCATTAATCTTGCTAGTGGTCTATCAATTTTGTTGATCTTTTCAAAAAACCAGCTCCTGGATTCACTGATTTTTTGAAGGATTTTTTGTGTGTCTATCTCTTTCAGTTCTGCTCTGATCTTAGTTATTTCTTGCCTTCTGCTAGCTTTTGAATTTGTTTGCTCTTGCTTCTCTAGTTCTTTTAATTGTGATGTTAGAGTGTCAATTTTAGATCTTTCCTGCTTTCTCTTGTGGGCATTTAGTGCTATAAATTTCCCTCTACATACTGCTTTAAATGTGTCCCAGAGATTCTGGTACTTTGTGTCTTTGTTCTCACTGGTTTCAAAGAACATCTTTATTTCCACCTTCATTGCATTATTTACCCAGTAGTCATTCAGGAGCAAGTTGTTCAGTTTCCATGTAGTTGTGCGATTTTGAGTGAGTTTCTTAATCCTGAGTTCTAACTTGATGGCACTGTGGTCTGAGAGACAGTTTGTTGTGATTTCTGTTCTTTTACATTTGCTGAGGAGTGTTTTACTTCCAATTATGTGCTCAATTTTAGAATAAGTGTGATTTGGTGCTGAGAAGACTGTATATTCTGTTGATTTGGGGTGGAGAGTTCTGTAGATGTCTATTAGGTCCACTTGGTCCAGAGCTAAGTTCAAGTCCTGGATATTCCTGTTAACCTTCTGTCTCATTGATCTGTCTAATATTGACAGTGGGGTGTTAAAGTCTCCCATTATTATTGTGTGGGAGTCTAAGTATCTTTGTAGGTCTCTAAAAACTTGTTTTATGAATCTGGGCACTCCTGTATTGGGAGCATAATATATTTAGGATACTTAGCTCTTCTTGTTGAATTGATCACTTTACCATTATGTAATGGCCTTCTTTGTCTCTTTTGATCTTTTTTGGTTTAAAGTCTGTTTTATCAGAGACTAGGATTGCAACCCCTGCTTTTTTTTGCTTTCCATTTGCTTGGTAGATCTTCCTCCATCCCTTTATTTTGAGCCTATGTGCATCTTTGCACATGAGATGTGTCTCCTGAATACAGCACACTGATGGGTCTTGACTCTTTATCCAATTTGCTAGTTTGTGTCTTTTAATTGGGGCATTTAGCCCATTTACATTTAAGGTTAATATTGTTATGTGTGAATTTGATCCTGTCATTATGATGTTAGCTAGTTATTTTGCCCATTAATTTAGGCAGTTTCTTCAGAGCATCAATGGTCTTTACAATTTAGCATGTTTTTGCAGTGGCTGGTACTGATTGTTTCTTTCCATGTTCAGTGCTTCCTTCAGGAGCTCTTGTAAAGCAGGCCTGGTGGTGACAAAATCTCTCAGTATTTGCTTGTCTGTAAAGGATTCTATTTCTCCTTCACTTATGAAGCTTAGTTTGGTTGGATATGAAATTCTGGGTTGAAAATTCTTTCCTTTATGAATGTTGAATATTGGCCCCCACTCTCTTCTGGCTTGTAGGGTTTCTGCCAAGAGATCCACTGTTAGTCTGATGGGCTTCCCTTTGTGGGTAACTCGACCTTTCTCTCTTGCTGCCCTTAACATTTTTTCCTTCATTTCAACCTTGGTGAATCTGACAATTATGTGTCTTGGGGTTGCTCTTCTCGAGGAGTATCTTTGTGGTGTTCTCTGCATTTCCTGAATTTGAATGTTGGCCTGCCTTGCTAGGTTAGGCAAGTTCTCCTGGATAATATCCTGAAGAGTGTTTTCCAACTTGTTTCCATTCTCCCCATCACTTTCAGGTACACCAATCAAACGTAGATTTGGTCTTTTCACACAGTCCCATATTTCTTGGAGGCTTTGTTCATTTCTTTTTACTCTTTTCTCTCTAACCTTGTCCTCTCACTTTATTTCATTAATTTGATCTTCAGTCACTGATACCCTTTCTTCCACTTGATCAAGTCAGCTATTGAAGCTTGTGCATGCATCACGAAGTTCTTGCGCCATGGTTTTCAGCTCCATCAGGTCATTTAAGATCTTCTCTACACTGTTTATTCTAGTTAGCCATTCATCTAACCTTTTTTCAAGGTTTTTAGCTTCCTTGCGATGGGTTTGAACAAGCTCCTTTAGCTTGGACAAGTTTGTTATTACCAACCTTCTGAAGCCTACTTCTGTCAACTCGTCAAAGTCATTCCCCGTCCAGCTTTGTTCCGTTGCTGGCAAGGAGCTGCGATCCTTTGGAGGAGAAGAGGTGCTCGATTTTTAGAATTTTCAGCTTTTCTGCTGTGGTTTCTCCCAATCTTTGTGGTTTTATCTACCTTTGGTCTTTGACGATGGTGACCTACAGATGGGGTTTTGGTGTTGATGTCCTTTTTGTTGATGTTGATGCTATTCCTTTCTGTTTGTTAGTTTTCCTTCTAACAGTCAGGTTCCTCAGCTGCAGGTCTGTTGGGGTTTGCTGGAGGTCCACTCCAGACCTGTTTGCCTGGGTATCATCAGCAGAGGCTGCAGAACAGCAAATATTGCAGAACAGCAAATATTGCTGCCTCATCCTTCCTCTGGAAGCTTTGTCCCAGAGGAGCACCCGCCTGTATGAGGTGTCTGTCAGCCCCTACTGGGAGATGTCTCCCAGTTAGGCTACACAGGGGTCAGGGACCCACTTGAGGAGGCAGTCTGTCCGTTCTCAGTGCTCAAACGCCATGTTGGGAGAACCACTGCTCTCTTCAGAGCTGTCAGACAGGGACACTTAAATCTGCAGAAGTTGTCTGCTGCCTTTTGTTCAGCTAAGCCCTGCCCACAGAGGTGTAGTCCAGAGGCAGTAGGCCTTGCTGAGCTGTGGTGGGCTCCTCCCTGTTCAAGCTTCCCGGCCACTTTGTTTACCTACTCAAGCCTCAGCAATGATGGACACCCCTCTCCCGGCCAGGCTGCCGCCTCACAGTTTGATCTCAGACTGCTGTGCTAGCAGTGAGCAAGGCTCTGTGGGCGAAGGACCCACCGAGTCAGGCACGGGAGAGAATCTCCTTGTCTGCCAGTTGCTAAGACCTTGGGAAAAGTGCAGTATTTGAGTGGGAGTGTCCCGTTTTTCCAGGTACAGTCTGTCATGGCTTCCCTGGCTAGGAAAGGGAAATTCCCCGACCCCTTGCACTTCCCGGGTGAGGCAATGCCCCGCCCTGCTTCAGCTCACCCTCCGTGGGCTGCACCTACTGTCCAACCATCCCAATGAGATGAACCAGGTGCCTCAGTTGGAAATGCAGAAATCACCCATCTTCTGCATCAATCACACTGGGAGCTGCAGACCGGAGCTGTTCCTATTCAGCCATCTTGGAACGGATCTCCTTATGTCTGTCTTGATCATTCAACCACTTGCTCATGCATTCAATAAACATATACTAAGCACCTATGGTGTACCAAGTCTCATGTCATATCTTAAAGATCCAGAGGTACATAAGACAATGTTCCCACCTTGTAGGATCTGGAGCCAGAGCCAGAGCCTCTCACCTGCCAGATCTGATGAATCATCAGGTATACACCTTTGGGCAGTGGGGACTGGACATGGAGCAGTGGGAACCATGTTGCTTGCCTGGGGCAGGTATCTTAGTGACATCCTCATGTTTCTCTTTGGTCAAGTTCATATAATCCTCCTCTGTAAGCCAAACAGAGCTAGGATTGTCCTGTGGAGAAGGCTATTTTGGCCAATTCTTTGCCACGTTTTTTTCTGCCCAGAGAAGTGTAGACGTGGGCTGGGTTAGGGATGAGCCAAAGACAGAACCTTGAACAGTGCCTCAGGAGGAGAGTTCTAGAGGTCCCAAGATGTTATGTCCTGTGAGCACCCCATTCTGTCCCCTTTGAGAGGATCCAGGTTGCCTCCCACCGTGGGGCCAGGAGAATGTAAATTGTCACCATGGGCTCAGCTCGGCATTTCCAAATTTCACCCCAAATTTCCCACCACCTGCCTTGCTGTCACTCCATATTGTGATCCTCCTGCAGAAGTCAAGCCCCAGGAGGGAAGGGGTTTTCATATCATTGTTCACAGCTGTGCCCCCACACTAATAGCAGACCTCAGTACAGAGCAGGCGCTCAATAAATATTTCTTGAAAAAGAGAATTCTTGAAATGTTGGATTCTGCATCCCATGTATATTTGGAGTCTGTGTTTTGAATTCCCTATGAGTAAAATTCTTGGCACATCATGGGAACTTAACAGATGCCAACTTCTTCTCTTCCTCCCTAAGTATGCATGACATTGCAGGATGAATGGTGACTTGAATGTTCCATTGCTAACTTCACTTTGGCATCTCTCCAGGATATGATATCTATATATATGGCTTGGTTGCACTTTACTTCAGTTTACCCTTTGCCCAGAAGTCCCCAGCTGGTGAGGTAGAAGGAAAGCTAGACCCCATGGTATATCTAGAGTATCATGAAATCAATGCCCAAGGACGTGAAAATTGGGCCACAGGAGCAAATAACACCTTGGAACGGCAAGAAGCAGATGGCCAAGCTCTTCTCTGCTACATTAAAAAATCAGTGTGTATGTGGATCTGATTGGGCACGATTTATACTCAATAGGCATTCATTGAGTATCTATTATGTGCCACATCTTATGCTACATGTTTTCACTATATCTATTGATTAATCTATCCAACAACACACCTGATCACATGCATTAAAGTTATAGAGCCTTAATATTATCATACATCATGGTAAACATTACAGGCAAGGAAAAACATCTCATAATTCCCCATCCATTCCTCTTCTTTATTAGGGATCGGTTCATTATCTTGAAGGAAGACTGGTTTAAATGTGCAGATATCTGCATATTGACATTGCTGCTAGCTTCTTTCTTTGGTCTACCTTAGTGGTTCTCAAACTTGAGTGTGCCTAACAAAAACTTAACAGGGTTATATAAATAAAACAGCACAGATTTTATTTTATGGGCTATTTAAGGAATTATCCAGGGTAATATTGACCCTATACACCAGGTTAGCCTCATGTGCTCACTTCATAACCTAGCCTTGTTAACTGAGACTCCATCCTGTGACCAAGGAGTCAGGCATGCACCTCATTCTCCCACTATGGGCTTCTTGCAAGTCTCTCCATGTGCTTTCAGGGCCTGGTGAGGGGTGGGGCCAGGGTGGTGGAGAATTATCCAGCTCTCTCTGGCATCGTGCCATCTCTTTCCATAACTCAGTTTTACCAATTTTCTTTGTTGTGGCTTGGAGGCTCCGCAACTCTAAATTAAAATCTCTTATGACTATCTATGATCGCATGCCCTTTGGATGGTGGCACAAATCTTCTACATGGGCCCCGAGGGTCTCCAAGGGGAGGGCTGCTGTGTGGCAGTGGAGGATTTGCAGGTCACCTTTTTGAATCTAGTTGCTTTTATGGGCTCTGCTCTTTGGGTCTCATCAGTTCTTAAGGAAGAGCCCACTCCCATGGGAAATTTTGTGCACCCTTTTCATGCCCCTCTGCAGGAATAAAAAGAATGGATGATCCTCTAGGAAGGACCCTGGATGCTTTCTATAGAATCATCCTCAACGTCTGTCAGCCATGTACCTTGGGTAATCTGGGCCAACGTGGACAACAGCTCAATGATTAGTGACTTCTGGCAGACAGACGAAAGGATCATAAACATCCCAATGCAGAGAGATTTCACGTGATCTGCCAACTCTTAATCTCAAGGAGAACACTGGGACTGCAGGCAGATGGAGTGGGTTTCATTCCAGTCCTGCTGGTTTCAGTTGTGTAATCTTGGGAAAGTTTCTCAACTAATCTGAATCCACTTTCATTTTTTTGTAAAATTATCTACAATATAGTTGTGAAAATTAGGGGACAGAAATGGAGGAAGTGACATTTATTAAGTACCTGTAATGTGTCTGATACTTTACATAGATTATTTCATGTAAGCCCTATTAAGAAAATTATAAAGTAAAAATTTATATAAATAATTAAAAGAGTGAAAATATATTGTTTACTATGAGCCTGGTGTCAGGTCAACTGTTTTCTATGCACTTTCTCATGCAGTTCACAAGGCCATACCAGGTGGGTCATGCTTTTTGTCTACAGAAGATTCAAGCACAGAGAGGTTAAGTGATTTACCCAAAGTTGCAGAGACCAAAGGTTGGCAAGCCAGGACTCAAACTCACAATTCACTGGCCACGAGCCCATGTGTGCTATATTATCTCTTAGCATCATTGTTCCAATTTTTGGATGTAAAATGAAAGCGAACAGAAGCAAAACAACGGGCCTTAAGTGACAAAGCTTCCTAATGGTAGGTCCAGGGTCTAAACAAAACTCTGGCTTTTCCTGAAGCACTCTGCCTGTGGGATTAAATAAGACCAAGTGTGCGAATGCTAACAGAGCAAATCCTGGCATGAAGAAAGCTCTCAGCACACATGAAGCTCCCTTCTTCTTTCCTTCAAGTGTCCTTGTCCTTCTATCTGCTCTTCAGACCTGCTCTGCAGTGACACTTGTCCTGTTGTCTGATTTTACGCCCCACCCTAATCTCTACGGCTCCTGTTTCCAACCCTCCTTCTCCACCAGTTCTGACAATGGACTGCAAAAATCAAGCTGGATACATGCTTTATCAGTACTGTCAGGGTCATAACCTGCTCTGCTCTCAGCTGCCACAGACTGAGAACTGCCCTTCCACCTCCCAGCATGAAGAAGTCAACCTTCACAATCTGGAGAAGATGCAGATGGTCCTGTTTTGCCTTCTAGGGGTCCTAGATTGTCTCCTTATGTGCACCTTCTTTGTGAGGTGCTGAGGGGTTCTGGCAACAAGTCTTCTAGGAGCACAGTGGGACCAGGACTACCACGTGACACTTGATCAGAGAAATTGCTGTTAGGCATACACTTGCATGTGTGCGTGTGCACACACACCCCACTAACCCTTGTGGGAACCCTGGAGCAACTCTACAGGCAGGCAACAAGCTAGACATATGTCCTCTGGGAAGACTTTTATACAGAGACAATTAAAATGGCTGGATGGATTTTGCAGAATTTGAGAGGTATATTTTGGATGATCTGACTTAAAATATAGTCTACATGACCCATGAAAAAATTAATGTTGAGAATCCTGTAAAGATTCCAAATAGAAAGGCAGTCTTTATCCAAAGCATCTGACACTGAGAGAACACAGGAGGACCTCATGATCGCTAACTGGAGGAGATGCAGCATACTTGGTAAGATCCAAGGGCAGATAAGACAAGCTGTGTCTTAACATAAGAGTTGAAGCTCAAAGTCACAGATGTTGGTTTGCAATGAACAGCTTCTCACATGTACAACAGGACAAGCTGCAATCTCCTACCTTATCCAGTCATTGAGCATAACTGAAATGGGTATGTTTGGGGGATTTGTGACTGAAATTAGAGCTGTGTGAACTTATCAGCCTCTCATTCAGTCTGCAATCAATCATCACAAACTACCAGCCACTATCACAATCAAATAACCAACCATTCGCCTCAACCAACTATACATTACCACAACAAACCAACCAAGCCACTGTTACAACCAACCAAACACAAAAAACCACAGCAGCCAAACAACCAATTCAAGCAATCAACACAATAATTAACCACCACAATTAAACATACATTATTACAGCTCATCAACAGCAACAACCAACAAAACATCATCACATAAAACTATCACCACAATCCCTGGGAGGACTGGGAAGACTTCCACAAAGAACAGTTTAAGTTGAACTGAGATCTGAATGATGAATGCATTACCTAGAGGAAGAGGAACACGTGTTCTGGACGAGAATACAATACACAAACAGATTATGCAGCCATAGCATGCCGGGCAGGGGTGAATGGCTAGTGTGGCAGGAAAAAAGACAAGAATGTGGAGGCAGGAATTGAGGCTCTCAGGACCTCAGAAGAAGCCACACTCATTAGGGAACATTATCTTTTTCTGGAAAGAACTAGAAAATCATTGCAAGCTTTTAAGCAATTGGGGATGTGATGGGTATAATCAAAACTATTTTGTTTTTAAATCATCACTCTAGCTACTGTGGGAAGAATGCATTGAGTGGAGGCAGGGCAAAGCGAAATAATTTGGAGTGGAAATGTCAGGAAACAAAGCTAAAGATTGAGCATCCTTAATCCAAAATTCTAAAATATAAAATGCTCCAAAATCCAAAACTTTTTGGGCACCAACCTGGTGCTCAAAGGGAAAGTTGATTGGAACATTTGGATTTTGAATTTTTTGATTAGGAAGTTTTAGCCAGTAAGTATAATGCAAATATTTTTTAAAAATTCCAAATCCAAAACACTTCTGGTCACAAGCATATCAGATAAGGGATACTCAGCCTTATTGCAATAATCCAAGCAAGAGATGTCATCAGCTTAGCCTATAGTGGTGGAGATAGTGAGAAATGGAAAGATTTCAGAGCTCTTTAAGGGTTTCAATCAGAGGACCTGCTGATGGCTTGGACGCTGAGGGAGTGAGGGAGGCAGGGATGTTGAGATAGGTCAACGGAATGCCAGGTGTTCCTTGGTTCCATTAGGTTCCATTAGGAGGCCTTGGCTTGGGTGAATCCCAATCCCAATGCCAGCTTGTCCCTTAATGGGAAGAAAAAGGCCTCTCGTGAGCAGGTGGTTCATTATTTACTTTCCAGCACAGCTTGGGGCTTGCTCTAACCAAGTCCAGATGATTGAAATCCTATTCACTGTTAAGTAAATACATCTGAGCCCCTTGGAAGTGTCCACTCTGCATGGCCAGTGATGTGTCTGCCACCTACTTTAATGGTCAAATTACATAAATCTAAGTCCCATCAGGGAAATGAAATGCTAGCAAGCTCTTAATTACCATTCCTCTTCCAGATGTCACAATAACAAACAGAGGTGGAACCTGGAACCCCAAACATGTTTGAAGAACAATTAATCAGCATGTTCTGCATGAAAGCCTTGGAAAAAAATATCCCTGAACAACGAGGTGGTCTGGAGGAAGAAATTTTTCACTTAGTGATAGCAGAGAAGTGGAGGAGAAGAGAAAGAAGGCAACAGCCCAGGTAGTGCCTCCTCTGCATCTGGGCTCATAAATGCAGATGCATTTCAGAGCAGATGCAACAAAATCAAGATCAGGTTGTCAGAAAATACAGAGAAAAGACTGAGGGGTGCAGTTATGGAAGACACATTCAGAGACTAATCAATGAGGACAGAAGTGAATGAAGGAAGAGATTGATATTTATTAAGGGTCAAAAGGCTTTGTGCATTTCATTTATTCATCAAATATTTCTTGTGCACCTATTAAGTGATAGGCATTGTTCTAGGTGCTTGAAAAACAAACAAAATCTAGGCTGGGCATGGTGGCTCATGCCTGTAATCCCAGCACTTTGGGAGGCCGAGGCAGGCGGATCACGAGGTCGGGAGATCAAGACCATCCTGGCTAATACGGCGAAACCCCGCCTCTACTAAAAATACAAAAAATTAGCTGGGCATGGTGGCAGGCGACTGTAGTCCCAGCTACTCGGGAGGCTGAGGCAGGAGAATGGCATGAACTTGGGAGGCGGAGCTTGCAGTGAGCCGAGATCGTGCCACTGCACTACAGCCTGGGCGACAGAGCAAGACTCTGTCTCAAAAAAAAGAAAAAAAAAGAAAAGAAAAAGAAAAAGAAACAAAAATCTTCACCTTCATAGTGCTGACACTCTACTGAGCGAGTCAGACAATAGATAACAAATAAATGTGTGACATATTCTCATATTTATATTTATAAGGACTATAAAATAAAAAAGAACAAGAGGGCTAGAGGGCGAGTGATCATAAATAGAGCAATGGAGAGGTGTCATTTGAGCAAGGGACATGAGTGAATTGAGAAAATTCGGAATTAGGATGAACTGGGGAGATGGCATTCCAGGACTGCCCTAGATAAATTGCATTCAATGCTCATGACAGTACATCCCATTACTGCATTTTACAGATGACAATATGGAGGGTCAGAGAGATGAGTTGATGTGTCCATGTTGGTAAAGCTGGGAACTGGCAAAGCTAAGGTTTGAACCTTGGCTGGGCTAAGTTTATTTTATTATTATTGTTATTATTATTATTATTATTATTATTATTATTATTTTAAGAGACAGGGTCTCGCTCTGTCACCCAGACTGGAGTTTAGTGGCACAATCATAGCTCACTGCAGCTTCAATCTCCTGGGCTCAAGCAGTCTTCCTGCCTTAACCTCTCAAGTAGCTGAGACTATAGGTGCACATCACCATGCACAGCTAATTTTTAAAAAAATTTTTGTAGAGACAGGGTCTCGCTATGTTGCCCAGGCTGGTCTTGAAGTCATGATCTCAAGAAATCCTCCCTCCTGGGCCTCCCAAAACATTGGGATTATAGGCGTGAGCCACTGTGCCTGGCCTGGCCTGACTTTTAATCAGCTATTTTTTCACCTATAACCAACTACCTGTCAGTTGTTTTTATAACATATATATATATATGTTTTTCATAGGACTGATTAGCTAATTCCTGTACTAGCAGAATGTGTATTCATTTCTTAATGAAGGATTTTATCATTCTTTCTGCCAGTGGCTTGGTCTATGTTGTTCACTAATAATCTATGATACTGCTGGATCTCTGGATCCCTATACAGGGCCTGGTATGTAATAGAAACTTGATAAATATTTCTTGAATGAATACACAAATGAACTCACTTTCACATGTGCCATCTTTATTAGTGTCTACACAATCCCGAGAAGTGGGTGTTACTGTTGTGTTTCCATGCTTGACCAAAATTACAGAGTTGCTAGGAAGCATCAGAATTTGAGTCCAATTTTTCTGGATCTAAATCCTGGCTTCATTTCACCAGGCTGAGCTCTCTCCAGAAAGTCTCCAGAAAGCCGGTTGAGCAAAAGGCCAGTAGAGACATGACTTTCCATCAAAGAGTCATAACTGAGAGGCCATGTGCTCATCACCGTGGAGCCACTGGATGGAGGAGGCAATGTTCAGCCACAGTCTCTTCAGGGAGCATTATGCTATTAGCAACCAGGAACTCAAAGGATAAAGAACAAAGGAAACTACAACAAATTCCAACCCTTAGGGGCCTGGTGTGATGGCTCATGCCTGAAATCCCTGCACTTTGGGAGGCTGAGGCAGGGGGAACACTTGAGGTCAGAATTTTGAGATCAGCCTGGGCAACAAAATAAGGCCCTGTCTCTACAAAATAAAATTAAAAAAAAAACAACAACAACTAAAATAATTAGCCAGTCATGGAGGTGTGAGCCTGTAGTCCTAGCTTGGTTTGCGCCCAGGAGTTTGAGGCTGCAGTGAGCTATGATCATGCTACTGTACTCCAGAGCCTGGGTGACAGAGCAAGTCTCTGTTTCAAAAAAAAAAAATTTTTTTCAACCATTTGATTGGCACAATAAGGATCTCAGGAGATAAAGATGGTGATAGACGCATGATCACTGTTCAGATCAGGCAACATTTAATACTTCAGTTCCTACAATCTTACAGGAAAAGAAAATGAGAGATTAGCTGGCATGTGAGCTTTGAGACTTGCATTCAGAAAGAAAACAAGTGAAAGAAGGGCTGGAGAAAGCCAATTCCAGCAAAGAGGCTATTTCTTTTCAGAAATTTCTTTTCAGACCCTGACGGTGTTGAGAAAAGAAATCCCCTAAAGTCTCCATAGATGGAGGATAAGCTGGAGCCTCATAAGCTGGAGGCTCTGAAACATCAGGGAGGGATTAAACATATTAAGTCTGTTTACCTTGGATAAGCAATGCCCAAAGGGAGGTGTAATAACCACTCATAGACATCTGAAGGATGGAAATGCTCAGGAGAGACTGGCACTACAGGAGAGAGCCCATGGGGACCTGGCCAGGAACAAAGCAATAAAGCTAAGTCAAGGGAAGTCAGTCAGACCATCAGGGCAAACTCCAAACTTTGCAGGAAATCTTCCATCTCACCACGAGATTCTTGCCCTCTTTCTGTTCCTCAGCATGCTGTGCTCACTCCTGTCTCAGGACCCTAGTATTTGACACTCTACTGTAATTCTATAATTTTCTCTGCAATTTTCTTCCCCCTGGATCCCACAAGGCTGCTTTGGGCTTCTTTCACATGTTATCTCCCCTAGAGAGGCCATGTCAACTTCACAGTCCAAATAAAGTAGCCCTATAATCTCCCTCTACCAATCATCACATGACTGTTTTTTTTCTTACTTAGGGCACATGTGAGATAACTGCCTTTATTTAACTCTTTCCTGGTTTATTTTTTTTTTCTTCCCTGGACTAGAATATAAGAATGTCAGCCTGTGTCTGTCTAGACCAAGGACCAGCCAAACATTGTCCATGGGTTAAATATGGCCCAGCATCTGCTTTTATAAATAAAGTTTTATTCAATGCCAATTGATTTCTGTACTGTCTGTGGCCAGTTTCACTTTACACCAGAAGAATTGAGTAGCTGTGACAAAGACCTCATGGTCTGCAAAATCTAATATATATACCACCTGGCCCTTTATGGAAAAAAAAATTGTTGACTCTTGGTCTAGATTAGCACTGAATAGTCAGTGCTTCAGATGCCTTTGATAAAATTAATGAATAGAATAAAATAAAGGTTTGAGTAGGGGAAACTATATAATGCTTAAGCTAGCCACAATAGCTACAGAAATACTCAAATCAATGCAGCTCACTCGATTTAGTACAAAAAGTTTTTTCAAATATCCACTTGATTGCAATGCACTGTGCCTAGATCTGGGGAATAAGTGATAGAAATAATAGGCATCATTCCAATTTTAGAGATTCTAAGAGCTGGTATGGGAAAGAGACTAACACAAAACCTGCTGTGATTCTATGTGCTGTCAGAGGGCAGAGGAGGGCACAGCTAATTATGTCAGGTAAGGAGACAGAAGCAGACGAGGGAGAGCATCACTGAATCTATGACATGGCACCTTGGCCTTGAATATCATTAACAGTGGCTTCCACTCATTGAGCATTTTCTATGTGCTTGGCACTGCATAAATGCTTATCCCATCCCATTCTTACGACAAACCCCTGTGATGGATGCTTGTGTTAGAACAGGTCAAGTTATTCTGTAGCAACCACCAATCCTCATACCTCAGTGTCTTAAAACAACAAAGGTTTATTTCTTGTTTCTATAACATGGACAATGCACTTGGTAAGATGCAAGGGGATGGAGGTAAGGTTGCTCCATGAAGTTGGCACCTGGAATTCCAGGATGACGGATGCTCTGTCATCTAATGAAGCCACCATTGAAACAAAGCTCTAGGTTTGCTGCTTCAGGTTAGGGGAGAATGGAAAATCAGGTATCAGCTCTTAACATCTGCAGCATGTACCATTTTTAATTGATTTAAACAAGTCACATGACCACGCCTAATTTCAAGGAAGCTTGAAGTGTACCAGGAGAAAACAGGAAAATATGGTATTCATGAGTAATGTCTACCATAATATTATTTACAAATGAGGACATAACGGTGCAGAAATGTTAGGTAATGTGCCCAAGTGAGTAACAGTGGAGTCTAGACTCAAAACCCAGTCTCTCTGATCCTATCACTTGCTCCCTTAAATATGTGATGATCTAAAAGGTAGACAAGAGTGTCTCAGGAAGAGAAGGGAAGAGTTAAGACACCTTTAAGTAAATGGTTAAAGAAACAGAGGGTAAAGGCAGCAAGCCACTGAGAAATAACAGAAGACCACGTAGTTGCAACTGCAGCCTGGGAAGTGTGGCTCTTTGAAGAATGGTTGTAGTCATGTTGTGGTTTGAATAATTGTAAGGGAACGTAAAGGTGATTGACAGAAGAGGATGCCCAGAACACATCTCCATAGAGGCTCTATTGTAAAACTCCTACGAAATTCAGTTACTTTCCACCTCTCCTCCCATTTCAAAGAATGCACTCCCGGCCGTGTCCGGTGGCTCATGCCTGTAATCCCAGCACTTTGGGAGGCCAAGGCGGGTGAATCACCTGAGGACAGAAGTTCGAAACCAGCCTAGCCAACATGGTGAAACCCTGTCTCTACTGAAAATACAAAATTAGCCAAGCATGGTGGTGCATCCCTATAATTCCAGCTACTCGGGAGGCTGAGGCAGGAAAATCACTTGAACCCATGAGGCAGAGGTTGCAGTGAGCCAAGATCATGCCATTGTACTCCAACCTGGGCAACAAGAGTGAAACTTCATCTCAAAAAAAAAAAAAAAAAAAAAAAAAAGAATGTACTCCCTGAAGTACATGGGGTCTACCTCTACCGGCAGTTCCTAAGTGGCTTGTTCTCTTCCTGGCCTCCAGGTCTTGATACACCCTATTTCCTCTAACTAAAACATTCTTATTTCTTCACCTGGATAATTTCTCCTGGTCTTTAAGGGCTCAGTTTAGACATTGTCAATCCTGTGAGCCTGAGCAGAGTTTTATGCCCCACAGTGAATCTTCTAAGACATTATATACTTACTTTATCAATGGACAGACTGCACAGGATTTGAAATGCCTCCACTTGCATAAACTCCTCAGGGGCCCAGCCTGGGACTTTTCCATCCCTGACTCTTCAGCACCTCACAGAGTACCTGGCACCTTGGAGATTCTCAGTAAATATCTGTTGAGTGAATTACTATATTTAGAAAAACAAAATCCTGTGGCTCAGTGCTTCTCTAACTTTGATGTGTTTAGGTATTATCTAGGGATAGTGTTAAATCTGAATTTTTTTTTTTTTTTTTGAGACAGGATTTCACTCCCATTGCCCAGGCCGGAGTGCAGTGATGAAATCTCAGCTCACTGCAACCTCTGCCTCCTGGGCTCAAGTGATTCTTCTGCCTCAGCCTCCCAAATAGCTGGGACTACAGGAAAACGCCACAGTGTCCAGCTAATTTTTGTATTTTTAGTAGAGATGGGGTCTCACCATGTTGTCCAGGCTGGTCTCAAACTCCTGAGCTCAAGTGATCTGTCTGCCTTGACCTTCCAAAGTTGATGAGATTTTAGGTGTAAGCCACTGTGCCCAGCCTAAATTCAGATTTTGACTCAGTAAGGCTGGGGTGGAGTCTGACTGTATATTTCCAACAAGCTCTTAGCTGCTGGTCCGTGGACGCACTTTGATGAGCAAGATGTTGCAGATGCTGTTGATCCAATCCACCACCCAGGTCCTCTAATCTCACCATTCCCACTAAAGCAAACCTGATCAGTAGCAACAACCGGCATCTGTAACTCTCTGCTTGAGGTCTTTCTCTGGCTGCTGGAGCATGTTGGGTTTATGCAAAATGGAGGTACCTTAGAGTTAATGCTCCGCGGGAGCAGTCATCCACCAGTGACTGAAGTGTATTGTGAATACATCCCTCAGCTCCCTTGTCCCTTGGCTGGAGTAGCCCTGAGACATTCTCCACTGTGTCTCCCTGAGTTTCTCAATGGAATTATGTTTCCGTTGCCCACACTGGTGACCTGCTTGATAGTGCATTTGCCATTTGCTTTCCTGCCTTCTCTATCTAACTTCCATGCCTCTATTTGTGTTTCCTGGGATCAGTACTTAAGTGAACCACTTGTTATCACACCATTCTTTCAGGGGCTGCTTTCAGGGGAAACAAATTTAAGTCAGGTCCCTAAAACTTTTAGCTATCTGATCTGTCCGTCCTCAGGCTTTCACCAGGTATCCATTCATTCATTTGTTCATTCCACAAATGGGCAGGTAATGAAAGATCAATCAAAACTTGAAGGTAGGGACTAATTTTATTCTTTTCTGTGCTGCCATTTTCTAGCAGCAAAGGAGGCAAAAGTATGTCTCCTAAAAGTGTTGGTTGGTGAGGGACGGAAGGAAGGAAGGAAGGAGCTAGCTAATCTGTCCTGACTCCTCGAACCTCACGTTGAGCAAGGTGGGTGGAGCTCTCCAAGCAGAGGTGAAGAGCATTTCTGAAGAGTAATAGTATTTGAGCTGTCAGACAGATAAGTTCAAATTTCCTTTCTTCCAATTTCTCCCCAGGATACTTGAATTATCTGTGCTTCAGCGTCCTCATCTTTAAAACCAGGCTATCAATGGGACCTCTTTTTTTGGTAGAGTTATTGTAGAGATCAAATGAGATCATGAATATTGGCTCCCCAAAACATGCCTGACCATTGCGCTCAGAAAGTAGCGGATCCCATTACTATCCATGTTTACATTGACTTCCTCCATTAAGTCCGCTCCCGTGCTAAAGCCTTTAAGACTGTCTGAAATAGAGTCGAGAACAGAGACAGGTGGCAGATCTAGATGCACAGTCCTCAAAAGGAAGCTTCCCTTCCTTCCTCTTTAATGTGAATGGCTTTGCCTATAGCAGCAGAGGTTCTGCCTCAGTTCAAATCCTTGCTCTGCTACCGATAACTTTTTGGACTGATAATTTTGGACAATTACTTAACTTCTCTGAGCCTCAGTTTACTGAATTTGTATAACAGGGATAATAATGGTGCCTTATAATACTAATGTGATTGTGATGTTTAAATGGCATAATGCATACAAAGTGCCTGATAAATAGTAAGGATGCAATCAATGTTTGCTGTTGTTATTATTATCGTTACTGTTATTATTACTAGACCCAGGGAAGCTACAGGGCTTCCAGGCAGTCCTGCCAGCATTTGCTCCTAAATGTATTCAAGAATACAAGCTTGACTACTTTTCCTTGACTGCCAGCTTTAAATGAGCTCTTCATTTTCAAAGGATACATTTGATAAGTTTGTGCATTTGCATGCTGCCAAAAGCCCCCTGTGGCTTCTATAAGTCCAGATTATTCTGTTTATTCCTTCAGTCACAGCTGTCGTTTATCGTGCAGAGGCAGCTCGTTTATTATGTCTCGGGCATCCCAGGCGCCTGCTCAGGGTAGCCTTGTAAACTATATCTGCCTGCCTCTGTCACCGAGTGAAATGTTGACAGTGGCACCCACAGTACTGGTCACCAGCAAAGGGGCCTGAGAAAGTGTTGGGCTGAGAAGTTCCTGGGAAGAGCCCCTTCTTTTCTTCCTGCCAAGCACCACAAACAATGAGAGCCTACTGTTCCGTTCTCATTTTTCTGAATTGGTACCAACAGCTGCTTTCATCCTTCTACAAGACAAACACTGTCGTTTTCCTGTTTTATTATTAACACATTCTGGCATAATTGCTTGGGCTCTCAACTGTGACCTGTTAGAGATTCATTCAGCCGTGGAATTTTCAAGGGAAATACAGCATCGTGGTTAAAGACTGCAATATGCATTTTTCCCAACCAAATCTATTTGCCTGTAAGCCCCCAAGTCAAATCTCTTGTTGAATTTGTTCAAACATAAATTAATAGTTGAATTTACATAGATTTAATGTCTTATAATCTTTCTGGTCTGGGAATCTATATTCAAGACTAGATGCATGAGCTCAGATATACCGTGTTTAATGCTGAAAATAATTTTAAGCCCTCTGAAGCCCAATCCTCTTGCACATTACTAAATCAAAGCAGCCAATCCTTTCTAATAAGACCACACAAAACCTGCTGCTGCCAGCTAATAAATACACATTTAGGATTTGGGCCATGTGCATGGGTCTATTTCTTTAAAAAAATAAAGCACAAACAGGCTGGGTGCGGTGGCTCACGCCTGTAATCCCAGCACTTTGGGAGGCCGAAGCGGCTGAATCACGAAGTCAGGAGATCGAGACCATCCTGGCTAACATGGTAAAACCCTGTCTCTACTAAAAAATACACACACAAAAAAACTATCTGGATGTGGTCGTGGGCGCCTGTAGTCCCAGCTACTCAGAGGCTGAGGCAGAAGAATAGGCATGAACCTGGGAGGCAGAGCTTGCAGTGTGCCGAGATCATGCCACTGCACTCCAGCCTGAGGGACACAGTGAGACTCCATCTCAAAAATAAATAAATAAATAAAATAAAGCACAAACAGCTTTCACATCCCAGCCCACAGTGACACAGACACTGTTCATTTTTTTACATATTTTTTGAAACCAAGTTTTGTTCTGTTACCCACACTGCAGTGCAGTGGCACAATCATAGCTCACTGCATCCTCAACTTTCTGGGCTTAAGTGATCCTCCCACATTAGGAGCTAGGACTACAGGTGTGTACCGCCAAGCCTGGCTAATCTCTTTTTTAATTATTTCTAGAGGTAGGGTCTTGCTATGTTGCCCAGGCTGGTCTCAAACTCCTAGCCTCAAGCAATCCTCCTGCTTCAGATTCCTAAAGTGTTGGAATTATAGGCATAAGCCACTGTGCCCAACCACACGGTTCATTTTTGAGGCTTATTGAAAATGCTTAAGATAAACATCCCTTTAATCATATCTACATAAATGTCCTTTGTATTGACTGCATTCATGCATGCTACCAATACTCACTGGGTCCCCAGGATACCATTAGCCTGGGAACTGGACATCCAGCAGTGAACAAACCAATGAAGTTCCTGCTTTCATGGAGCTGATATTCCAAAAGGGGACTTTTTGGAATATCACAAATAAACGTGTAACATGTCAGGTGGCAATAAGTGCTCAATAAGCACAGTGGAACAAGGGGTTAACTTTTGCTCCTACAAGAAAGCATGACGGCAATACAGCCTATTGTAAAAGGTGATCAGGAGCTGAAAGACAGGGGCAGAGAGCCATGCTGATATCCAGATACCATAGACTGTTATCAACATGATGTGGCTGTTCCTCCCAAGAGGTGGGGCCTATTTCCCTGTCTCCTTGAATCTGGGTTTGCTACTGATCAAAGCAATGTCACATAAAGTAAACATGACCAATAGAATGTAGGAGAATGGTTTTATGCCTGTCTCTGACCCTGGGCCCTAAATGGCCTTGCAGTTCCTGCTTTTGTTCACCATCTTGGAACCCCAGGACCACCATGATGCAAAGAGACTGAGGTGGCCCAGTGAACAGCCAGACCAGTGGCCAGTCAAGTGAGTGAGGCACCATGGACTGTGGGAGGACTGCAGCTGCATGAATGAACCCAGGTGAGTAGAGCAGAAGAGCCTCTCCACAGAAACATGAGGAATAATATACCAGTATTGTTCTGAATCACAAAGTTTTGGGACATTTTGTTATGCAGCACTAGCTAGCTGCAACACCAAGATAAAGAGTGTTCCCAGAAAACAGAATAGTAATGTCAAGACTCTGAGGCACCTGTATTTGGGAAAGGGAGATTCAGCAAATCACAAAGTGGCCAGTGTGGCTGAAAGAAAATGTGCATGAATGCATGAATCCTTAACCACTCTGAACAATTTCTAAGGAATTCAGAGTGCCTACTCTATGAACTCTTACAAGCAGTGGCTACTTCTGTTTCCTACCATCCTCATACCCCAGAAGCTGCTATCAATTGAGGTATAATTCTGGTTACCTCAATTAATCCTCATGGCAGGATTTTCCCAGTTCAGAGATGAAGAAACTGCTAGTTTCTTTCCCAGCTAACCAAATCTACCCAGGTAGTGAGTGGGAGAACCAAAAATTGTTCTAATTCTAAAGCCCATGTTTTAATCACTATGCTTCCTTAGCTCCCAACCCTTATCCCCCACCTTATGCTCATTGGCTGGGGTAGTTTCTTCCAATCCCACTTTTTTCACTGCAGGCATTCTTGTAGTAATAATGAGCCTAAGACACTCCTTGCTAGATTAACACTTCAATTAATGCCAATACCTCAGCCTACCTGAATGTGATCTTTCAGGCACAGCAAGTCTAGCTTAACCAGCTAGATTGTTTGAGTACACTCAAAGTCACTGCTTTAGCCAAGTTAACCTAAACACCGTGCTCCTACTGAATTGCCAGGATGCCTGTCTCCCTCTGCATTGAACCCACACAGCTACAAGCACATTATGCCTCTCTCTCACGTTATTCCTGCTGTTAGTATATCATCTGTACCTTCAAGTGCTTTGTACTTTAACAGAGCTTGTATGCTCAAGCCATAGACACCGATAAAACCAAGAATTCTAAGAAGGTGCAATAATTTGAAGTAGATCCATAAAATTGGCTGGTCTGGGACTGACTAGTGGTGAAGGTTGAAGAGAGTTATTTTTTCTTTTTTCTGTGTGTCATTGATGGAGAAATGGATTATACTCGGAAAACAAAGGCTAGGGACAAACTATTAAATTTGTAGTTGACAATATATAAGCTTCATAGACATCCCAAGGAGGAATGCTGAGACTAACTAAGTTTAAGGTATTGAAAATTATTTCAAAAAAGGGGATGTCCAATATTGCAGCAGATAATGTATTCTTTCTAGTATTGAAAAACCAGGCTGGCATGGATGAATAATTGAGGCGTTTGAGAATCATGGGAATGTTCTTTGGGAATGTATCAGGCAATGTATTTAAGAAAAACGGATTCCAAGCATATTTATACCCCAGCCAGCTGAGAAAAGGATGTAAGGCTCATGGTATAATTATTCCCTGTGCACTTCTATCCAGTTTACTGCCATGTTCCCCAAAGTCTACACACTATTTGTAGAAAACTGCAAAAGACCACATCCTGCAATGAGGTATGCATGGCTCCTGTTAGATCCATAAGTAGAAATAACAAATTCCAATGGAAAATACTCTGTTATTCATTCATCATTTCAACAAACCTTTCTTGAGCATTGATTATTGGATCGGCTCCAAGTTGAGTGCTAGAAATACAGCATTGCCCCTGTTCTCGGGTAATTACTACCTAATAAGAGGGAGAGACTTGTTAATGATGGTCATAGAGTGCTCTGAGTACTATGGGAGATATGAACAGGTGCTTTGCAACCACCCAGGAGGTTGGCTAGCCCATATTGCAGGAGAGACTCAGGAAAAGGGTTGGTCTGGAAGAGTTTTCTCAACTTAATGACACATGGTGTGAGTCTTTTTTTTTGAGACAGAGTCTCACTCTGTTGCCGGGCTGGAGTGCACTGGCACCACCTCGGCTCACTGCAACCTCTGCCTCCCGGGTTCAAGCGATTCTCCTGCCTCAGCCTCCTGCGTAGCTGGGACTACAGGCGCGTACCACCACGCCCAGCTAATTTTTGTATTTTTAGTAGAGACAGGGTTTCACCATGTCAGCCAGGCTGGCCTCGATCTCTTGACCTCGTGATCTACCTGCCTCAGCCTCCCAAAGTGCTGGGATTACAGGCATGAGAGCCATCATGCCTTGCCGGTGTGAGTTTTAAGTTAAAGTTAGTCAGACAAAGAAAACAGGGACAGGCACCCCCCAAAGTGAAAAGCTTGCTTGAAGCTCAGAGTCGGGGCATGTGCATTCACATATATAGAGAACATGGTAGTTACAGGAAAGCAGGCAGGAGATAAAATTAGAAAGTCAGAGTGGCCAGGTAATACATTGCATTGTGTGTCGAGCCTGAGAGATAAGGCTTTGTTTGAATGGATGCCAAACATAAAAAAAAAATGTGTATATTCAGAATGATAGGAAAATATTCAGCAAATAAACAATGTATTATAGGGAACCAGCCCTTTCTCTTTCCCACTCCATCATTTGTAGTATGTTGGCTTTTGTCTTTGGTACCTATCACTCACTGCCAGATGGATGCTCCAGCTCCAGACATCACAGCGACATTCGAACAGGAAGAAGGATGGATAGATGGAAGTGGCATTGGCCCTTCACATCTCTTTATCAAGAAGTCAAAAGCATTCCCAGCCCCCAATAAATGTATGCTTACCTCTCAACATCCGGAACATGCCACAAGGTCCCTGCCTAGTTTGCAAAGATGGCTGGAAACATATTAAGCTTTTCCAGCCGTAAGAAACAGAAAAAAAAATTGTTTGTGAATGGTTTAGCCAGACAACTGTACCTGATGTGAGATTTAGAGCAGAATTTTCATTTTGGAAGATAAAAGGGAAACACTACTGAAAGCTGCAGGGAAGCTACAGGTTTCCTGCCCTCAGAGGGTCCTGAGTATAATGATGTGGGGCACGGAGGGAGCCGCTTGGAAATGCTCCTTCATGTAAGTGGAAGGCTTTTTGTTCGGAAACCGGAAGGCTGAGGGGGATTACCAACACATTCGGTAAGAATAATCAAACCTGGGAAAATAATGCAAGGTCTTGATGGTACAAACACGGGCTTCTCTACCAATTGCTATAATTTTATAGTAATATTCAAGTAGTACATTGGAGTTTACAACATAAATAATTACACTTTGTCTTATTCAGTCCTGTGGTAACCCGAGAGGTAGAGAAAACTAGATACTCAGAAGCTAGAAGCAATAAGGCATCCACCCAAAAGTGACACAGGTAGCAACTGTCAGAAACCAAATTCAAACCCAGGATATTTGGTACCATATCCCCAATACTGCACTATCTCTTTGACAGAATAGCAAACAAATGTAATGATACCTACAGTGCGTGTGATGCTTTAAAGGTATTTAGATATTAAAAGTTCTGACCAGGACCGGTGGCTCACGCCTATAATCCCAACACTTTGGGAGGCCGAGGAGGGAGGATCACTTGAGCCCAGGAGTTTGAGACCAGCTTGGGCAACATAGTGAGACCCTGTCTCTACAAAAATACAAAAAATTAGCCACGCATGATGGCACACCTGTAGTCCCAGCTACTTGGGAGGCTATGGTGGGAGGGTCACCTGAGCCTGGGAGGTCAAGGCTACAGTGAGCCAAGATCACGTCACTGCACTCCAGCCTGGGTAACAGAGTGAGACCCTGTCACAGAAAAAAAAGAAAAGAAAAGAAAAGAAAAGAAAAGATCTGAACTCTTGAAGCATGATAGATCTCCAAATTTGCCTAATCTGAAAAAGTTTTCAAGAGTAATTCTGACTACACAAATTTCAACCTCATCATTGACACTAATATCCAATGTCCCTGTAAGAGGGGGCTGCATTCTTTCTAAAGGCTGCTGTGAAATTGGCATAAAATGGTGCATCTAACATGCTCAGCACATTGTCAGGCACAGAGGAAGTGCTCAATAAATGTTTGTTGATTAAAGAAACTGAAAAATAGTAAGAATGGTAATGCTGTTTACTATGTGCTAGACACTGTTCTAAGTCTTGGCATGTATTAACTCATTTAAGCTCATTAGATAATTCATCATGTTTTGCTCCATTTCATAAACAGGCTCTTTTCTCTTTTTAAAGGATGCTTTACTTAAGCAGATTTATTTTTTGTAGAGATTTACTTTTCTACTACAATGAACAACTTTTGGCTCAACATGAACAAGTCGTCAGAATCACCAAACTCAATGATCTTGAAAGTGTCTCTTAGTAACTAGACAATAAGAGTTTTCTAAATTTTTCTGATTTTCTTCAAACTAAATGTCTTGTTTTCATGGAAAAGTTACAGGACAAAGCACTAGTGTTACATTACTATTCTAGGATCTTATCATAAAATACACATTGTACACAAAAAATAACTCAAAGATTTTAAAGTGTGATAACCACAAAATAAGAAATATAAAAACTGATTGTCCATCTAAAGACAACCTAAAATACTGAAGAAAAATATTTCTAAAGAGTTGTCTTGGGTGCAAAAACACACCTTTAGCCACTGCACTATACTGACTATCATGTATAAAAATGGGATGTTATCCTGTTTTAGGCACCATCTTAAATTTCTAAGACTGAGACCACCACCATGCATATATCCCTGCCAATTACAGGGCTCTAGAGATTCCTGGTCTGATGCTGGGTACCAATTCTGATGCTCCGTGTCCCACACCAAAGCTATCACCAGCTCATCAGCCAGAGTACACAATTCCAGACAGCAGGTAGAAGACGGAACATCCCTCTTCTAGATTGGCTTGCTCTCCTAAAAGATAAGACCCCCTCATCTAGAATCCTACGGAGTCTGAATCAGAATAAGCCTAACAAATAGTTCATTCAAATGTTTTCTGAGAGCAGAGAACACAGAGGCCCAGAAAGGAAAGGCATTTGCTGAAGGCCACACAACAAGTAAGTGGCCCCTTATGGACCCAGAACCCAAGCCTCCTGGTGCCGAAGTTTCACATGACTCTCTGCTGACTTTCTCAAACTATTCTCCCCTTCATGTGTAATGATCCTTCCTTCAGCTGCATCAAAATCCAAAGATAGGGAAAGGCTACTTCATAGATGTGAAGGGCCCATCGGAGGAGAAGATGGGAGAGTCATTTGGCCCAAGTCATATGCTTCCAGTTGGCTCCAATTTGAGACCCCTCGTGAGTGTTCCAAATGCGATGATGCACTTAGTTATATGCTAACATGACAGGTAGAAGAAAAGGTGCATTCCAGGGGAGGGCCTAGGGTGAGGCAAGTGAAGCACCTAGGTTACAAAATTGAAACAAGTCTGATCCTGAGAGTGAGCGCTCCCTTCAATGTTATACCCTAGGCACTTCACTTTCCTCATTATGGTTCCAGCCCTGGTGTATTCCTACAGCCTCACACTTGAGTCCTGCAACCGACCTTTGGTGTGTGACTAATGCATGTATTTTAAAATAAATCTTCTAATCATCATGTAAACAGTGCGACTCTATTGCATCACATTTTTATTAGTAAAAGCACTAAATGTAAGCAGTGGACAGATGCCACCATTTATAACCTTGTTTTGGCATGTCATGATTTTTTAATATAACCAAAGCCTCAGAAAATGCAAGTGCCCTGAGCTTCTCAAAAATTGAGATGTCTTGAAGCACTGAAATACTTCCTTTTCCCTCTAGAGTCTGCCTTGGACTTAGATTCCTCAACCCCTTGCTTCCTGTCCTCCTTCTTCAGTCCTAAAACAGCACTTTTCACCACAACCCCGCACCCACGGACTCCTAATTTCTACAGCCGCTTCCCCATCATCCTCCAAACCTGACCCCTTTCTCCCTCACCCCTCACCTCCTCTCAAGGATGTTTTCATAGTGGGTTCTGTTTTATGTGCTCCCTCCTCGCATCACAAAGAATTGCATCTCCAGGGTTTGTGGAGCTCGTGTAGGGACGCCTATAGGGCTTCATGCATAATTAATGACAATTCAGCTACACATGTTTTCTATTAGCAATTCAGCCTCTTTTAGGACTTTTTAAAACACACTTTGCAATTCACCAAAATTCTGAGAGGCATTTAAATAGGAAAAATTCATAAAAGCACAGAATGTCTGAGGTTTCTGGAAGGAGGCTTTAATGAAGAATGTCTCCCCAGAGGAGCATTTCCTGAAATGCTTTCTGCTCTGTACCACAAGTTTCTCCAGATGAGTAGGAGACTAAATCGCAGGTCTCCTCAAAAACAATGTCAATGGAATGCCTTTTTTAAAAAATGGTCCCAGGTTACCATAACAACCAAGGTTCCAACAACGTGTTGACTAACTGCAAAGTGATATGATCAGGAAGACCAGAGCAGAGAACAAAAGTATCAGGTTGCTATAGCAACTGGATATACAGAAAATGGAGTTGTTTCAATAGGGAAGTTTTCAATGCAAAAGTACATGTAAAGCATCCTTCTAGGGTGAACGATCATCCAGGAAATTTTTACATTACCCAAGAGATGTTCCATCATTTTGCTTGGTTGCCAAATCTCTAAGACGCTGTATAACATACAGTCTGAAAACTTAGTGACTGTAAACAATAGCCATTTATTTATCTTATGAGTCTGTGGGTTGGCTGGGAAGTTTTGCTGAACTGTGCCAAGTGCAGGTTATATTATCTGGGCTATGCTCCCAGGATTTCAGCTAGGCTTGTTCTGACGTCTGCAGCTGGGAGCTGGCCACTATGAAGGATATGAACAGACACTTCTCAAAAGAAGACATTTATGCCCCCAACAGACACATGAAAAAATGCTCATCATCACTGGCCATCAGAGAAATGCAAATCAAAACCACAATGACATATCATCTCACACCAGTTAGAATGGCGATCATTAAAAAGTCAGGAAACAACAGGTGCTGGAGAGGATGTGGAGAAATAGGAACACTTTTACACTGTTGGTGGGACTGTAAACTAGTTCAACCATTGTGGAAGACAGTGTGGCAATTCCTCAGGGATCTAGAACTAGAAATACCATTTGACCCAGCCATCCCATTACTGGGTATATACCCAAAGGAATATAAATCATGCTGCTGTAAAGACATATGCACACGTATGTTTATTATGGCACTATTCGCAATAGCAAAGACTTGGAACAAACCCAAATGTCCAACAATGATAGCCTGGATTAAGAAAATGTGGCACATATGCACCATGGAGTACTATGCAGCCATAAAAAATGATGAGTTCATGTCCTTTGTAGGGACATGGATGAAGCTGGAAACCATCATTGTCAGCAAACTATGGCAAGGACAAAAAACCAAACACTGCATGTTCTCACTCATAGGTGGGAATTGAATAATGAGAACACTTGGACACAAGAAGGGGAACATCACACACCAGGGCCTGTTGTGGGGTGGGGGGAGGGGGGAGGGATAGCATTAGGAGATATACCTAATGTAGATGACAAGTTAATGGGTGCAGCATAGCAACATGGCACATGTATACATATGTAACAAACCTGCACGTTGTGCACATGTACCCTAGAACTTAAAGTATAATAAAAAAAAATATATATATATAAAAGAATTTACTATAAAAAAAAGAAGGCATCAACCGCGATTACTTGACTTTGTTCCATGTAGTCTTTCATCCTCCATCAGGTTACCCTGGATGTGCTTTTATGGAGGAGCAAGGTTCCAAAAGAAAGCCTAATCTCAGAAGACCCCTTGGTGCCTGGGTTCAGAACTGGTAAGTGATCACTTCCACCACCTTCTGTTCACTAAAGCAAGGCACATAGCCAGCCCAGATTTACAAGGTGTAGAAATAGATACCATTTCTTGTTGGAAGAGGCTGCAACATCCCATTTTAAGGAATGTGGGCTGGGTGCAGTGGCTCATGCCTATAATTTCAGCACTTTGGGAGGCTGAGGCAGTTGTATCACTTGAGCCCAGGAGTTTGAGACCAGTCTGGGCAACATGGCGAAACTCTGTCTCTACAAAAAATGCAAAAATTAGCTGGGCATTGTGGCATGTGCCTGTAGTCCCAGCTATCCTGGAGGCTGAAGCAGAAGGATCACTTGAACCCAGGAGGTTGAGGCTGCAGTGAGTTGTGACTGAGTCACTGCACTCCAGCCTGGGCGACAGAGCAACACCCCGTCTCAAACACAATACATAAATAAATAATATAGATATTGGCAGAAGTGGAGAATTGGGGTCATTTTTGCAAACAGTGTATCAAGATGCCAACATTTACATATAAAACATCCTTGAAATCATACACATAAGTTGGACATGCAAAAATCAAACAATTCACCTACATATTAAAAGGCATTTGGCTTCCAGAGAGCAAAACAATATCAAAAAAGGCCAAAATACATCTCGTATGTTAGATACAGTTTCCAAGGATGTATTTTCAGGATTTTGTACTTGTTCTTTAATTTCATCCCCTTCCTTTAAAACAGAAAAGTCAAACGACCACTTGAGCCCCAAAGGGCATATAATTGAGGTCGGAGATGAAATTACCTGAAATGTTCATTCACCTACTGAATGGAGAGGGGAAGTTTAGGGAGGTGATTAAAAGTGTGGACTTCAAAGTCAGATGGCTTAGGTTCAAATTTTCTTTCACACTCTGACTGGTTATGTAAATTTGGGGAAGACCCTTGATGTCTATGGTGCTCAGAACCCTCACCTGTAAAATGAGGCTAGAATATTACTCTATTTTATTGATCCTAAGATCTACGTTAAACTTTTTAATATAGCTGACATTTGGGGTACCACATCATTGATGCCATGTCACAGTCAAATATAAAATAATTTTGTGTCCTACAACTGATAGCATATTAGGGTCACAGAATGTGGCAATGTCTTCCTCAGGGGATTGGGTTAATCTGTGTGGACTGATTAGAATAATGTCTATCCCCAGTAAGTGCTCAGTAAATGTGAATTAAGAGGAGGAGGAAAATACACCTTTGGCATACATGTTGAAGGGTTATAGAGGTAGATATGCAAAGTATGTGCATTCAAGTTGTACAGAGTTTGAATATTTGAAAGTGAAGCACAGTCTATGTCTATTCCAGGATTGCACTAGTCTGTTCTAATGCTGTTAATAAAGACATAACCAAGACTGGGTAATTCACAAAGGACAGAGCTTCAATTGTGACTCACAGTTCCACACGGCTGGGACGGCCTCACAATCATGGTGGAAGGCAAAGGAGGAGCAAAGTCACGTCTTGCATGGTGGCAGGCAAGCAAGAGACACCATGTGTAGGGGAACTGCCCTTTATAAAACCAACAGATTTTGTGAAACTTATTCACTACCATGAGAACAGCATGGGAAAAACCCGCTCTCATGATTCAATTACCTCCCACCAGCTCCTCCCCATGACACCTGGGAATTATGGGAGCTACAGTTCCAGATTTGGGTAGGGACACAGCCAAACCATATCAGGGATGTTGTCTTTTCTGGAGATGTAAAGAAAGCTGAACTTCCCTAATTATTAGTTAGTGCCATCAGCAATTTTTCTTGACTTTATTTAACATCAACCCTGGGAGGACAATTTCATTTTCCCAAGTTACAAAAGAGAAAACAGAATCAGTGAGGTGGCACAGGGGTGGCTGGGGTGGGGGGTGGTGGGAATGCTATACTTAGGGTCACAAACTCAATTAGTGGCAGAGAAAAGTTACACCCAAATATCTTTGACACCAAATTGTTTTCACTAATTTGGTCATGTCTCCCTTGGGACATGACCTAGCAGAGAAGGGGAGCAATGGATGACGCTATTATTTTAGCGCTCAGATTATGCATTCAAAATGAGGAGGGACAGAGAATCAATGCTGATTCAGAACTTCTCTCTAGGAAGTGGTTGGAAGCAGCTATTTTGTTGGACTAAGAGCGGGAGACTTTGTCTGAAAATAATATTTGCACAGGAAGCACGTTTAGATATTTTATTTTTATTTCAATTGCAATTTGTTTGGAGGAGGTGTGGAAGTGTTGTTAAGTAGAGATGATGAGGGACAAACCACCCCTCTGGGCAACCAGTGCAGCCTAAAAAATGGTGCTTAATCCCCTCTACCTGTCAAATTCCCATGCACTTACAAGGACTTTCCTACCTGATCTAGCTCCTGGGAGTCCTCATATGACTTTATCTGTATCTGCAGTCCTGTTCCACAGCACAGACCCTGCCAATGATTATTTACTACATAAAATTTGCTGATGCCTACACAACCCCACAGGAATTCATTCCATATATAGAACTAATGTCCACAGAACAGATGTCCTGAGCATTGCATACTGCAAAGGGATCTCCTTCCTTTGGTCATAGAAAGAATGTAGAGTGAGGCTCTCATTCTAAAGTGAGATGCAAGAAATCGTGTGGAATTCTGTGGTGACAATTAGGCAGGAGAAATTCAGCACTTTATTCTACCTGCTCTTCTGCACACTGTCTTTCTGTAATTAACCTTTCAAGTGTCTCAACACTGCAGCTGCTGGTGGTGAGTCTCATTTACCTAAGTGACAGGTGTGTGTTGGAAATCACCCAGGTTTCTTGCAGATGCTCAGAGAATGAGTAGATGGAAAGAGGAAGAAAAGAAGAGAGGGAGAGAAGGAAAGAAGAAGGAAGGGACTGAACGGGGAACAGATTAAAACTTTTCGCCTTTGTTCATTTCTTATGTAGAATATTTCATTTCCTCAAATATCAGATAGTACAAAATGATGCAGTGATAATAGTCTTGCTCTCAATAACATCATTAAAATGTTCCATCTCTCTTGCGAGAGAATACCGTTCCTCCCACCTCTTTACAAATTCCTTTTTAAAAACTTTCGGCCAAGAAAAATAAGTTTTATATGATAGACATGTAGGACTTCCTTTATCTAATAATTAGCTCATACCCCTTGTACTGTTTGTAAAACTCTTAACCATCTCTGCTTTTACCCCACATACAGGTGTTCATGTCGTAAGCAAATCACTTACAAAGCAAGTCTCCTATTGAGTGGTCTTACTCGTGCCTTGCATTTTAGGATTCATAGTGAAGACCACTCTTCTCTACAAGATTGTAAAGATATGGCATATCATACAACGGGCAGCTGTATGGATCTCATGTCCACCTCTTTTGAGTAACATAATGCCATAAAAATGGGCAGACATGTGTCTTATTAACGTATACGTGATGTAGACAATTATTTTGTTGTCCTGTTTTGCTCTTTTCTATCACAACTAAGAAGCCAGTGCAAGGTTTTGGAACTTGATCTCTAATTTTCCTCTATCTGAATTTCTCCATCTAGATTGTCAGTAGTCTAAGGTGTGATTCACTTCTTACTTATATTCAATCTCCTGTGACTAGGCTGGTGTACAGAGCTTAGAAACTAAGAACTCTCAATAAATGTTGAAATTCATGCACATCATTTTGCCTCCTCTCCCTCTTTATCTCTTACTTTGTGGTGTAGTCTATGCTGACTGTCCAAACTTACTGGACCATATTTTATTTTTATCTTTTTTTTTCGCTTTTATTTTGAGTTCAGGGGTACAAGTGCAGATTTGTTACAAAGGTAAACATGTGTTATGCAGGTCTGTTGTACAGATTATTTCATCACCCATGTATTAAGCCCACTACCCATTAGCTATTTTTCCTTATCTTCTCCCTCCTCCCACCCTCCAGCCTCTGAAAGGCCCCAGTGTGTGTCATTCCCCTCTGCGTGTCCATGTGTTTTCATCATTTAGCTCCCACTTATGAGTGAGAACATATGGTATTTGGTTTTCTGTCCTGTGTTAGTTTGCTAGTGATAATGGCCTACAGCTCCATCCATGTCCCTGCAAAGGACATGACCTCATTCTTTTCTATGGCTGCATAGTATTCCATGGTGTATATGTACCACATTTTCTTTATGCAGTCTATCATTGATGGGCATTCAGGTTGACTCCATGGCTTTGCTATTGTGAATAGTGCTGCAATGAATATATGCATGCATGTGTCTTTATAATAGTATGTTTTATATTCCTTTGGGTATATACCCAGTAATGGGATTGTTGGGTCAAATGGTTTTTCTGTCTTTAGGTCTTTGAGGAATCATATGAATAAAAGCTCAACATCATTGATCATTAAGAAATGTAAATCAAAGCCACAATGAGATACTATCTGGAATGTATTTTAATTCAACCTCAGATTAACTTTACTGGTGGTGATGGTATGAACAGCCACATAATTAAGACTACAATCCTGCTGGGCACGGTGGCTCATGCCTGTAATCCCAACACTTTGGGAGGCCGCAGCAGGTGGATCACCTGAGGTTGGGAGTTCGAGACCAGCCTGACCAACATGGGGAAACCTCGTCTCCAAGAAAAATACAAAATCAGCCCGGTGTGATGGCACATGCCTGTGATCCCAGCTACTGGGGAGGCTGAGGCAGGAGAATCACTTGAACCTGGGAAGCAGAGGTTGCGGTGAGCCAAGATCACGCCATTGCACTTCAGCCCAGGCAACAAGAGTGAAACTCTGTCTCAAAAAAAAAAAAAAAAAAAAAAAAGACTACAATCCTAGCTGCTGTCTCTGCTCCTAGGCCTTCCCAGTCCTGGCCTACACCATAAATCTATCTGAACTACTCTGGCTGACTTCAAGTCTCTCCTTAATCTGGTCCTATGTACCCTGTGTTTTTCCCACCAGTGCCTAAATCCTCCATGACATCTGCGTGCTTCACTGTGGCTTCTGCACGATGCTCAGTCTTCCCTCTGAGCCTTTGCTCATGGTCTACCCGACACCTAGCAAGCCTCCCTTCTACCCTCTATACCCTAAGCACCTTGGACATTAAGACAGCATTGGAAACTTTTTTTTTGGATAGGGATTAAAAGTAACTAACATTTAAAAACTGAGTTTAGTTTAAAAGATTTCCATCATCTCTTGCAAAGGTGGAAGATTTGGCTACACTGGGCATTCCCTCCTGTATGACATCTATTGGAGAGAGATGAACAATGGCTGGTTTCTTAAAGAGGGTCTGTGCTGTCTGGCTCACCATAGCCCCCAACATGCAGACAGCACATACGTGGACACTAGCCCCATTCTCTTGTTTATGTTACCTACCTAGCTTCTTATATATTTTAGTCATAAACCTAATCGACTCCCTAAGATCTAATTTAAGGCCATTTCCTCCAGAAAGTGGATCCTGACAGTGTTTTAGTTGTTTCCCTGAGGGAGTAGGGGATGTTAATTACCAACAAGAATGTCCTAATTTACTGGAGTTTACTAGTTACCCACGGCTTTGTGGCATCTGGAGGTTCATTACTGGCATCCAAACAACATTCTGTGTCCCCGGCCCATGCAATCAGCTAGGATGTTCCCCACAAGAGAAAAGTTGTATCAGATGCCCTTTAACATGCTTGCCAACTCAGCTTAATATGGTTCTGTGAGCATCTCACCTACCCATTTTCTTTCTTTATTTTTTTAAGAGACAGGGTCTTCCTCTGTCATCCAGGCTGGAGTGCAGTGGTGCAATCATAGCTCACTGCAGCCTCAAACTCCTAGGCTCAAGCACTCCTCCCACTGAACCTCCCAAGTAGCTAGGACTATAGGTGTGCACCACCACACCTAGCTAATTTTTAATGGTTTTTTTCTTTTTTTTTTTTTTCAGTAGAGACAAGGTCTCACTATGTGCCCAGGCTGGTCTCAAACTCCTGGCTTCAAACACCTCAGCCTCCCAAAGTGCTGGGATTACAGGTGTAAACTACCATGCCCAGACTCATTTTCTCCTTATCACACATCCATGACAAGGCTGAGCATGGTCTCATTTGCTGAAAATGGATAGGACAGCAGGGTACAGACAGAGGCTATAATTCAACCAATGGAAGGGGTTGGGGAGGAAGATGTTGGGGATGATAGAAATGCTTAGATCCAGCTCTGGGTTACAAGAGAAAGTCAGACTTTCCCAGAAATTCTGGGAAGTATGGAGAGATTCATGGGATGAGCTCAGCACAGGATACCAGAGTGTCTTGGCATCAGCAGCATGAGAGCAATGTATGAGCCTTGATGGCAGGAATCATGGCAGACAAGCATTTAGAAAGTTTATTCTGCTCTTTGGCCAAGTATTGGTTAAAAGGAAAGCAGTTGAAACTGTAACCAAAGAAGGCATATGCTTCCAGAAATATCTCAAGAAAAAATATTGCAAGTAACAGTAGTAGCTGTTGGATTGGGCTCTAAAGTGAAGGTTGAAGAGATTCAACCAGTTAGCATGAAAGTTGGTGATAAAGTTCTTCTCCAACTTTGGTGCCAGAATATGTAGTGAAAGTTGGAGATAAAGTTCTTCTCCCAGAATATGCAGGCACCAAAGTGGTGCTAGGTGACAGGAATTATTTCTTATTTAGAGATGGTGACATTCTTGGGAAGTACGTAGACTAAAATAGATCACTATTGAAATAGCATCAACATGAGCTCGTGCATTCCACTGAAGTTCTGAAATCTTTCATCATGTAAACAATTTTCGTGCCTCCCTTTTATAATAAATGAATTATATCTAAACTAAAAAAAAAAAAAAAACTATACCAATAGTCCATGATGCATGGCAATGAAGATGATTCCGAAATAGAGGAAGGTAGGCAAGGATGCAGGCATCGGGCCAAGGTTCAGGTACAACTGTCTCATCCCTGGGATCAAAAATGGATGAATAAGGCAAAGTCGGTCCTCATTTGATTGACAGCACCCAATATGTTATCATGGCAGAAATCTAGATGAGAAGAACAGGCAAGAATCCCATTGATTAAAGCTTAATGTGCCCCAATCACAGTGCCAAGCACTGTTGACAAAGTTATGACTACCCCATTTTACAGATGAGAAGACTAAGGCCCAGAGGACATTAAACAGCACATTAGAACTGGATCCACCAGTTGAACCAGCTCTGTCTGAC